>NC_000018.10:47019912-47320578 GCF_000001405.40 Homo sapiens
GAATTCTATCTGGGGTAGATTTATATTTTGTGCGGGGGTTGTTTCCTTTCTGTGTTTTCGAGCGGGATTGTCGCTGTGGGAGCAGGGATCTGCTAAGGTTTGTCTCGTTCTCCAGTAATGAATGAGTTTAATGGGTGCAGCCGCTGTTTTCAGTAGCATGCCAGTGGGGGCATCGATGAGCTATGAGGGGCTAGAGCTTGCTCGGATTGTTTCCTTGTGTTTGTGTTTTGAGATGCGTTTGCTTGTGTCATGTTTGTTTTCCATTTTGGCAGGGGAAAGGTTTTCCAGGAAGAAAGGTTGTTGCCAGTGGATTTGGTTCCGAGGGGCTGGGGTTTCTGGCTGGGAGTGGGGAGGGGCTGCACGGTGATCGGTGGCTACTCCACCTCCAGAAAGAGCGTGTGGCTTCTCTGCCTCGGGGAGGATATTCTGCTCTCTTGTGAGTTTTGCAAGCCACCCGAGATTCTCTCTTGAATTGCTGTCAAGAAATAGAGACCGGCGTTGTCTCTGGCCCTCGCTGGGGAAGCTTTTCTGAGGTTTTGTTTTTTTAATTTGAGACGGAGTTTGGCTTTTGTTGTCCAGGCTGGAGTGCAATGGTGGCATCTGGGCTCACTGCAAACTCGGCCTCCCGGGTTCAAGCGATTCTCCCGTCTCAGCCCCCTGAGTAGCTGGGATTACAGGCGCTCGCCAGCAAGCCCAACCGAGTTTCGTCTTTTTAGAAGAGACGGGATTTCCTCATGTTGGTCAGGCTGGTCTGCAACTCCGGACGTCAGGGGGTCCGCCGGCCTCGACCTCCCAAAGCGATGGGAATAGAGGCGTGAGTCACCGTGCCCGGACATGTCTGAGTTTCACAGGGTCGCTGATTGGATTATGTCCCCTTCCCCGGCACGAATGCTTTTCTGTCTTCCTTAAGGGTAGTATCTCTGTGGCACCCTGTTCTGGCTCCTTACGTGTTCTTCAGGCTTGAAGGCCTCTTTTCACGTGCACCGGCATCCACTCAGGTGCCTGCTTCCAGAAGCTTCCCAGCACCCACTCTGCTGACAGCCAAGGGCACAGGACTTTGATCTCTTCTGCTGCCCTTGCTGGGTTTTGCCTTGCGGCTTAGGTCTTTCTATTTCTCTCTCTATCCCTCACTGTCGGTAACGCCTAAGAACCAAGTTTACTTAATGGTGTGTGTGTGTGTGTGCGCGCGCGCGTCCGTGTGCGTGCTCATGTGTGCGTGTGCGTGTGTGTGTGCGTGTCTTTCTTTGTGTGTATGTGTGTGTGTCGTATCTGGCACACGGACCTGTGATTACCAGCCCGCGTGAAGCCAACAAATGCCCTGAGTTAGAATGCAAACTTTCACCAAAGCTTGCAGGAGCTCGTAGGAGGTGAACTCAAGGTAGTTAACCCGGTCATCTCATGGTAATTAGAAACTCTGCTTGGCAGGTTTAGACTTCCTGATCGAGAACCTAAAGAAGCTGATTGAGGTGTCGCCATTCTTTCACAGGGGTTCTGGCTGAAAAGATTGGGATTGATTCTTTGCCGTGCTTAGTAAAAGTATTTTGACTTAAGGAACGTAGCAGTTGTTAGCATTTATGTATGAAATCCAGGAGTTCCTTTCTTCAGATAAACAGCAGGTTTCTTTGAGATGTGCTCCGCTTGTGTCACCCAGGCTGGAGTGCAGTGGAATGAGGAAGGGTCACTGCAGCCTCCGCTTGCCCAGCTCAGGCGATCCTGCCACCTCAGCCCTCTAAGAAGCTGGGACCACAGGGGCCGTGCCACCACGCCGGGCTCATTTTGGTATCTTTTGTGGAGACGGGGTTTCTCCGTTTGGCCCAGCCTGTTCTCCACCTCCTGGGCTGCAGCGATCTGCTTTCCTCGGCCTCCCAGAGGAGGATGGCCGACGATTACAGGATCATGCCCGGCCTTTTCCCCGAAAGAAAACACCAACAGCAACAAAACATTTTGCGTAGTCGGAGTTATCAGTGTCAACTGGTGGATTGAGAGTTTGTGTCTAAGAAGTCCTTCCTTATGCACTGGATGATTTCAAAAGAAAGGAGAAAAGACAAAAGGGAATCTCACATCTTGTACCTGATTTATGATTGCAACTAGGGCGTTATTTAAAAGACGATCAGTGAACCACCAAAGTAGAATTGATCCGAATGCGTTCATAATATCTTCTGAATTCTGAGGTGTCCTCCAAGCAGGGAGGCAGTGGCTGGGTGTGGGAGGCAAAAATCACAGGGCCAGCACTTGACACCTGCAGGATTCGGAGGCTCAACTTTGCACCAAGCCAAGGGTTCTGGTGTCCGTCGCAAGTTTCGTTCCCCAACCCGCATTGACTTTGCATTGGCCCTCCTCCCCCCGGATTTTATCCGTAAGGCAAGTCCTGAGTTTATCGTCGGGAGAATCTTCCCTTGTAGTCTCGAATTGCCTTGGCCATCAGCGGGGCCACTTTCTTGGCAGCCTGTTTTCGGGTTTTGTCCGCGGGCGCCGCGTGCCGGTTGCTGCTGCCGCCGCCGCTCACGCTGCCGCCGTCGCCGTCCCCGAGGCCGGAGGGAGCCTGGCTGCTTCCTGCGGGCTTGGGGGCTGGCTCCATCTCTCCATTTCCGGGGTCAGCGGCTCCTGCAGACTTCTCTTGCCTCCTGGAAGCATCATAAGGCGTCTTGGCCACAGAGTTGAAACAGATCATCTTTGTCTGTCGGCCGCTGGGTTTGTTTTCACGTGCGGATCGGATTTTCGTGGTCACTACTCGCAGCCGCTGCTCTCGGGCGTCCCGAAGCCGCAGGTACAGCTCCCGCCAAGACTCGTGCTCCTGTGGCTTTTCTTCCTTGAAGTCCTGGAGGCAATGAATCCTCCATAATTCATCTGTCTCTCGAGCGAGTGCGGCATTGTCTTTCTCTGTGCGGTACAGCTGATCGGGCGTCCACCCTTCCAGAACGGGTTCAAGAACCGAGTAGGGGACCCCTTCCACGTCGCCGAGGGCGTCCGGATTGTTCCTAGGCACCCGGAGGCACTGCTGGCGCAGCGTCGGCACCTGGAGCTGGCAGGCAGGCCTGGAGCCCGAGTACACCGGCATCTTAGCGTTCACTCTGCGTCCAGGGAAAGCAGCTTCCTCCTGGAGCGCTGGCGCGCAGAGTGCTTCTGGGTTTGCCTGGGAGGTCATGGCCTCAAAAGCGGACAGCAGATCGTAGTTGGCCTGCATCCAGGCCTCTGAGGGGTCCCAGAGCTCCGAGAAGACATGGCTGGGCACCGTTTTCGGCCCGGCGGAATCAGCGCCGGCCGCCTGCAGCCTCTCTGACTGGCTTTCCTGGACAGGAGGCGATTTCTGAGCCGAAGCCCCGCGGGACGATTTGTGCCCCTTGCTGTGGCTCCCCACCGCTTCCCCCTGGGGTTGGCCCTGGCAGCCTTGACCCAGCAGAGGCCCGCCCTGAGCGGCGTGAGCGTGGCCTCTTCCGGGTTGCTCCCCGGGCACAGCGGGCTCAGGGCCCTCGGGCATCGGGAGGGGAGCGGTGCGCGTTGGAGGGTCCCGATGGGGGCCGGAATCAGCTGGGGCCATTCTGGGGCGCTTTCTCTCGGCTCTGGGCTCGCGACTGGGAGACCTCGGGTGAGGTCTCTGTTGCCCCGGAGGTGTTCTGCGTGCTGTCCGTCTGTGCTCAGGGCTGTGAGATGGGCTCCTGGGGGCCGTCGCGTTTTCTGGGAAGCCCCAGGCCTTTTCCCGCTCCTGAAGAGCCTCCCCGAAGCGCTGTCGGGAAGCGCTCTCCTCAGGGTCCTGCGGGTCAGGCCCGGTGTTTCGGTCCACGAGCACCAGCTTCTTCCACCGGGCCGCTAAGTCTCTGGCAAAGTCGCCCACGTGCTGGTGCTTCCGCAGGCGCTTCACCGTCTTTCTGATTCCAGTCTCCGCCAGGATGTCTGCGGTCATGGGCAAGGCGGAGAGTTTCTGCAAATATTTCTCTAGCTTTTTCGGCTCCGTCTTAGTGGCCAGACGCACCTGCAGCTTCCCCACTGCGCGCAGCGTAGTGGACCCTGCCGCCATCTCGCCAGAGCTGTGCAGGCGTCGCTGTCCTCGCGGTCGCGGCTCTGTCCGAGCTCGGGGCGGCGGCACAGGCAGTCTGGGGTGGCCGGTCCTCGCTGCCCGGTCGCCAGGCGGCGACCTCGGGATGTGGAGTCACAGCCTGGAGCGAGCTGGGTCCTCGGAGCAGCGGGCCACTTGGTCTGGAACGCCGGTCCTTGCAGACAGCTGAGCAGGCCCGCTTCTGTTCCTCGGGATGTGCGGCCGCAGCCTGGAGTGTGACCTGTGCGGTGCGCCGTCCAAGGCGGAGTGAAGCTCCGCTGCCAGAGCCCGGCCTTATATAGCCAGCCCCGGGCCCACCCAGGGCTCAAGCCCTGACCCCCCTGGGCCCCTGGGCTGCCCCGCCCCGATAGGAATTCATTCCGTCAGCCCAACGCAGCCAATCGGGGCGGTCCACGCCAGGTGGACTGCTGTGCCCCGCGGGGTCATTAGGTTAATTGCAGCCTGGACACACCCCACTGAGTTCTACCGTTGGCCCTCCATGTACCCAGCTTCCACATCTGTGGATTCCAAAAGACACAGAGAGAATCTTCTTGGGAGTAAAAGCGAAAATAACAACACCGCAAGACAGAATCGTAGGAAGAAGAACCAACAGAGGATGACAACTCTTTACCTGGCATTGACGTTGTGTGAGGGGACTTGGAAACATTGGTAGAAAAGTGGGATTAAGGGAGAAAGAGGAAAAAGGCGTATTTTACTCCTCAACCTCGGCTCCATCAGCATCAAGACCCTTCTGGAAGCAGTGTCTTTTCCCCGCCGTCTAGCCCATCCCTTAAAGCCCCCAGGGTCCTGGGAATTTAACTATTTCCATGCAATCTTTTTTCCATTGTTAACTGAAGAAAACTGGGTGCCCCTTACAGGTTTTCCAAGACAAGGAAACAAAGAGAAGTCAGCAGGCGCCAAATCAGGATTGTCAGGTGGACGCCTCACGGTTTCCCATGGCAAGTCTTGCCCAGCTGCCCTTGTTCGAAGAAAGGCATGATCAGGAACACTGTCGTGGTGGAGAAGAAGTCTCTGGTGGGGACCTTCTTCGCTCCAGCTTTGGCTAACTTTCTGAAAACGCTCTGCTAGCGAGCAGATGTGATCAGGGTTTGGCCCTGCAGAAAGTCAACCAGCAGAATCCCTCTAGCATCTCCCCCCCCCACCCCGCCCCCAACGGTGGCCATGACCTCTGCTCTTGACTGCTCCTCTGCAGCTTCGACTGGAGCACTGCCACCTCTTGGTAGCCATGGCTTCGTGCTTGGTCTTCAGGATCCTGCCGGTAGAGCCAGGTTTCATCTCCTGTGACCAATCTTGGAAGAAATGCTTCAGGATCTTGCTCCCACCGGTTGTTTAAAATCTCCTCGGAAAGGCTTGCTCTGGCCTGCAGCTGATATTGGTGCCACGGTTTGGGCAGCCGAGTTCCACTCTCACCTTTCAGTCCAAATGAGGAAAACAGAACCATTTGAAGTGTCTATGGTGTCGGCTATTGTTTCTGCTGTCGGCGGCGATTTCGCGTAATGTTTACATTCTCACATGACTTTCTCTCTCTCTCTCTCAGTGTGTGTGTGTGTGTGTGTGTGTGTGTGTGTGTGTGTGTGTGTGTCTCTTCTGCAGAAAGATAATCGTTATAGCCTGAGAATCGGGGAATGGGGATTCGGGTGTTAAGCCTTTTCTGAGAATTACCCTCCGTGTTGTGCAGAGAAATAAGTAAATTTGCTGTGTTTCCAGACTTCCAGCTGCCTCACGAAGAGGATCGTAGTGCAATACTGGCGATGCCTCCAGAGCTCCCTGAATGAGGTTTATCTTGTAAATAGGTGGGAAGAGAATTGAGCTGTCCTGGGTCAGTGTAGTAATGTTACAGCAGGATCCTTAGGTTGATGCTGAATTCTATCTGGGGTAGATTTATATTTTGTGCGGGGGTTGTTTCCTTTCTGTGTTTTCGAGCGGGATTGTCGCTGTGGGAGCAGGGATCTGCTAAGGTTTGTCTCGTTCTCCAGTAATGAATGAGTTTAATGGGTGCAGCCGCTGTTTTCAGTAGCATGCCAGTGGGGGCATCGATGAGCTATGAGGGGCTAGAGCTTGCTCGGATTGTTTCCTTGTGTTTGTGTTTTGAGATGCGTTTGCTTGTGTCATGTTTGTTTTCCATTTTGGCAGGGGAAAGGTTTTCCAGGAAGAAAGGTTGTTGCCAGTGGATTTGGTTCCGAGGGGCTGGGGTTTCTGGCTGGGAGTGGGGAGGGGCTGCACGGTGATCGGTGGCTACTCCACCTCCAGAAAGAGCGTGTGGCTTCTCTGCCTCGGGGAGGATATTCTGCTCTCTTGTGAGTTTTGCAAGCCACCCGAGATTCTCTCTTGAATTGCTGTCAAGAAATAGAGACCGGCGTTGTCTCTGGCCCTCGCTGGGGAAGCTTTTCTGAGGTTTTGTTTTTTTAATTTGAGACGGAGTTTGGCTTTTGTTGTCCAGGCTGGAGTGCAATGGTGGCATCTGGGCTCACTGCAAACTCGGCCTCCCGGGTTCAAGCGATTCTCCCGTCTCAGCCCCCTGAGTAGCTGGGATTACAGGCGCTCGCCAGCAAGCCCAACCGAGTTTCGTCTTTTTAGAAGAGACGGGATTTCCTCATGTTGGTCAGGCTGGTCTGCAACTCCGGACGTCAGGGGGTCCGCCGGCCTCGACCTCCCAAAGCGATGGGAATAGAGGCGTGAGTCACCGTGCCCGGACATGTCTGAGTTTCACAGGGTCGCTGATTGGATTATGTCCCCTTCCCCGGCACGAATGCTTTTCTGTCTTCCTTAAGGGTAGTATCTCTGTGGCACCCTGTTCTGGCTCCTTACGTGTTCTTCAGGCTTGAAGGCCTCTTTTCACGTGCACCGGCATCCACTCAGGTGCCTGCTTCCAGAAGCTTCCCAGCACCCACTCTGCTGACAGCCAAGGGCACAGGACTTTGATCTCTTCTGCTGCCCTTGCTGGGTTTTGCCTTGCGGCTTAGGTCTTTCTATTTCTCTCTCTATCCCTCACTGTCGGTAACGCCTAAGAACCAAGTTTACTTAATGGTGTGTGTGTGTGTGTGCGCGCGCGCGTCCGTGTGCGTGCTCATGTGTGCGTGTGCGTGTGTGTGTGCGTGTCTTTCTTTGTGTGTATGTGTGTGTGTCGTATCTGGCACACGGACCTGTGATTACCAGCCCGCGTGAAGCCAACAAATGCCCTGAGTTAGAATGCAAACTTTCACCAAAGCTTGCAGGAGCTCGTAGGAGGTGAACTCAAGGTAGTTAACCCGGTCATCTCATGGTAATTAGAAACTCTGCTTGGCAGGTTTAGACTTCCTGATCGAGAACCTAAAGAAGCTGATTGAGGTGTCGCCATTCTTTCACAGGGGTTCTGGCTGAAAAGATTGGGATTGATTCTTTGCCGTGCTTAGTAAAAGTATTTTGACTTAAGGAACGTAGCAGTTGTTAGCATTTATGTATGAAATCCAGGAGTTCCTTTCTTCAGATAAACAGCAGGTTTCTTTGAGATGTGCTCCGCTTGTGTCACCCAGGCTGGAGTGCAGTGGAATGAGGAAGGGTCACTGCAGCCTCCGCTTGCCCAGCTCAGGCGATCCTGCCACCTCAGCCCTCTAAGAAGCTGGGACCACAGGGGCCGTGCCACCACGCCGGGCTCATTTTGGTATCTTTTGTGGAGACGGGGTTTCTCCGTTTGGCCCAGCCTGTTCTCCACCTCCTGGGCTGCAGCGATCTGCTTTCCTCGGCCTCCCAGAGGAGGATGGCCGACGATTACAGGATCATGCCCGGCCTTTTCCCCGAAAGAAAACACCAACAGCAACAAAACATTTTGCGTAGTCGGAGTTATCAGTGTCAACTGGTGGATTGAGAGTTTGTGTCTAAGAAGTCCTTCCTTATGCACTGGATGATTTCAAAAGAAAGGAGAAAAGACAAAAGGGAATCTCACATCTTGTACCTGATTTATGATTGCAACTAGGGCGTTATTTAAAAGACGATCAGTGAACCACCAAAGTAGAATTGATCCGAATGCGTTCATAATATCTTCTGAATTCTGAGGTGTCCTCCAAGCAGGGAGGCAGTGGCTGGGTGTGGGAGGCAAAAATCACAGGGCCAGCACTTGACACCTGCAGGATTCGGAGGCTCAACTTTGCACCAAGCCAAGGGTTCTGGTGTCCGTCGCAAGTTTCGTTCCCCAACCCGCATTGACTTTGCATTGGCCCTCCTCCCCCCGGATTTTATCCGTAAGGCAAGTCCTGAGTTTATCGTCGGGAGAATCTTCCCTTGTAGTCTCGAATTGCCTTGGCCATCAGCGGGGCCACTTTCTTGGCAGCCTGTTTTCGGGTTTTGTCCGCGGGCGCCGCGTGCCGGTTGCTGCTGCCGCCGCCGCTCACGCTGCCGCCGTCGCCGTCCCCGAGGCCGGAGGGAGCCTGGCTGCTTCCTGCGGGCTTGGGGGCTGGCTCCATCTCTCCATTTCCGGGGTCAGCGGCTCCTGCAGACTTCTCTTGCCTCCTGGAAGCATCATAAGGCGTCTTGGCCACAGAGTTGAAACAGATCATCTTTGTCTGTCGGCCGCTGGGTTTGTTTTCACGTGCGGATCGGATTTTCGTGGTCACTACTCGCAGCCGCTGCTCTCGGGCGTCCCGAAGCCGCAGGTACAGCTCCCGCCAAGACTCGTGCTCCTGTGGCTTTTCTTCCTTGAAGTCCTGGAGGCAATGAATCCTCCATAATTCATCTGTCTCTCGAGCGAGTGCGGCATTGTCTTTCTCTGTGCGGTACAGCTGATCGGGCGTCCACCCTTCCAGAACGGGTTCAAGAACCGAGTAGGGGACCCCTTCCACGTCGCCGAGGGCGTCCGGATTGTTCCTAGGCACCCGGAGGCACTGCTGGCGCAGCGTCGGCACCTGGAGCTGGCAGGCAGGCCTGGAGCCCGAGTACACCGGCATCTTAGCGTTCACTCTGCGTCCAGGGAAAGCAGCTTCCTCCTGGAGCGCTGGCGCGGAGAGTGCTTCTGGGTTTGCCTGGGAGGTCATGGCCTCAAAAGCGGACAGCAGATCGTAGTTGGCCTGCATCCAGGCCTCTGAGGGGTCCCAGAGCTCCGAGAAGACATGGCTGGGCACCGTTTTCGGCCCGGCGGAATCAGCGCCGGCCGCCTGCAGCCTCTCTGACTGGCTTTCCTGGACAGGAGGCGATTTCTGAGCCGAAGCCCCGCGGGACGATTTGTGCCCCTTGCTGTGGCTCCCCACCGCTTCCCCCTGGGGTTGGCCCTGGCAGCCTTGACCCAGCAGAGGCCCGCCCTGAGCGGCGTGAGCGTGGCCTCTTCCGGGTTGCTCCCCGGGCACAGCGGGCTCAGGGCCCTCGGGCATCGGGAGGGGAGCGGTGCGCGTTGGAGGGTCCCGATGGGGGCCGGAATCAGCTGGGGCCATTCTGGGGCGCTTTCTCTCGGCTCTGGGCTCGCGACTGGGAGACCTCGGGTGAGGTCTCTGTTGCCCCGGAGGTGTTCTGCGTGCTGTCCGTCTGTGCTCAGGGCTGTGAGATGGGCTCCTGGGGGCCGTCGCGTTTTCTGGGAAGCCCCAGGCCTTTTCCCGCTCCTGAAGAGCCTCCCCGAAGCGCTGTCGGGAAGCGCTCTCCTCAGGGTCCTGCGGGTCAGGCCCGGTGTTTCGGTCCACGAGCACCAGCTTCTTCCACCGGGCCGCTAAGTCTCTGGCAAAGTCGCCCACGTGCTGGTGCTTCCGCAGGCGCTTCACCGTCTTTCTGATTCCAGTCTCCGCCAGGATGTCTGCGGTCATGGGCAAGGCGGAGAGTTTCTGCAAATATTTCTCTAGCTTTTTCGGCTCCGTCTTAGTGGCCAGACGCACCTGCAGCTTCCCCACTGCGCGCAGCGTAGTGGACCCTGCCGCCATCTCGCCAGAGCTGTGCAGGCGTCGCTGTCCTCGCGGTCGCGGCTCTGTCCGAGCTCGGGGCGGCGGCACAGGCAGTCTGGGGTGGCCGGTCCTCGCTGCCCGGTCGCCAGGCGGCGACCTCGGGATGTGGAGTCACAGCCTGGAGCGAGCTGGGTCCTCGGAGCAGCGGGCCACTTGGTCTGGAACGCCGGTCCTTGCAGACAGCTGAGCAGGCCCGCTTCTGTTCCTCGGGATGTGCGGCCGCAGCCTGGAGTGTGACCTGTGCGGTGCGCCGTCCAAGGCGGAGTGAAGCTCCGCTGCCAGAGCCCGGCCTTATATAGCCAGCCCCGGGCCCACCCAGGGCTCAAGCCCTGACCCCCCTGGGCCCCTGGGCTGCCCCGCCCCGATAGGAATTCATTCCGTCAGCCCAACGCAGCCAATCGGGGCGGTCCACGCCAGGTGGACTGCTGTGCCCCGCGGGGTCATTAGGTTAATTGCAGCCTGGACACACCCCACTGAGTTCTACCGTTGGCCCTCCATGTACCCAGCTTCCACATCTGTGGATTCCAAAAGACACAGAGAGAATCTTCTTGGGAGTAAAAGCGAAAATAACAACACCGCAAGACAGAATCGTAGGAAGAAGAACCAACAGAGGATGACAACTCTTTACCTGGCATTGACGTTGTGTGAGGGGACTTGGAAACATTGGTAGAAAAGTGGGATTAAGGGAGAAAGAGGAAAAAGGCGTATTTTACTCCTCAACCTCGGCTCCATCAGCATCAAGACCCTTCTGGAAGCAGTGTCTTTTCCCCGCCGTCTAGCCCATCCCTTAAAGCCCCCAGGGTCCTGGGAATTTAACTATTTCCATGCAATCTTTTTTCCATTGTTAACTGAAGAAAACTGGGTGCCCCTTACAGGTTTTCCAAGACAAGGAAACAAAGAGAAGTCAGCAGGCGCCAAATCAGGATTGTCAGGTGGACGCCTCACGGTTTCCCATGGCAAGTCTTGCCCAGCTGCCCTTGTTCGAAGAAAGGCATGATCAGGAACACTGTCGTGGTGGAGAAGAAGTCTCTGGTGGGGACCTTCTTCGCTCCAGCTTTGGCTAACTTTCTGAAAACGCTCTGCTAGCGAGCAGATGTGATCAGGGTTTGGCCCTGCAGAAAGTCAACCAGCAGAATCCCTCTAGCATCTCCCCCCCCCCCCCCCGCCCCCAACGGTGGCCATGACCTCTGCTCTTGACTGCTCCTCTGCAGCTTCGACTGGAGCACTGCCACCTCTTGGTAGCCATGGCTTCGTGCTTGGTCTTCAGGATCCTGCCGGTAGAGCCAGGTTTCATCTCCTGTGACCAATCTTGGAAGAAATGCTTCAGGATCTTGCTCCCACCGGTTGTTTAAAATCTCCTCGGAAAGGCTTGCTCTGGTCTGCAGCTGATATTGGTGCCACGGTTTGGGCAGCGGAGTTCCACTCTTACCTTTCAGTCCGAATGAGGAAAACAGATCCATTTGAAATATGTATGTTTTCGGCTTTTGTTTCTGCTGTCGTTGGCAGTTTCGCGTAATTTTTAATTTCTCGTGTGACTTTTTTTGTGTCTCTCTGTCTTTCTTTTTGTGTGTGTTGTGGTGGGGGCGGGGTGTGTTTCTTCTGCAGAAAGAAAATCATTATGCCCTGAGAATCGGGGAATGGGGATTCGGGTGTTAAGCCTTTTCTTATAAGTACCCTTCCACAGTTTGTAGAAAAATAGGTAAATTTGCTGTGTTTCCAGACTTCCAGCTACTTCTCCAGGAGAATCGTAGTGTAATACTGGCAATTCTTCAGAGCTAGAATGAGGATTATTTTAGTAGAGATGGGATCTTTTTCATATTGGTCGTCCTGGTCTTTAACTCCTTACCTTATGTGATCCACCCACCTCGGCCTCCCAAAGTGCTGAGGTAGGGCCTTGAGCCTCCCCACCTGGACTTTTTTGAGTTTTATATGGTTACTGGCAGTGTCACATCCCTTTTCCCAGAAAGAATGCTTTCTTGTCTTCCTGAAATGCAGTATCCCTTTGTCTCCATCCTGGCTTTTTTCCTGTGTGTGTGTGTATCATATCTGGCATACGTTCCTTTGATTACCAGCCCGTGTGAGGCCAACAAATGCCCTGCTTTATAATGAAAAGTTTTAAGAAAGCTAGCAGACGTCCGTGTGATCTGAACTCAAGGTAGTTAACCCGGTCCTTTCATGGTAATTAGAAAATCTGATTGGCCTCTTTAGACTTCTTGATTCAGAACCTAAATAAGCTGATTAATGTGTCACCATTCTTTCATAGGGGTTCTGGGTGAAAAGTTTGGGAATGATTCTATGTGTTACTTAGGGAAACTATTTTGGCTTAACGCATGTACCAGTGATTACCATTCACTTATGAAATCCGATAGTTCCTTTTTTCTAAGAAATAGCAGTTTTCTTTGAGCCATGCTCAGGTTCTGTCACCCAGCCTGAAGTGCAGTGGAATGATGAAGGGTCACTGCAACCTCTACTTGCCCAGCTCAGGCAATCCTGCCACCTCAGCCCTTTAAGAAGCTGGGACCACATGGACCGTGCCACCATGCCAGGCTAGTTTTGATATCTTTTGCAGAGACGGGGTTTTCCTATTTTGCCCAGGCTGTTCTTCACCTACTAGGCTCAAGCGAACTGCTTTCCTCCACCTCCCAAAGGAGGATGGCTCACGATTACAAGATCATGCTCAGCCTTTTATTAAAACAACAACAACGGCAGCAACAGCAAACATTTTATGTATTCGGAGTTATCAGTGTCAACTAATGGCTTGTGTGTTTTTGTCTAAGAAGTTCTTATCTACTTGATTTCGAAAAAAAAAAGAAAGGAAAAAGGAAATCTCACATCTTTTTCCTTATTTATGATTACAACTAGGGTGTTTTTAAAAATTATCAGTGAACATCCAAAATAGAATTGTTCCCAATGCGTTCATATCTTCTGAATTCTGAGGTGTTCTCCAAGCTGGGAGGTAGTGGCTGGGTGTGGGAGGCAAAATCACAGGGCCAGCACATGACACCTGCAGAATTCAAAGGCTCAACTTTGCACCAAGTTAAAGGTTCTGGTGTCCATTGGAAGTTTCGTTCCCCAACCCGCATTGACTTTGCCAATGCAAAAATCCCCCCAGATTTTATCTGCAAGGCAAGTCCTGAGTTTATCGTCGGGAGAATCTTCTCTTGTAGTCTCGAATTGCCTTGGCCATCAGCGGGGCCACTTTCTTGGCAGCCTGTTTCCGGGTTTTGGCCGCGGGCGCCGCGTGCTCATTGCTGCTGCTCAGGCAGGGGTTGGCCCGCTTCTCAGGGAGCCAGCGAAGGATGCTGCTGCTGCTGTCTCTGCCACCGCCGCTGCTGCTCTGGCTGGAGGGAGTGTGGCTGCTTCCCGCGGGCTTGGAGGCTGGCTTGATCTCCCCATTTTCGGGGTCAGCGTCTCCTGCAGACTTCTCTTGCCTCCTTGAAGTATCATAAGGCGTCTTGGCCACAGATTTGAAACAGATCATCTTTGCCTCTCTGCCGTTGGGGTTGTTTCCACGTGCAGATCGGATATTCGTTGTCATTACTCTCAGCCGCTGCTCTGGGGCGTCCGGAAGCCGCAGGTACTGCTCCCTCCAAGTTTTGTTTTCCTGTGGCTTTTCTTCCTTGAAGTCCTGGAAACAATGATTCCTCCGTAATTCGTCTGTCTCTCTAACGAGTGCGTGATTGTCTTTCTTTCTGCGATACAGCTGATCGGGCCTCCACCCTTCCAGAACAGGTTCAAGAACCCAGTAGGGGACCTCTCCCACGTCGCTGAGGGCGTCCGGATTGTTTCTAAGCACCTGGGCACACTGCTGGCGCAGCGTCGGCACCTGGAGCTGGCAGGCAGGCCTGGAGCCCGAGTACACCGGCATCTTAGCATTCACTCTGCGTCCAGGGAAAGCAGCTTCCTCCCGGAACTTTGGTGAAGAGAGTGCTTCTGGCTTTGCCTGGGAGGTCATGGAGTCAGAATCCGAAAGCGGATCGTAGTTGGCCTGCATCCAGGCCTCTGAGAGGTCCCAGAGCTCTGAGAAGACATGGCTGGGCACCGTTTTCGGCCCGGCGGAATCAGCGCCGGCCGCCTGCAGCCTCTCTGACTGGCTTTCCTGGACAGGAGGCAATTTCTTAGCCGAATCCCAGGACTCACGAGTGCCCTTGGATTCGTTTGCTTTCCTTTGTTTATCTCCAAGTGCAGTGGTGGCAGATTTTCCAGTCTTTTTCTTTTGCTTCCGCAACTGATCGTAGGTGAGGTATTTTTCACATGACAGAGTGGGCTGCTCGAATTCCTCAGCCATATCTACCTCCTCCACCTCAGAGAGGGAGCTCACGGACGTTCTGTCCAAATGAGCAGTCGGTGGCTTCCCCTCTTGAGTCTCTCGGTCGTTGGAAAGCTGCTCTTTCTCCTCGGGCGACAGGCCGTGTGTCCCATTTCCTGGGTCCCGGCCGTCTAGACTGGGCCTCTTCTTGTTCGAGTGACTGTGCTGAGGCCTCTTCTGGTGACTGTCTGGAGCCTCCTCCAAGGCAGGGACACGCTGGCCGCTGCCAGCTTGCCCCCCTTCCTTGTCTGTCTTGAAGTCCGAAGGCTGCCTGTCCCTGGCACTTGCCCAGGAGGGCATCCTTGGGGTTTCCTCTCTTAAGCAGGCCCCGCATGATTTCTCCCTGATCAAAGTAGGGGAGTGCCAATCTCCCTGGGCACACAAGGGGCGTTTTTCCTGGCGAGACGATTTGTGCCCCTTGCTGTGGCTCACAACGGCTTTCCCCTGGGGTTGGCCCTGGCAGCCTGGACACAGCAGAGGCCCGCCCTGAGCCGCGTGAGTGTGGCCTCTTCCGGGTTGCTTCCCGGGCGCAGCGGGCTCAGGGCCCTCGGGCATCCGGAGGGGAGCTGTGCGCGTTGGAGAGGCCCGATAGCGGCCGGAATCAGCTGGGGCTATTCTGGGGCACTTTCTCTCAGCTCTGGGCTCGCGACTGTGAGACCTCGGGTGAGGTCTCTGTTGCCCCGGAGGTGTTCTGCGTGCTGTCCGTCTGTGCTCAGGGCTGTGAGATGGGCTCCTGGGGGCCGTCGCGTTTTCTGGGAAGCCCCAGGCCTTTTCCTGGTCCTGAAGAGCCTCCCCGAAGCGCTGTCGGGAAGCGCTCTCCTCAGGGTCCTGTGGGCCAGGCCGGGTGTTTCGGTCCACGAGCACCAGCTTCTTCCACCGGGCCGCTAAGTCTCTGGCAAAGTCGCCCACGTGCTGGTGCTTCCGCAGGCGCTTCACCGTCTTTCTGATTCCAGTCTCCGCCAGGATGTCTGCCGTCATGGGCAAGGCGGAGAGTTTCTGCAAATATTTCTCTAGCTTTTTCGGCTCCGTCTTAGTGGCCAGACGCACCTGCAGCTTCTCCACTGCGTGCAGCGTAGTGGACCCTGCCGCCATCTCACCAGAGCTGTGCAGGCGTCGCTGTCCCGGCGGTCGCAGCTCTGTCTTTGGGGCTGCGGGACAGGAAGTCTGGGGTGGCCGGTCCTCGCTGCCCGGTCGCCAGGCAGCGACCTCGGGATGTGGAGTCACAGCCTGGAGCGAGCTGGGTCCTCGGAGCAGCAGGCCACTTGGTCTGGAACGGCCGTCCTTGCAGACAGCTGAGCAGGCCCGCTTTTGTTCCTCGGGATGTGGAGCCACAGCCTGGAGTGACCTCTGCAGTTTGCTGTGCAACAAAGAATGAAGCTCTGGTGCCAGAGCTGGGCCTTATGTAGCCCATCCCAGGCTGACACTCACGGCTCTAGCCCTGACCCTCTTAGCTCTTGGGCTGCCCCGCCCCCATACGTACTCATGCCGTCAGCACAATGCAGACAATCGGGACGGTCCACGCCAGGTGGACTGCTGTGCCCCAGAGGTTGATTAGGTTAATTTCAGCCTCGACACACCCCACTGAGTTTTACCGTTGACCTTCCATGTTCGCAGGTTCCACATCTGTGAATTCCAAAAAACACAGACTGAATCTTCTTGGGAGTAAAACAGAAAATAACACAGCAAGACAAAATCATAGAAAGAAGAACCAATACAGGATAACAACTCTTTGCCTAGGACTGATGTTGTGTGAGGGGACTTCCCAAATTTGTCAAAACAGGGATTAAAAGACAAAAATAAAACCGGTAGATTTTATTTCTTAACATCTGCTCCATCAATTTCGAGACAGTAGTTCGAGCACTGTCTTGACCCCGCCTTGTCCCTCAAGCCCTGATGTTTCTGGGAATTTAACTATTTCCAAGAAATCTTTTTTCCATTATTAACTGAAGAAAACTGGGTGCCGTTTGCAGAATTTTTAATACGAGGAAATAAATAGAAGTCAGCAGGTTCCACATCATGACTGCAAGGTGGACGCCTCATGATCTCCTTTTGAAACTCTTGCCAAACTGCCCTTTGTTCAGTGAAATGCTACAGCAAGAACTTTTTCATGATTAGGTAGAACTCTCTGGTAATGGTTTTTCTGCTCATGCTTTGGCTAGTTTTCTCAAAAACTCTGTTAGTAAGCATATTTGATCTTGGTTTGGCCCTTCAAAAAGTCTTTTAGTCATATCTTTTGAGCATTCCCCAAAACTGTTGCCATGACCTCTTCTCTTGACTGGTCCTCTCTGTCTTTGACTGGAGTGCTGCCACCTTTTGGTAGCCTTTGTTTTGTGCTCTTTCTTCAGGACTATCCAGTGTAGCCATGTTTTATCCCCGCTTACAAATCTTGGAATAAATATTTCTGGATCTTCTTCCACCTGTTTTAAAACTTTAAAGAAATTTTTACTCTTGTCTCTAGCTATTATTGTTGAAACAGATTTGGTATCTGGATCGGACTTTAATTTTCAGTGACAATTATTAAAACAGGATCATTTGAAATATCTATGGTTTTTTCTCTTATTTCT
Source organism: Homo sapiens (assembly GCF_000001405.40). NCBI lineage: Eukaryota > Metazoa > Chordata > Mammalia > Primates > Hominidae > Homo > Homo sapiens. Next base: position 47,036,737 of record NC_000018.10, read on the forward strand.
GTTGTTACTTATTTACCCTCTCAAATTAGGGAACACTTGGTCCTATGTTTCTGAGCATAGTTGACCAATTCTGACATTGTATTAAATTCAATAAATGTCTTTTCTGGATCTGTAGACACTTCTTTTGATATTTCTAGCATTTTTTTGGGTTGTACAGCATTTGAAAGTTAGGAAGTTTCCTGGCAGAGCCAGGAGATAGTCAGGAAACAAACAAGAAACAAATTAGAACCTACAGGTATATATATTCAACCTTTTAGGGGAATATTAGATGCAGGGACTGTAAAACAGAAGTATAGTAAAGACATTTGAAAGAAGTGATGTATGCTTTTTAACTGTTTGTTTTTGAGATTGAAAGCTTAATGCAAAATTTGGATCTTATTACTGAAATTGAAACGAGCTCATGCAAATTAATCTCCATTGCACCCGTAAAAAGGAAATTAAAAGCACTAATGTTGCATGTGGTGTATATACAGTAACATTTCCTAAATATCTTCTGGGTCTAAAACTGGGAATGATATTCAATGCTTCCTTTTCCTCAGGCTATGGTATCATAGGATTCAATTTTGAATTTGATAATGGAGGTATATTTGTGGCACAATAGCCCACAAAGGAAATGAAAGAAAACAAAAACAGCCAGATTATTGAAACATGCAAATGAGACACCTAGATTAGATGTTCACTTCTGGGCCTCCTTTCTTTGTACACAGAAATTAATGAGCATGTAATTGTGTCCATTTCAGGGGCACACCATCTCTTACAGTTTAAATGGATCCTTTTTGCGGGGAATGGCTCATTCTTAGTTTTTTTTAATTCAGAAGATAATTTTCTAGGTTAATTTGAATGGCCTGGGCAGAAAGATGTAGATCTGGCCAACTTTATACCTTTAATTAAGAAATTTGTAAGACTGCATTCTGTGTTTTCAGTAACAGAAGCTCATCTTAAATATTTAACACTACATTTGGAATAGTGTTTTTAAAACTCTCTTTTCCTGCTTTACTCTTACTGAATTCTGAATTTTTATCACTCTTACCACAAAATAAAAATCACATTATTATTTTAAGACCTGGTCACCACAAGTAAAAGCTGCTTCACAGTCCACATAGTAGGAAAGCCATTTTTTTTTTTTTATTAGAGATGGGAGTCTCCCTATGTTGCCCAGGCTGCTCTCAAACTCCTGGGCTCAAGTGATCCTCCCACCTTGGCCTCCCAAATTGCTGGGATTACAGGAGTGAGCCACAGTGCCCGACCATGAAAAGCCATTTTTGATGCAGCCTCATTACCAGACAGAGTTCTAAAGGACTCAGCCAATCCCCATTATAGACATCGACTCTTTTGCAAACTGTGATTCTAATAAAAAAAAAGTGGAAATTCTTTTGATTGGAGTTGAAGTACCTGCCATTTTGCAGAAATGTAATGAAAACCCTGAGTAAGCCTGTCTTTTAGGCTATTCTTTCAAAAGTATGATCAACATTGCTCAGATTTGTTTAGGATTAAGAATTAGACCTCTGTCTCAAGAATTAGAGCTTTTGCTTTCTTATTTATCCTGATTAACTGTGTTAATTAGGTCAGTGGTTCACTGTTTAAATGACTCTCCAGGGATTCTAAAAAGGAGTTTGAAGGAAATAATTCTGACAAATGTTCCAACTTGCTTTTATTAGGGTTGCTATGAAACTCACTATCCTACCTGTGGGTAGTAGAAAATAAACTGTATTTTTCTGCCTCTGTGTATGTGCATGTATGTGCACACATGGAGTATTTCTATAATATAGTGTAATTGATCCTCTAGAGTATAAATTGCTGAGTGATATTGCTGGGTCGACAGGTATGCGCATTTTTCTCTTTGATAGATTTTGTCAATTTGCTCTGCAAAAGGGTTGTACCAACTTACATTCCCACCAATTGTATCTGAAATACAATATTCTTTCAATACCTTACCAAATCTGGATGTAAAAATGTAAAAAATAGCTGCACTTTAAAAAATTTGAGAGTCTTATTGAAAGAAGCTTATTTTTGTACCAAAAAACTGAAGAAGTATAGACAATAGTTAAGGTGGTTTCTTCAACTTGTATATATATTGCAAATTATTATAAAACCCACAAGAAAAACTGCAAAGAGAAATGTCTGCTGTAAATGAATATGTGAAGATTCTGAACACAGAAATGCCTGTATTACTCTTCTGTTCAGTAAGTCTACTCCTGTAGTCACACTGATAGAGCAAGGCTGGGTAGTAATAAAGTGTCATTGCTACACTCCAAAGCAGAAACAGGCTCTGTCTGGGGGCTGAAAAAGCAGGCCCTCATGGTGCTGTGTGTGATAACCAGTTCTTTTACCCCCATCATTTCCATCTTGAATAGCTTCAAAATATTGCATATAATGATTTATATTTTCAGTTAGACTATTTATTTTATATATCAAGCCACAATTTTACTTAAATTATTTACATTTATTTAAGCCTTCTTTTCTCTGCCCCTCTCCCACATTTTGCATTTTAAAATATCTTTATTCATATACCTTACAACTCACCATTTAAAATGTACAATTCCATGGCTTTCAAGATATTCACAGAGATATACTTCCATTGCCTTGATCAATTTTAGAACCTTTTCATTAGCCCAAAGAGAAATTCTGTACCCTTTACCTGCCATCCCCTCCACCCACTGCCTCCTGCAGTTCTCCCATCCTCCCCAGTCCTCTCCTCCCTGCTTTTAAATGTTTCTTCCAGGATCTTTTTTTTTCTGTTCCTCTAATAAATCTAATGAGTTTTCCCTAATGAGTTTTTCATCCCACTAATGAGGGTCTTCCTCTGGGTATATGCATGTCTGTGCACACATGGAGTATTTCTATAATATAGTGTAATTGACCCTCCTCATCTTTAAGAAATTCAGCCAAACCCAGTGCAGTGGATCCAGTACTGAGGAGCACACAGAACACTAGCTACTTTTTCTCAGTGACCTAGTCCTAGAGAACATTTGCACAAGTACATGTTTCAATTAGGAAGAAGCAAATGCTTCTAGTGAAGGATAGAGAGACTCTGAAATGCATGTACGAAGCAACTAACAGCTATTGGGCACCCACCAATTACTATCCCTAATATTGGCATAGCACCCCCACAGTTTTCAAAGCACTTTCCAGGCTTTATTTCATGTGATGTACAGGACACTGTGTTAGAACCTCTAATATGGAGGGATATGGACATTGTTAGAAATGGGACCAGTCAGTGTCCAATATAGTCTTTAGAAAAATGTAGATCACTTTCATGTCTCTTTAAGCCAATTCCCATCTTTGCTTTCTCAAAGACTTTTACATGCATATGAAATGGATTAGCTTTATTTACAGCAGGTCTGCAACTATTCAGCAATTAAAAGACATAATCTCTTATAAGACATACTACTCCTGGTACAGCAGGGTGACTAACCTTTTGAAGGAGGTCTAGCCAGTAACAGCTTTGGAATGGTCACTAATATTGTGGGAAATTAGGTTTGAGAAATTGTAAAAGACATCATTCATTTATTACTCTGTTAGGTCAACTAGGAAAGACCGGCTGGTAACCACAGTTGTTTGTTTCTGGCAAGTTTGGCCCACAGGTTTTGGTAAATTAAAATAGTGGTTGTGCAGGGTATGGATTTTATGAAATGATATAAAGTAGAAGATTATCTCTGGTCTGGAGTGAATATAAATTGGTGAGAGAATGATGAGGAGGAGTTGATGAAAGGAAGAGCATTGGCCTAGAAGCCAAGATTCTGCTTTCAACTATTTGGGCTTTTCAGCAAATAACATATGCATTCTCTGCATATGTTAAAAATCAAGTATAAAAACATTTAATGCCTTGGAAAAATATTTATAAAATATTATTTCTAAAAATAAGTTATCAGCTTACATGAGAGTACTACTTTGTAAGAAGACTTAAAAAGTATAGGCTGGGTGGAATGGTGCACACTTGTAGTCCCAGCTACTTGGGAGGCTGAGGTGGGAGGATCACTTCAGCCCGGGTGTTCAAGGCCAGCCTGGTAACATGGTGAGATCCCTGTCTCTAAACAAATAAAATTAAATTTTAAAAAAGAATGTGACCAAAATGTGTTTTTTTCTCATGGTTTTATGCATTGTACCAGTTTTCTACCACGATTATTTTTGTAAATGCAGCTTGGGGGAAGACTGTGGTCATTAATCTATATTGAATACAATTTTATAATAAGAGTTTCAGAAGTTTTTTGAGCAATGGAATAAGAACATGATCTGCCAAGGAACTAATTTGAAACCATAAACATCCATTTAAAAGCAGTAGGCCTGACAAATTAGTCACTGCTTTTTAAAAAATAGAATTTATTTTTTAGCGCAGTTTTAGATTCACAGCCAAATTGAACAAAGTATAGAGAATTCCCACGTACCTCTCTGCATGCTCACCTTCCCCCACTGTCAACATCCCAAAATACAGTGGTATGTTGTTAAATCGATGAACCTACACTGGCATGATTATCAACCAAAGTCCATTTTACATGAGGGTTCATGCTTGCTGTTGTACATTCTGTGGTTTTGGACAAATGTATAATGATGCCTATCGGTTACTATAATCTATCATATAGAATGGTTTCGCTGCCCTAGAAATCTTGTACTCTACCTATTCATCCCTTCCTCCCCGCAACCCCTGGCAATCACTTATCCTTTTACTGTCTCTATAGTTTTGCCTTTTCCAGAATGTTATCTATTTGGAATCATACAGTATATAGGCTTTTCAATTGGCTTCTTCCACTTAGTGATATGCATCTAAATTTCCTTCATGTTCTTTCATGGCTTGATAGCTCATTTCTTTTAGCTCTGAATAATATTCCATTGTCTGAGTATACCACAATTTATTTATCCATTCACCTACTGAACGACATCTTGGTTGTTTCTAAGTTTTGGCAATTATGAATAAAGCTGCTATAAACATCCCTGTGCCAGTTTCTCTGTGAACATAAGTTTTCAATTCATTTGGGTAAATACCAAGGGTTGCAATTGTTGGGTCAGAGTAATTGCTGAGTAAGAGTATGGTTAGTCTTTACTTTAAAAAAACCTGCCAAAGTGCCTTTCAAAGTGTTTGTACTGTTTTGCATCCCACCAGCAATCAGTGAGTTTCTGTTGCTCTACATCCTCGCCAGCATTTGCTATTTTGGATTTTCACCATCCCAGTAAGTGTGCAGTGGTACTTCACTGTTGTTTTAACTTTCCATTCCTTGATGATGTGATGTTGTCTTTTCATATGCTTGGTTACCATCTGTATATCTTCTTTTGTGAAGTGTCAGTTCATGTGTTTTGCCCATTTTTAAGTGGATTTTTTTTTTAGTGTTGAATTTAGGAGGGTTTGTCTGTGTTTGTATATTTTGGATACCAGTCCTTTATCAGATACGTCCTTTGCAACTATTTCTCTCATTCTGAATCACTACTTTTTATGTCATCTATTTTATAGGTTCGAGGATTATATTTTTAAATCTCTTTTTCTTTTGAACTTCTGAGAGCCCTGACTTTTATTTATTTTAGACTAAATTCAAAGCAACAACTAGCTTTTGAATGGCAGAGAGCAAAATCGATCAAACAAGTAGTACTTACTATGCTCCCTTCACAAACATTTTGAAACACAGGTTGCCTTATTTGTTGTGTTTTCTAGCACTCTGAATAAAGGCTTATCATCTTAAGCAATAAAACTTTCTATTTGAATTCTTTTGGATGGATATGTTTATAAAATAGGTTACTGTTTTACCTGCCTACTTACATTGCAAATATTGAGCATAACTGAACCTCTTCATTATGACTTTAAATCATAAGATAATACTCTAAAAAACAAGAATAAGATGCTATGAAAAAAGAAAGAATCAGAGAATAAGAAGAAGCTCCTGGAAATTAAAAATGTTATTATCTAAATAAATTCTGCTAAAAAATAAGGCCAAGGAAATTGCTCAGAATATAGAACAAAAGAGACAAAGGAATGGAACACTGTGGGAAAAAAAGTCTTTAAAAATCAGTTCAGGATATCCCCTATCCAATTAATAGGTATTCATAAAAATAAACCAGAGAAAAAATAGTGAAATAATTTACCAAAGAAATAATAAAGAAGTTTTCCAAAAATGAGAACATGAGAATTTCTAGCTTGACAATGGCTAGGCAGTGAATGGAAAATGACCTACACCAAAGAAATTGTGTAATTTTAGAACCCTAGGGTTAAAAATGAGATCGTAGGCTGGGCGCGGTGGCTCACGCCTGTAATCCCAGCAGTTTGGGAGGCCAAGGCGGGCGGATCACGAGGCCAGGAGATCGAGACCATCCTGGCTAATACGGTGAAACCCCGTCTCTACTAAAAATACAAAAAATTAGCCGAGCGTGGTGGCGGGCGTCTGTAGTCCCAGCTACTCGGGAGGCTGAGGCAGGTGAATGGCGTGAACGCGGGAGGCGGAGCTTGCAGTGAGCAGAGATTGCGCCACTACACTCCAGCCCCGGCGACAGAGCGAGACTCCGTTTCAAAAAAAAAAAAAAAAAAAGAGATCCTAAAAGCTTCCTGGGAAGAAAAATTACATTACATGCAAAGGATCAGGAATAGGAATGGTAATGTTATACCTTTTCAAGCTATCAAGCTTAAAGTAGAATAAAGACACTTTCAGGCATACGAATTCTCAACATTTATCTCCCATACACCTTTACTCAAGAGAATGTGTGCTATTTTTTGTTGATGTTGTTGCTTTGGTAATTTACGAAGAAAAGAGGTTTAATTGACTCATGATTCCACAGGCTGTACTGGAAGCATGGCGGAAAGTGTGCTATTAAAACAAGAGAGGGACCAGAAGAGAAAGATTCAGTTTCTAGGGGATCCAATGCAAGAAAATGTCAAAGGGAAATCCCAGAAAAAGCATCTATTGCAGGTCTTAGAGTCAGTCTCTAGAGTAGAACGGGAGGATAGAGGCTCCAAGAGGGAAGCAAGAGGTGAGTGAGTAGAAAGGACACAAAATCTTATGTATTTGATGGCATGGGAAGTGATATGAGATGTGTTAGTGTTTTGATTATTAACAATACGTATGTTGAAAAGTAACCTAATAAAAATGGGGTGGTTATTCATTTCAAAAAAAAAAAAAATGTACAGAAATGGAAAAGTAACCATGGTATTTTTGGCTCCACAGTGAACAACTTTTATATGGTCCTAATAATGTAATCAGCAAATATTGATCCAACTGTAGGGAAGGATAGTTTGAAAAGGGTATAAGACAGCTTAGTTCTCATCTGTCTTAAAGGAAGTGAATAGTTAATGCCTAACACACATATCATGAAACAATGATATATTATTTAGAAACATGGAAGTACATATCAGAAGAAACAGCTAAAATAATTAAGGTTGTTTCCTCTAGGGCAAGGGTGTCCAAACTTTTGTGTTCCCTGGGCCACAGTGGAAGAAGAATTCCCTTGGGCCACACATAAAATACACTAACACTAATGATAGCTGATGAGAAAAAAAAAGCAAAAAAAAATCTCATGTTTTAAGAAAATTTACAAATTTGTGTTGGGCCACATTCAAAGCTATCCTGGGCCACAGACAAAAAAGTAGAGAGGTGGTTGCCAGGGGCTGGGGGCAGGGGAGATGTGGAGTTACTCTTTAATGGAAACGAAGTTTCAATTCGGGAAGATGAAAATTTTCTGGAGATGGATGGTGGTGATGGTTGTACAACAATGTGAATGTATTTAATGACACTGAACTGTACACTTAAAAATGGTTAAAATGATGGCCAGGTGCGGTGGCTCACGCCTGTAATCCCAGCACTTTGGGAGGCCGAAGCAGGCGGATCATCTGAAGTCAGGAGTTCGAGACCAGCCTGGCGAACATGGCAAAACCCTGTTTCTACTAATAAAGTACAGAAATTAGCCGGGTGTGGTAGCGGGCTTCTGTAATCCCAGCTACTCAGGAGGCTGAGGCAGGAGAATTGCTTGAACCCGGGAGGCAGAGTTTGCAGTGATCGGAGATCATGCCACTGCATTCCAACCTGGGCAACAAGAGCAAGATTCCTTCTCAAAAAAAAAACAAAAACAAAAACAAAAACAGTTTAAAATGGGTCCGGTGTGGTGGCTCACGCCTGTAATCCCAGCACTTTGAAAGGACAAAGTAAGAAGATTGCTTGAGGCCAGGAATTTGAGAACAACTTAGCCAACATTGTGAGACTCTCATCTCTACAAAAAATATAGAAATCAGCCAGATTAGTTTTATCTAGGTGGTAGTGTGCACCTGTAGTCCCAGCTACTGAGGAGACTGAAGCAGAAGGATCACCTGAGCCTAGGGAGGGCAGGGCTGCCATGAGCCCTGACCATACCACTGTACTCCAGCCTGGGCCACAGGGTGAGACCCTGTCTCAAAAAAAAATTAAAAAAGAAAAAAAATGGTTAAAATGGTAAATTTTATATTACATATATTTTACCACAATAAAAAAGCAACTTAGAAAAAAATTTAGTATTATTTGATTTTCAAATATTTATATGCATATTTTAATTTCATTATAACATTAATTTTTAGAAAACTCTGCATGAATGCCTGAAAAATGTTTTTTGGTTTTTGGTTTGTTTGTTTTTCTTTTCTTTTCTTTTCTTTTTTTTTTTTTTGAGACAGAGTCTTACTCTGTCACCCAGCTTGGAGTGCAGTGGCAAGATCTTGGCTCACTGCAACCTCTGCCTTCCAGGTTCAAGTGGTTCTCATGCCTCAGCCTCTCGAGTAGCTGGGATTACAGGTGCCTGCCACCACTGGCTAATTTTTGTAGTTTTTGTAGAGATGGGGTTTTCCCATGTTGGCCAGGCTGGTCTCAAACTCCTGACCTCAAGTGATCCATCCGCCTTGGTCTCCCAGATTGCTGGGATTACAGGTATGAGCCACCGCACCCAGCCATTGAAAAGTGTTTCTATGTATCATGAATATAAGTGTTTGTGCATAGATTTTGTGATGTAATTTAGGCCACACAAAGACCTTTTATGGCTTTTGTCTAGTTCTTACCTGTATTCTACTTAGATAAAGATAGATAAGTTATTTTCAAATAAGGGAAGTATTACTGAACATGACTATTTTGTGAATACATTTTGGGGCAATTTGAGATACCAGTTTCCTAAATGTAGCACATTAACACTGTGAATAAGTGCACGGATTCATCCAGTTTGAGCAAAGACCTTATCATACAGGAGTTGTCCTTTTATGGCCTCTGCTATTCTCAGTGGCTATTCTAAATCCTTGCCTGTGCAGTCACCCCTGAATGGTTTGTGGGAACTCATCTCTGCATTTGGCAAGGACTGGGCGGGGCTCTGAGTGAACTACAGATATGGTAGCAGGTAAGTGCCTGTGTTGTCACAGATGATTTCTGGCTCACAGCTGATTATCTTTTTCTAATCAGTTTCCTTAACCTGGTCCCAATAGTAGTAGATGTACATTTGTTTCTTCACGATTATAAGCAATAAAAGGCCGATTGGCTCGGCAGGAAGAAGTCCAAGTGGTAAAGAGCAATCCTAATTAAAATCATTGTCCCTTAAGTTTACAATTGAGAAGGCAGCTGTGAGAAGAAAATAACAATGGAAAACAACTTTATATGTCCTTAGAGACTTCAAATTGCTTTCCAGCCTTTAAGTCATGCTGCTTGGCTTTGACAGGTTACATTTACCTTCCAGGGTTTATTGCCGTAGGAGCAGTGTTATTTTTTGTTGTCATCCTACCTAAATTTTCCTCTGTTCCAGTGCGAGATGAGGACAGAAGCACGACGAAAAAATCTTCTCATTTTGATTTCGCATTATTTAACACAAGAAGGGTATGTTACAGTACAAACATTTATAGAGATGATTCCTCTTTCTCTGCTCTCTACTTTTCCAGATGCGTACTTTTAAATACAATAGACTTTCTTGTTTAGAGCAATTCTATATTTACAGAAAAATCGAGCAGAAAGTACAGAGTTCTGTATGCCCCTTCCCTTTTCCAGTTTCCTCTCCCAGTGACATCTGTATTGATGTGGTTTATTACTACCGTTGATGAGCCAATACATTATTAACTGAAGTCCATAGTTTACATTAGGGTATACTCTTTGTGTTATATTGTGCTGTGAGTTTTGACAAATGCGTAATGGCCATGTATTTGCCAATATGGTACCATACAAAATCATTTCGCTGCCCTAAAAATCCCCTGTGCACCACCGATTCCTCCTCCTGCCCCAACAACCCAGACATACACTTTTTTTTTCTTTTGAGACAGTGTCTCATTCTCTTGTCAAGGCTGGAGTGTAATCATGGCTCACTGCGACCTCTAACCACATCCCCCTGCTCCCAGCCTCCCCAGTAGCTGAGACTGCTGGTGTGTACCATCATGCCTGGCTAATTTTTGTATTTTTTGTACAGACAGGGTCTCACCATGTTTTCCATGCTGGTCTCAAATTCCTGAGCTCAAATGATCAGCCCACCTCAGCCTCCCAAAGTTCTGGCATTACAGGTGTGAGCCACTGCACCTGGCTTCAGACTTATGCTTTTATTGCCTCATTTACCTAGATATTTTTCACATTAGATGTTGAAAACTTTTCAACAGACCTATCCAGTACATAAAGTACTTTTCCTTTCCTCTACACATTTGAAGATAGCACAGAAATGAGGTTTTTCTATAGTCTCACTGCTGGCTATGTGCACAAGATAACTTTCTTAATCAGTTTTTCTTTCCTCAAAATAAACGTATTGCATTTACTTGGACAACCTAAACCCAACTCTCTTCTTCCTCGCAATGCCCATTCTATAACTGGCAGGGTGAGGAAATTTAAAAACTTTTGGGTTTGGCCACCTACCTCATTAAAAACACACAAGCAATTACAGTAAGGGCTGCTGCTACTGTGCTGGATGATATAAGAGTAAGAGAGCTGCTCCACAAAGTGTTTGAAGGGCACTATCTACTTTATATTCGCTTTTCTTTTCAAATTTCAGCCAGGAAGAAAACATGTAGGTTTCAGACTAAGAGCTTACAAACTTTTTTTTTTTTGTAACAGATGGGGGTCTCACTCTGTTGCCAGGGCTGCATGATCATAGTTCACTGCAACCTCTAACTCCTGGGCTCAAGGGATCCTCTCACCTCAGCCTCCTGAGTAGCTGGGACTACAGGCACATGCCACCATGTCCAGCTAATATTTAAATTGTTTTTAGAGACAGGATCTTGCTGTTGCTCAGGCTGGTCTTGAACTACTAGCTTCAAGTGATCCTCCTGCCTCAACCTCCCAGTCACTGAGATTAGGGCTTTAAAACTTTTGAGTTAGAGCAGTGGTTCTCAATTAGGATGATTTTGTTCCTTGGGAGATATTTGGCACTGCTTAGAGGTCTTTTTGGCTGTCACACTGGCATCTAGTGGGTATAGGCCAAGGATACTGCCAAATGCCATCTGACGCACAGGACAGCCCCCATAACAAATAATTATCTGACTTTGAATGTCAACAGTGCCAAGATGGAGAAATCTGGAGTTAGAGCAAGAAAAACCAATCAATTTTTGATATTTTCCCAAAAAGTCTGATAAGCATCTTTTCCTCCATTAAATAAGGGAGCTACTGGAACTAAAAGTCGGTTTTGAGACTCCAGTGACCCTCGTCCTGGAGAGGTACAAAGGAAAAAGGTGAGGAGGGCAGGAGGCAGTTGACAACGAACTGAGAGTTCCCATTGTTTCTCTTACCCATGCCAGCAACCACTGCTTTCAATAAACCTATTGCCCCCTAGAAGGAAATGAGTGCCCCCGTCCCATGGTTAGCAGACAGGCAGGCCATCAGTCACTTCTCAGCTTAGGCTCAAACTCTGTATCTCCACATAGCAGTGGGGTGGAATTGAGCCCCGGAGCAGGGCAGGGCTGACTTTGGTCTTTCTGTGCCTCTGTTTCTCCATCTGGGCTATAAGAGCATTCCTGAAATTGACAAGCCAGACAGTCTGCATGTGGGTAGTGGGCTGCTCTGCTCTATTCACCAGGCACTTAAGTAAAGTAACCCCAAGGGTAGCATATGAGAAAGTGCTAAGTGTTCAATCTATGACAGGGCTGTGGGGCTTGTTGTCATAGGGACGGCTTCCAGGATATGCGTATAAACTTAGAAGCCAGACTCTTTTTTTTTTTTTTTTTTTTTTTTGAGACGGAGTCTCACTCTCTCGCCCAGCCTGGAGTGCAATGGCGCGATCTCGGCTCACTGCAAGCTCCGCCTCCTGGGTTCAGGCCATTCTCCTGCCTCAGCCTCCCGAGTAGCTGGGACTACAGGCACCCGCCACCAAGCCCGGCTAATTGTTTTGTATTTTTAGTAGAGACGGGGTTTCACCGTGGTCTCGATCTCCTGCCCTCGTGATCCACCCGCCTCGGCCTCCCAAAGTGCTGGGATTACAGGCGTGAGCCACCGCGCCCAGCCCAGACTATTTTCTTTCAAATGTCTGCTCTTCCCTTTGCTAATCTGTGATCTTGGACAAGTTACTTATTCTCTTTATGCTTCAGTTCCCTTGTCTGTAGAATGGAGTAATGGGGTATAGCTAAGTATCAGGTAGATGCCATTATTACGAGGATTAAATATGTAACATGCTTAGAATCATGCCTGACAATTACACTTATACTTCTATTATTGATAGGATTTGGGTTTTATTCTCTTAATACCCAACTTGGTTCAGCAAAGGACTTAAAGAAACTGGAATGTGGGCTTGGCCCATTTTACATCATCTTTTGATGGAATCTCAGCTCTATCCAAAGAACCCTGAGTTAAAATACCTCAAGGTGCTTTTCTGAGTGTGTGCAGCACTTGGAGCAGTAGTTATACAGAATATTAATAGGTGTTAAAGAGTTTTGTGGTCAGGTAAGCTTGGCAGATATTGGGTTAAATTAAACTAGGTCCCTCATTTCAGGACTTCTCAGACCATCTGATTTACTATGTGCAATGAGAATATCATACTAAAGTCACAGTATTCAAGGTTTTGCAAATCAATTTGGCCAAAGCTTTTCCAGGGTTTTGTTATTGTGGTTGTTGTTTTGGAGACAGGGTCTCACCTATCATCCAGGCTGGAGTGCAGTTGCCCAATCATGGCTCACTGCAGCCTCAAATTCCTGGGTTCAAGTGATCCTCTCACTTCAACCTCCTGTGTAGCTGAAACTACAGGTGTATGCCACGACACTGTTTGTTTATTTATTTATTTCCTTATTCATTTATTTTTGGTAAAGATGGAATCTCGCTATGTAGACATAGCTGGCCTTGAACTTGTGGTCTCATGCAATCCTCCCACCTCAGCCTCCCAATTAGCTCAACTGCAGGTGCGTGCCGCCATGGCTACTTTTTGTTTCGTTGTTTTGTTTTGTTTTTTGGTAGAGATGAGATTTATCTGTTGCCCAGGCTGGTCTGGGACTCCTGGGCTCAAGCGATCCACCCACCTTGGCTTCCAGAGTGCTGAGATTACTGGCATGAACCACCATGCCTGGCCTAAGGAACTCTTTTTTTTTTCTCAGACCATCTTTAGAGACGAGTTTTCCACAGATAACTTTGAGAATGCTGTCTTCCTAGATAAGTTGACTCTTATAAAACTTAAACTCACCATGCCAGGTCCCAGCACTGTGAACATAGTAACAGAATCTCAGTAAATGTTATTTGCATAGCCATTGAGGAACTTACTAGAATGTAGATGGGTAGAATAATTAGAAACGAAGACAATGCCATTTTCACAAATTATCCCTGATTTTTTATTACAATGTATTTTTTGTTCCAGAAATTGTATCAGAAAGAAGAACTGTAAAAACAAAAAGATAAAAATAAAAGTCAGATGTAGTTGTTAAGGCCAAGTAGTTTGCTGCTTACAAAGCATGCATTTTTCCTTTCTGCCACGAGATGGCTCTTTGTATCGTGAATCAATGAAAGTTCTACTAGAACTGATCATTTTCCGAAACCTGCTGGGAAAGGGACAAATGAGTGGACTGTCAAAACGAAAATGAACTATAGGTATTTTTAAGGACATATGAGTGTCAATAAAAGAGATCTGCCTTAACGAAGTTCTACAAATTCAGCAGAGGATAGATTACTGTGGATTAAAATAAACAATCAGGGAAAGCTTTGTAGAGAGGGTGACGTGAGCTGGACTTAAAAGATGTATAGAATATGAATAGACCGATGTGATGTAAGGCCATTCCTGGCAGAGGCACAGAGGAAGAAGGGGCACAGCCTAAGTGGAACAATTAAGTAAACAAGAAGACCAGAGTTTGAATGTGTGAGTGAGAATTGGTGACAGCAGACAATGGAGGGTCATGGATGCTGGTTCTTCTATTAATAGTCCTCCATATCCATCTTCTCGGGCTTGGGTAATTTTAGTAGCCTCTGCGTCTCTCTCTTGTGTCTTGTTATTATGGCCCAGTATTGCACACTACTCCTAAAGTCCCGTCCTGTCGCTCTGTTGGTTAAGAATCTCTAGCGGCTCCTCCTGCCAACCACATCGAATTCAAACCTCATTCAAGCTCAGCTCACTTGAGACCAGACGTTCGGGACCAGCCTGGGCAGCACAGCAAGACCGCATCTCTACAAAAAATAAAATAAAATAAATAGCTGGGCGTGGTGGTGCACGCCTGTAGTCCAAGCTACTTGAAAGGCTGAGGTGGGAGGATTGTTTGAGCCCAGGAGTTCCAGGCTGCAGTGAGCCAAGATTGTGCCACTCCAGCTTAGGTGACAGAACAAGGCCCTGTCTCTAAAAAGAAAAAAAAAAAAGGTTAAAAAAAGTTTGTAAAAACAGAGGAAATGTTAGTCATTTTCTCTGAGGGGCAGAATTTTCTTTTGATTTACCAGTATTTTCTAGTTTTTTCTTAAGTGAATATGTATTACTCCATACTAAAGTTATTAATAAAAAACTGATTTAGTTTTTCTCTCTGTAAAATGAGGATTAAGACATAGTATAGAAGCATGGTGAGACATGAAAAAGTATAGAAGGTGATTGGCTAGAGTCAACTGACTGTGGTTTGCAGCTTCTTTAAAATTAGCTTAGGAGAGATACATACATTTCAAGGTCATTGAAAATAATCATGGCATCTTCTTTTAAGAAAGTTCAGGCTAGGCATAGTGGCTCACACCTGTAATCCCAACACTTTGGAGGCCAAGAAGGGAATCAATTGCTTGAGGCCAGGAGTTTGAAAGCAGCCTGGGCATCATAAGGAGACCTTGTCTGAAAGAAAGAAAGAAAGAGAGAGAAGAGGAGGGCTACTAAAAAAGAAAGTTTTCTCTTTCTACTTTCCTGGATCTAGATTCAAATGAAACAGAAAGAACTCTAACCTGCAGCAGAAATCTGAATCTGGGGTCCTTGGATGAGCTCCTGAAATTGTATGCTAATTTGCACATGTGCACACTTTTCAGGAGAAAATTGTTGGTTTTAAAAGAAGTTAAGAACTAAAATTTAAGACCTGGAGAGTCTTTCTTCTTTCAGAGGATTTTGAGACACAGCCCTTGCTTCCAGTGCTAAGGCCACTTATATTGGACAGTTTTACAACTGAACAAGTTAAAAATGACAGTAAGGAACAAAGATCAAGGTACTACTTTTATACAGAAACACTCTGAAGTGCAATGTGTGACTGATTAAAAAATTACCAGAAACAAATAATACATTCCAAGTGGATGTTATCTTATATGAAAGTTCTTTGATGATCTTGATTGGTAGATCTTTGGAATTTCCTTCAGTGCTCGAGACTTGTTAATGTGAATTACTTCAATGATGGCAAATTTGGGTTGAATTTGGGTTTTATCATTTTGCCAAATGTTACCTAAAATGAATACCTGTGAATAAAGAGGTAACCAAGTTTGGGCAGATACCCATTTTAGGCTGCAAATGAGTAAAGACAAATCACAAGATGTTTCTTGGTTGATTTACTTATTTGACTTTTAAGCACTTCCAAAAACATCCTTAACAACGGTGACATCACCAGAATAAGTATGTAACTTTCAAAGGCAACTGCTTTGAAAGATAATAGTTAAATATACTTAACAAATATGGGGCTCTTTATAGGCAAACCTCCTATGCACATACTAGTTTTCATCTAATGTGCTATATATAGGCTTACTTTTTGTATTGCATCCCTTTAGACTTGTAATGCCTGTTAGCCATTATTCTTTTCACCTCAGTTAATTTCTTCTTTTTATTCTGTGAAACTGCCAGGTATATCGATACAGCAAATGCTTTGGAGCAAGAAACTAAACTGGGGTTACGACGGTTTGAAGTTTGTGACAACATTGATCTTGAAACTATTTTGATGGAATATGAGAGTTATTATTTTGTAAAATTTCAGAAATACCCCAAAATTGTCAAAAAGTCATCAGACACAGGTACATGCCTATTTTCTAGAGATAAGGCTTTGTCTCATCTGTAAGATTAGTGTTTCTTTCTCATCTTATTCCCAGATAGATGGAGACCCTCACCCTGCACCAAAGGAGTAGGCCAGGAGGATTGTGTAGCCATTCTCATATCCAGCACAGACAACTGAAATATGATTACCTGGACACTGATATCCCTTTAGGCACTTTGGCATTTGTTTGAGAAAATGTGTTTTCAGGCAATGAAAGCAAAACCCCAGTGTATCATAGGTACTTTTCAGATGATTAGCATTACTTTAATTTCCTTAGAGATGAAAAGAACTGTTGGAAGAGGATAAATGACAGAAGACTTTTTTTGTTTTTAGGAGACCTATTATCTGTCTTGAAAATAACTACAAAAATGAGTATTGGGGAAGCTAATAGCTCATGTATAGATAATGAAAAGCTTTTGAAAGCCATCAATCCAGATAATGATCAATATAATATAAAAACCCAGTATAGGTTAGCAGTCAACAAGGCTGGCTGGAGGAAAGATCTAAAGTGGGGGCCCTGTGCTTTGTAGTAACATTGACTGAGAAGTCTGTAAGTGGGGGAAGTAATTATAAACCAAGGGAGATCATTGTCCTGTTTACAAGCCACTTGTTAAGCCACAGACTTTAACATTTCATGTAGGGACCGGGAAACCAAGAGGAACATCAATTTAAAATAGCCAGGGCCAGATCTCAGAGCTAGAAAAGGTCAAAGAGGTATTTTATCTGAGCTCCCTTCCAATGCAGCATTCAGAGCTTGACTTCCTTGGCAGGTGGTTAGATGTGGGCCTTGAAGAGACAGCCCAGACTCCTAAACACAGGGTGATCAGCACTGTTAGTGACATGATCTCACTTCCAGATGGCTAGTTCCCATCTAGCATGATACCCAAATTCTCCTATGATATTGGACACGTTATTTTTATTTTAACTAGCAGAGTATGACTTCAGTGTTCCCTGCCAGATTCGTGCAATCATCCTGGTGTCCCATGTAATGCAGCAAAATGGTGTCAAGTTCATGAAAGCGTAATGAAATGGTAGCTGTAAAGCTAGCCTATATTGGAGTTGCCACCAGGTCCACAGTCTCTGACATGTTTAATATCTGAGCCCTTTGCAATCTTCCTCTGTGAGGAGATGCTGGAGAAGCTCAGGCCTCTTTCTCTTCGCTGGTAATTTCAGTTCTCTCTAGATGAGAATAGCTTAAAGTCTCTAGATTCCAATTGGTTAAAACTCAAATTTTAAGAACAATGCAAAAAGGGGAAACATACCTGAAAAAAATCACTTTGTCACTCTTAAAATTATTTTCTTTCCCTCCCAATGTCTGTTTTGTCACAGCAGAAAATAATTTACCGCAAAGAAGTAGAGGGAAGACCAGAAGGTAAAGTGAATGGTAATTCTTCTTAATCGACTCGGCTCGAGGAGCTTGTGGAATCCCTTTCCAGAAGCTTTACCATCACAGCTCTGTGACTGTCTCCCAGCAATACTGACTGCAGTCATGTGACCTGGCCCAGCCCAGGACTTCTCTCATTACAGCTGCCCCAGATTTGGGCCAATGTCCGTCTACTCTCCTGGTTTTACTGTAAATAAGTATATCCTGTGATGCTCTGTCTTTCCAGGCCATGTGGTATGAAAAGTCTTAACCTCAAAGGTTAAAAGACCCAGGTTCAACTCCTGGCTCTGCTATTTACAAGCATGGAGCAAGTTTTGGACACATAGTGAGTTCCTGGCACACAGTGAGCACCCAAGATATAATATTTTCCCTCTTTTCATCATTTAGTTAATTTCAAGCACTCCCAGATCAGATGTCCTGACCTGTCTGAAGATCAACAATGAGCCAGGAGGTGTGAGCTCAGGCTTCTGGCTTCGCCAGTCCTGACCAGTGGGGACCCATTCTTCTCTTGCTTTTCCCTCCTGTTCACAGCTCATCTTGCATTCCTTTCTCCAGCTTCTCAAGTCCAAATCTCATTTGGGGCTTGTAGCCTCTGATGGGAGCCCCTCTGTCTCTGGACCTTTTTGGGTGCACATATTCTCTCACAAGGCCCCCTACTCTTGCCAGTGTCCTTCGCATTCCTCTCGCCCCACTCCCATAGACCCCTCCACTGTCAGAGCTGTTCAGAAATACCCAGGGGAACAAGGGTGCTGCTGCCGGCTGCCAGTGAGGGCCAGCTCTGGGGCATCGCAACCTGTGGGCTGTTGCTATTACAGTAGGGCCTAAACCTCATGGAAAGACACAGCCATCCAAGCAGTCAACAAAGTGTTTAAAGTCTTAAAATGCTCTTGGAAAAAGAAAAGTTAGATTGTAATCACATGCAACTTATTAGGCCCTCAAGAGGTATGGATTCTGTTATGCCTCCGCTACATTTCCCACCCCTGCGACTCCAGTTCCCTTGTTCCAGCCTCAGAAGGAAGGGCCTAGGACACTTTACAGGGCTGGTGGGCACAGCTTGCAAAAATGGCTGTGGAGCCCACGCACGCTCCACGATCCTACTTGTTATAATACTTGGCCTCGGGCTACCTTTGCTTTGTGCTATTCTGCAGGAAGAGTTTTATCGCTTTGACAAAAGTGTTATTCTTTTATTTATAGTTTCCACAAAGTTAGTCAGACTCTGGGTAATAAATGATAACTGCTTGTGCATAGAAATCATGAGGAGCGTTTGCAGCCAGCTTCGGAAGGCTTTTGGATTCTATTTTTCTGGAACCTTCTCAGCATTCTTCCCTGGCAAATGCTCTGTGAGTGAATGGTGTCAGAGTGCTTTGTTCCCCTTAGGCAAGGAGCACCGTGGCACATTTGACAGTGTGGGGGCTCCTCAGCTCCTCTCTGAGTAGATGTTTGTATGTGGCAAGTGTAAAAGTTGAATAGCAAATGGTTAGAATCAGGAGGAATAACTAGGAAAGTAATGAATGGTGTTTCTGCGGACAATTTATACTCAAATATAGTTACTAAAATGAGACATGTCATGAGACTGGCTATTAGCAAATCAAAGTGTCTTTTCCTAATCTTGGAAAAGATTTATAATCCCCACTTAAAGATTTGCTGATGAACCAAGGGAGGAAAGGTTATCTAATGTGATGGATGACAGAAATGGGATCCCAAAAGATCTTGGCAATTCCAGAGATGGGTTCAAAGTAACAAGACGAAATTTAATAAAATAAGGTTTAAGCTCTAACAAGAGTTACAACAAATAGCTCCTCCATTACAAAATCAGAGACCTGGAAATCTCAGTTTACCTGGGCCAACAGTGTGACATGAGTGCTACTGTGGTCCCAGCCCCATCAATAGAAATACAGTGTCCAAAAAATAGGAGGTCACACTATTCTGGAAGGTGACCAGTATGAGGAACAATCTGGGAACCAGGTAACTTTAGAAATGACTAGAGCAACTGCAGATGTTGAGCTTGAACAGATGGCTGGTGGAGGGGCACTCCTTAGAACATTGCAGGAACAGGCTTCAGTTCACCCTCTAAAGGGCGATTGGGCCTTTTCTGCCAAATTCCACAGGGTGCACCTAGGACTAATGGTTAAAGTCAAAGCAGAGTGAATTTGGTTCCATGTTCAGAAGAATTTTACCATCCTCAGAACCAATTTAAAATAAATTGCATTGCTTTGTACATTAGTGCTCTTGTATTTTGGTCTTGTTAAAGCAGATCTTGGGGATCAGTTGCATCCAATGGGAAATCAAAGTGGGAATATAGAATCCCTGTTTCCTGCCAGCTCCACAAGGATGGTGAGGCAAGTTTAAATACAGACACACACACACACAAACACATAAACACACACACACACTTCCACACACACATATATAACTTCTCTTGAGTCAACACTATTAATATAAGTTTGCATTTGTAAAATGCTTGGTTTTCATTTCATAGATATTTTATTTTTGTGCCAGCAAAAGGGTAGAGAAAGACATTCTTATTCCTAGTTTAAAGATAGAAAAAAAAAACCCCAAGAACTGTTAGTGTCCACTTCTCATGACGCTCTCCCCAGTGAGACCAACACTCACAGATGTGTCACCATGTGGACATTGGTGGTGTTATCGACATGTGTGGTCTTGCTGGCCAAATAGTTGTGCATTTATATTAGACATGAACATTTATTATCCCCATAAAGAAAGGAAGTTGAAATAGCAGCTCTCTGAGATCACTCTGAACATGGGGAGACTTGCTTCTAACGAACCTTCTGCAAATGCATCTCACATATGGGGACAAAAGTGCTAAGAGAACTAAGCAACAATGTGGGAGTTCATGTTCTGCCCCCACAAGCTAGTCCTGTCTCTCTCTGGATGGCATCTTCTACAGAAAAATATGGATATTCCAATACTGAATTTTATATCTAATTATGAGGATGTAGTGAAAAAAGTGATTTGATCTTTCTATGGATATATAACATATATACAGTCATACCACATATATAACTATGTATACAGTAAATGTATATACTCTTGTAACCACAGTTACAGCCACCGGCAAGCTACCTTTGCCCCTTCTCAGTCAAATTCTCCCCATCTCCATCAGAGTTAGCTACTCTTCTGACTTCCAGCCCCATCAGTTTGTTTTGTCTGAAGTAAACAATTGTTGATGAAAATTTGTTTGGCAAATATGATTGGTCTGGGACAACATTGATGAAGGGAAGTTTGTTTTCCTTCTGCAATCCCCTTTTGATGTTTATTACTCATAACATGCTGAGAGGTATTTTAAGTAGGCAGGGTATATCCAGGACACTGGATTAAAACCATGGGGCCAATCCCTGGATTTCCTACTGTTTCTTAGTTTGAATGGGAGGACTCCTTTCTCTCTCACACCTTTCTCCTGGTCTAATGCTCCTTTTAAGGAAGGTGGAAGGAACAATGGAAGAATGCTTGTAAAGTAATGTATTCTTAAGAACTAAAGCTATTTGCAGAAGGGCCGAAGCTATGTGGTGTGAAAGGGAAATGAAGAGGGTGAGTTGGGGGGCTCGAGGAGGCAATCTTAGAAGAACCCAGTGAGTAGCCTGGAGGGTGTTAGGGCCAGGATGGACCTGGTGGGTGGATCACATAGGTGGAAGGGCCCTATAGTTGCCACCTGCATATCTTTCAATAGCTTTCTTAAATGTGCTATTCTTAAGAATAGTTGTTTAACTACCTCAAATTAAGTGGCTAGAATAATTTCTTCCAAGGTCTTTGTTCCCTCCCTTAGGATGATGAACGACAGTTGTCAAAATCTTCCCAAGATCAATCAGCAGAGGCCCCGGTCCAAAACCACAGCGGGGAAGACAGGGGACACCAAATCGCTCAATAAGGAGCATCCTAATCAGGTCAGGATGGCTTGGCTTGACTTTGTGAACAGCACACTTGGCTGAAAAATAGCCCTATGAAAAAGGTCACATTTATTTATTTTTTGAGGACCTACGCTTTTAAAATTGCTGTGTGATCTAATTGAATTTTAGGTTTTCTTCCAGTACACTGGACTAAAACCATGGACATATCCCTAGATTTCCTAATGTTTCTTAACTTGAGTGGGAGGACTTTTTTCTCCTCCAAGTTTTTCCCCTGGTCTGGGTGCTGGGTGATTGGCCAGGGTGGGGCCAGGGCCCAGTCAGAGCGGGAAGGCCTGGTTGCCTTGATCCTCCCATCTGAGGTAACTATTACCTGAGGTAACTGAGCTAACCAAGATGGCAGGTCTTCCCATCCCAGAGCACATTGCTAGGTTCCTAAGTGTAGGCCAGGCATAGCCTACACTACATTTCAGGTATGGCTGGGTCTCAAGGTCTCCTGTTGGGCTCCTCCAAATCGCACATGGTCAGCCCTCACCCCAGACCTTCATGCTGGACTTCCTGGGGGCCAAGAAGGGCAGCAAGGAGAGAATCCAGCAGGTGAGAGAAGTCAATGGCTCCTGACTCAGGAGGCTCATGTCCAGAACCTTCTTAGTTAGGACTAAACATCCCAGGTTTCAAAGGAAAGAGGACCAATGGAAACTGAGAAAAGGAATTAAAAAAATTAATGTCAAATAACGGAAAGGTATAATCACAATATCCGATTGGTCAAAAGGATTCTCTCCCCCTCAAGGAGGTCCTACGGTTCTGGCCGCTGCAGCCTGACTCATGTGGAAGAGAGGTGAAGGTGGGGCAGGATGAGTCCCATGGGAGGCTAGTTGACTCTGCCATATCTCCAAACTCAGCCACTCCTGGCCAAAAACACCCCTGATCACAGGAGAAAAGACGAGCCAGCGAATGGGGATGGGTTGAGGCACAACTGTTTGAAGCACATTGGAAAAGCTGCTTGGGGCCCATGGGGCCTGGCATCTTCTCAGTCTTCCAGGGACAACTCTTTCCACATAGTGCAGGCAGACAGCTACTTCATCTTCCTGGGTCTGCACAAATGTGGCTAAGCTACATGTGCATGTCGCGTTCACAGAATTGCTATCCAGCATCGGACTTTGCTTGATGGAGTAGGCAGGTACATCCAGCAACTCTCCATGGCTGCTCACAGCCGATGTGTCCTTGTCTCTCTTTCTTCAGGAGGTAGTTGATAACACTCGCCTGGAAAGTGCCAACTTCGGCCTACATATATCAAGAATCCGTAAAGACAGTGGAGAGGAAAATGCCCACCCACGAAGAGTAAGTGAAACTCATGAACCTAACACTGAAAGTGGTAATTTCTTTTTCCTTTTAAACATGAAAACAAAAAACATTATTTTTGTCAAACAGGAAAGTTAAGATGTGATTTTTGAAGGTTGGCTGTGAGGTAAATGGAGAAGAGCGTCAGAAAATGGGTTCTTCTTTGGAATCTCCTTTCTGAATGAATGGGCTGGCATGAACTGCCCCATCTCTAAGGAACTCAGTTTCCACATTTGTAAATTGAGGGGCTTGGAAGAGATTGTCTCTAGTGTTCCCATCAGCTTAAAAATTCTGTAATAACAATGACAAACATTGGCATGATCATCCTGCATCGTTCTCATCATTTTTTTTTTTTTTTAAGAGACAGGGTCTTGCTCTGTCACCCAGGCTGGAGTATAATGGTGCAATCATGGCTCACTGCAGCCTCAAACTCCTGGGCTCAAAGAATCCTCTTGCCTCAGCTTCCCAAGTAGCTAGGACTACAGGCATGCACCACAACATCCAGCTAATTTTTTTCATTTTTCTAGAGATGGGGTCTCACTATGTTGCCCAGGCTGGTTTCAAACTTCTAGCCTCAAGCAATCCTCCTGTCTGGGCTTCCCAAAGCGCTAGGACATCTGCGTTATTTAGTGAGTTGGAAACGCATACTCATTCTGCTCTGTCCTGTCAGTGGCATTTGATTAGTGGTGTCACCTTTCTCCTTGGAGGGATGGCTCCTGGTCTAAATGTAATTTCATGTGGACCATGAAACATCAGTTGATACAGGGTTGATTTTGTCCTTGATAGATATTTTTACCTTTTTCATAATGAATCTCATGTCTAGATTTCTAAATAATAATGTCTTAAGCAGAAAAGACCCAGATTGGGTGGATGTAGTCAAAAGGTAGATTAAAACATGTAATTTGGAAATGAATTGCACCATATTGCTCTTGGTCATACTCTCCAAGGTTGTAGTTCTTTAAGCTTCTTCTTTCTTCAGCCAAGTGCTCAAACCTCTGGAGTGCTGACTTAGTTCTGGCCAGCTCTTAGAAAAACTGAACTCTGTGTGTGTGAATTTGGAGGGGTGACTGGAGCATATCCCTGAAAATCAAGAGCAGTGACCTCACTGGCCTGAACTGACTCCCTTTAAGGGCCTCACTTACATGGTAATTGCTGAAGATGATGCCATGGGAATCAACACCTCCCTTGGAAAAATGTCTCCTTGTTCACCTTCACTGCTTCTATTGTGTTTTCAGTCACCTTTGCCTAGCTTTTTTGTGGCATAAGTTTCTCTTGTGAATGCCTCACATTGAAATGAATGGATGTTTTTGATTGGGTCACAAGGAAGGGACCATTTAACCCAGCACTTAACCTTTGAAATAGTCTGACTATAAATCCTCTTACCAGCAGAAATGTCCTCAAAGGCACAATGTAGATGGCTTTCTCCCTAGCATTTCATATGTCCATAGGTTGTATGAGGGTATATGGCCTGGGGCCAATCTCAGAAAACCCCAGGTCTGTCATTTCTATGTTAGTACCTGTGTTTGTCTGTTTTGCATTGCTATAAAGGAATACCTGAGGCTGAGTAGTTTATAAAGAAAAGAGATTTATTTGACTCATAGTTCTATATGGCACTGGGATCTGCTCAGCTTCTGGTGAGGCCTCAGGAAGCTTTTACTCATGGCGGAAGGCAAGGGGACCTGGCATGTCACATGGCAAGAGAGGGAACAAGAAGGGAGGGAGATGACCTGCTCTTATAAACAACCAGGTCCCTCGTGAACTAATAGAGTGAGAACTCACTCATTACAGTGGTGAGAGCACCAAGCCTTTCATGAGAGTTCCTCCCCAATGACCCAAACACCTCCCACCAGGCCCACCTCCAACACTGGGGATCACATTTCAATATGAGATTTGGAGGGGGCACACATCCTTACTACATCAGAATCCAAGCTTTAGGACACCCTCCCTGCAAATTTAGTAGGTATGTTGTTCTTGAGGGCATAGGCTTCAGAGTCAGCCTGTCTAGATTCAAAACCTGGCTCAGATGCTCCCCCACTATGTAACTTTGGGCAAGTTGGTTAAGTTGTTTTATAATTTCTCCAAGCCTCATTTCTCTCATCTGTAAAGTGGAAATAATCATAGCGTCCCCTTTAAGTCTCATGATGAAAGGAGAGCCTTGGTGCAGTGCTAGCACATAGTAAACACTCCATAAATGTTAACTATTATTATTATTTTTTTTTTTGGTGCATCCTTGCTTTTTCCTTCCTACCTCTAGGGGGGACAGGGTGATATTGGAAGGATCATGGGTTGGGAGAGAGATTAAGTGGGTTTAAATCCTGGCCTTAAGCCATTTATTAGCTGTGTGGCCCTGGGCAAATTACTTAACCTCTCTGGACTTACTCCCACATCTATGAAGCCAGGATGTCACTCCTGACTAACAGAAGTGTTATAAGAATTAGAAGTAGGCTGGGTATGCTGGTTCGCACCTGTAATCCCAGCCCTTTGGGAGGCTAAGGTGGGAGTATAACTCGAGCTCAGGAGTTGGGAGACCAGCCTGGGCAACATAAAGAGACCCCACTTCTGCAAAAAAAATTTTTTTAATTAGCCAAAAGTAGTGGCGCACATATGTAGTCCCAGCTCTTTGGGAGGCTGAAGTGGGAGGATCCCTTGAGCCCAGAAGTTTAAGGCTGCGGTGAGCTATGATTACGCCACTGCATAACAGAGTGAGATCCTGCCTGTCTCTTAAAGGAAAAAAAAAAAAGGATTAGAAATAATCCTCACAGGATATGGAGAAAAGGGAACTCATACATTGTTGGTGGAAATTAAATTAATTACACTTATACCCAATAAATTTATACAAATTATATACAAAAATAACAAAAAAGAAATAGTTCTCACAAAGAACCTTTCACACTTATTTTGTACCCAGCACTCTATTGAGTGGTGAACGTGTATCACAATCCATAGACAGGAACTCTCATTACCATTGTGCCAATGAGTTCTTTCTGCATGTGTAATATTTTAAGAGGATAAGACCATACAGGGGAAGTCAACATATAAGGGAGGAAGCAGATGGTCTGTGTCAGGAACTGAGAAATACTCATGAATTTTTATTCAAATCCACTTCATTCTGGAAAATGTACTTACAATTTTTTAAGGTGCTCCAACTTGAGGAAATCATCACGTTTAATACTAGTGCTGGTTCTTTTTAAAGCTTAACTTGAAGTTTGCCCTATATACCAGGGTCTATAAATGTGTCTTGGTTTAATGAAACTGAGTTATTAAGAAGAGTCTTCTCTTATGTTCTCATGGCATAAATAACCATTCCTCCCTTTCAGGGCCAAATCATTGACTTCCAAGGGCTGCTCACAGATGCCATCAAGGGAGCAACCAGTGAACTTGCCTTGAACACCTTCGACCATAATCCAGACCCCTCAGTAAGTGGCGAAGATGTGACATTCATCTTTCAAATTGCCAACATCCAGATGAACTCTGGAAATATAATTTTGAGTACAGTGAAACCTTGAGATCAAGTTAAAGGCCATAGCCACCTGCCATCGTTTGTTTCACCAAGACCTGTGCATGCCCGGGGTTTCTTCCTAAATTATGAAGCAATATTGTAATGTGAGCCTTTCCGCTCCTCTCATCAGGAACGACTGCTGAAACCTCTGAGTGCATTTATTGGCATGAACAGTGAGATGCGAGAATTGGCAGCCGTGGTGAGCCGGGTAAGATCTGATATTCAATTCACAAATTTATGGAGGCAGGCTGGGGCTTCTGGAGCTTTGTGGGCTGCTTCTTTTATTAATAACAATAAATATGATCATTTATTTATAAAGTGCCCCCACTTGCGCAGGCACTCATATTGTTTAGAGGCACAATAATGCATGATAAATAAATTATAGAGTCATAAAATTACAATATACAAACCCCACCATCTCATGATAGAGGCCAAGAAAACCAAGAGAGAAAAAGACTTAGGAATGAAGGGACAGGTGAAAGGTTTTATAGCAGAGCCAAGAGTCAAGGAAAGAAAGCCTCTTAAAGAAGAAAAGAGTATGTCTGCATCTGGTTTAAAAAGTCAGAGCCTAGAAATAGAGACGTCGGGAGTCTGATGATATCATCATTGAAAATCTCCATGAAAAACACAATTAGCAGGAAAGACTACCATCCAGACTACGGACTTTTCCAGCTTGCACTGTGGAACCAGAAGGCAGTGAAGAACAGGCTTTGGAATTAGCTGACCTGCCTTTGATTTCTAGATCCTTCTCTTGCTAGCTGTGTGACTTTGGGCAAGTTCCTGGGAAATAAAATAGATTCCTGAGTTATAGGGTATTTTTCTAATTTCTATTGCTTCATATTTAATTGAAGACTGAAACCTAGGCAGGCTCAGAGGGGGGTTTAAAATGATCCCCAAAATTCACAGCTCCTCTGAGAAGCTAAGGGCTCCTGAGCTGTCTCTGTTCAGCTCAGCAGTTGTTTCCTGTATGCCTCTTGTGTGTCAGGTGTGTGCTGTGGGCTGGAGACACAAATGTGAACGAGTCAGAGCATAGTCCTTGCCCTCAAGAGTTTCTCATCCCAGGGACAAAGTGCACTTTAAGAGCATGAAGGAGGGAGGGGTGGGGAAAGTGTTAGGAAAGAAGACAGGAAATCGCTAAGGGAAAAAGTGGAAGAGGGAGGCTAGGAGCTGTTCTGGGCATAGGCACTTCCATGAGAAATTGCAGTTTGTGCACATGTCCTGTGGGCCACCTAAGAAGCAGGGAGTGGTGGGGAACGGGTGGAGAGAGGCAGGGTTCCTGAGGAAGGGTGCTGTGAGCAGTACCCAGGGCTGAGAACACACCTATAGAAGAGGGGACCTTAGAAAGGCGCCCGTCGGAGGATGGGATCATCCCATGTGCTTGTGGATGGCTTGTTCTATGACAGTGAGATGAATGAATAGCAAAGAAAAGGAGATGGGGAGACCATCTATAAGGTTTTTACCAGTGAGAGGGGATGAGGGACTGAGCCAGGCTGCAGTAACCCCAAATTAATAGTCTCATTACCATTTTTGCAAAAGGGTAACATGACTATGAGGATAGAACTATAGAGTGGAAATGGCCTGAGATGATTCCATCTGGAATCCTTTCTATAGTAGCATAGGAGGTAGAAACCCTGCTCCTGCTTGAATGCTTACAGTGACGGAGAGCTCACCACCTCATGAGGTAGTCCTGTTGAGTTCTGACTGTTAACTTTGGATTGATACAAGGAGAAACTGTCAGTTGGGAAATTAAACATTACCTTGTGGAACTCAACTCTAGAAGAGGTCAAGAAATACTGCTGTTATCTATGGATGCTTTTAATACCTAGGTAAATGAATCTTCCTTGTGTGCCGAGATTTCACTAAGAAAGGACGGTAATAAGAATGTGAGTGGCTGGTGGGCCTGCATGTAGATCCAGGCTCTATAGACAGAATAAGGAAGACTGAGTCCTTTCTCTACCCTTCAATCCAAGAATGGATTGTAAATATCATGCATGACCAAAGTACTTTTATAAATACTTTCTCTAGACCAGATGCAGTGGCTCACACCTACAATCCTAGCACTTTGGGAGACTGAGATGGGTAGATCACTTGAGGCCAGGGGTTTGAGACCAGCCTGGCCAACATGGCAAAAACCTATCTCTACTGAAAATACAAAACATTAGCCAGGAGTTGGAGACCAGCCTGGGCAACATAATGAGACCCCATTTCTAGAGAGCATTAGCTGGTATATGTGGGTTTCCCAAGATCGACTGTGGGACTTGAGTATGCACAGATTTTGGTATGGGGGAGAGTGTCGGGGGGGGAACAGGGAGAGGTTCTGGAACCAATCTCTTCCATATGCCCAGAGACCATTTCTAGAGACCCCATTAGCTAGGCATGGTGGCATGTGCTGGTAGTCCTAGCTACCTGGGAGGCTGAGGCATGAGAATCACTTGAACCTGGGAGGCGGAGGTTGCTGCACTGTAGCCTGGGTGACAGAGTGAGACTCCATCTCAGAAAAAACAAACAAACAAACAAACAAGAACTTTCTCTAATAAAAGTGAAAGTTGGCTGGGTGCAGTGGCTCACACCTGTAATCTCAGCACTTTGGGAGGCCGAGGCAGAAGGATCACTTGTGTCCAGGAGTTTGAGACTGGGCAACATAGTGAGACTCCGTGTCTACAAAAAATGAAAAAAAATAGCTGGGCATGGTGTGTGCCTCCTTGGGAGGCTGAGGTGGGAGGATTGCTTGAGCCCGGGAGGTTGAGGCTGCAGTGAGTGGTGATCATGCCACTGCCCTCCAGCCTGGGCTACAGAGCGAGACCCAGTTTGAAGAAAAATTAAAAATAAATAAAAATTTAAAAAATTTAAAAAAAATTTTAAAAAAATAAAAATGAACCTCCTATGGTGGAGGGAACTGGATGGGTGGGGAGCAGGAGTAGCACAAACATCTCACCAGCATTTAAAAAATGTATTTATATTTTTGGTCCATGTGCATATATTACTTATTAAAAATTATATAAATATAATAATTAGTTTCAGATTTTTTCTGTAGTCACTCAGAATGACTTTGGAAAGAAGGCTTTTCAGGCTTTTTTGAGGAAACACTCTAGATATTCAGTTTGCCTGAAACAACTCCTACTGAGAAAGGCCCCTTAGTGACTGCTCTGAGGCGTCTGGTGAAATTGAAGTTTGGAAACTGTAAATTAGTTATCAGTAAAAGCTACCTTAATTGATTATCCTAGATGGTTGCTACAGGGCTCTTCTATAAGAGGAGAAAAACTGCACTTTCGCTCGGTTGTCAGCTTCCTTGAATTCTGTAGAAGCAATTGCTCCTGCTGGAAGTAGGGAATGATCGCTAGCGAAAAAAGAGAAATTGGTTTCAGAGGAGCATTATCTCCTTTATGCAACAAATTAAGAAAGTGTTTGTGAGATCAAGGAGCAAGAGCAAGGCCAGGCACTGGCTAGGAACTATGTTTCACAGTAAAACCTAATGTAAGTTGAAGGCATATTCTGTAGCTTCTTTAATTATGGTTATAAATCAGCATGGTTTGCTATTGACTGAAAACAGGTAGAGTCTGTTGTTAGGAGATTTTTTTTTCTCTCTGAAAAATACCACAATGTGTTATCAATGTCTTCTTCAGGGAAAATCATTGAATATTTTCATGGCATACCTTTGGTGAACTAACCCAAAATTACAATGTATATATGTGTTTATATATATATATATATATATATATATATATATATATATATATATAATATGAACAGTTTTTATCACCAGCACTTTATATCCTATTGTAAGTCAAGTATTCTGCTGCTCCCAAGTTTATTACAGCTGTAGAGGAAAACATCAGTTTTAAAAAAATGATCAAATGTGCATTGCAGGACATTTATCTCCATAATCCAAACATAAAGTGGAATGACATTATTGGACTTGATGCAGCCAAGCAGTTAGTCAAAGAAGCTGTTGTGTATCCTATAAGGGTAAGGACGGGAAGCCTCTTGGGGGTTATTTCTGTTCACTATCCATTGGACAAGCTGTATGTCACACAACTATCAGGAAGGGAAGGGCAGGATGATTTTCTGTCCACACGTTAACTCTTTGCTTGTGTCACAGCACTTTCTCAACCCTGGAGCACCAAAGCCTGGTCCATTCTAGATCATTTAAAATCATATTACATATTAGTTCAAGACAGGTGTCTGAGCTAAGTGAAACTTTAAAATCTAAGACCATAGTATACATGATTTGTCAGATTGATTCAAATTAGCCTGCTCCCTTAAAAATATTCTTATTGTTGTAGAAATACCTCTGGTAGGGGAGAATCTCTCACTTTGTTTCCACAGATCCTTCCTTTACACCCCTGCCCCCCTGACCTACCCTCCCCAGGATCGTCTGGGGCTTTGCTTCTGGCTGGTTGTGAAGACTAGACAGCCCCTTCCAGGGCAGTGACCAGCAAAGCCAGCCTGTTGTGCTCATTACTTATTACTGACAAATCTCTGTGCAGTTTACAAACTGGGTAGAAAAATAGAAAAACAATACTCTCCATGTTTGATTTACAAATGGGTTAATGAGGAGATAAGTGATAACTTAGCTTTTGTTGTATAACAGACCACCCCACAACTTAGTGCCTTAAGACAACAATTTATTTGTTTGTAATTCCGTGGGTAGGCAGTTGGAGCTGGGCTCAGCTGGGCTGGCTCATCTCTTTTCCACGTGGTATTCTTGGCTGAGCTCAATCACAGGTCTGAGCCATCAGCCAGAGTAGCTGGAAAAGATGGAGAGACTGAAAAGGCTGGGACAAGCAGTACGGCCAAGGTGTCTCTCCATGTGGCCTCCATCCTCTAGCAGGAAAGTCCAGTCCTGCTCACATGGTGGCAGTGGGTTCCCAGAAAGAGGCAAGAAAGGGAAAGTTCTAATTCACAAGCATCTTTCATGCCTCTTATATTTTTTTGCTAGTCTTATATTTTCAAGTCTTTTACATTTGCTAATGTCCCACTGGCCAAAGTCACAGGGCCAGGCCCAGATTCAAATGTTGGAGAAATAGGCTCCATTTCTTGATGAAAGGAGCTACAAATAATTTGTGACCATTTTCTGTAATCTCCTGCTGTTAGGATTATGAATTTATTTTATTGAATAACCTATTTAGTCTTAAACCACTGAGCCCATGTGGCCCCTGATTTTTGGATGCTTTCCTCTAAGGAGACAAAAATCAATACATTTGGATTCTCTTTTCCCCCTCTTTCTTTCTGTGTTCACACTTAAGGGTAAGAAATACACTAGTGTTCAGAATTAATAGAAATTTACTCACCTTTTCCTCTAAATGGAACTATAAAACTTTTAAAAAGGATAGAACATCTCACTGAAATTCCCTGGATTTGTTGTCCCCATGGCATTACAAGCTCCATATGTGTGGAGATTTGACATCAGGATTAGCATGAAACTAATAGCTAGTTGTAATTTTACTAATATTCCTTGCCACACCCTCTCCCCCATTCTCTACCAACCCTTGCCACCCACATTCCCGAGATTGTTTGAATTTGAACTAATAGGAGAGACTTCCTGAAGGCTACGCATGTCCTGTTCAGCGTTGGTGTCTCTTAATGCGTTTGCCCCTGAATATTCCCAACTTCCAAAACAAGTTTCACCGTAGCTCTGTACTTTATTCGAATAAACCTTTACTAATTGGTTCTAGTATGTATTTTAAAGTTCATACCTGCTTTACAACATTCAAAAGATTGCCAAATGCTCTCCGTATAGAAGTCTGGGGAAAACGATGTTATGCATGTAAGAAATAACTGTTTAACGGAGAGGAAGAAATACCTACATATACCTTTCCTTCCAAAAAAATTGGTCCTTTAAAAAGCTGCAAAAATTGTCAGGCATTCTAATCAAGCGTGAAAATAAAATTGGGATGAATAAGATCTGTTTATTTCGGTCAGAAGCAGACAACCTTAAGCAAAAAAGGGAGCCCTGAATCTTAGAGCTGTGCTGCTTTGACTTCAGCTTTCCCAGCTTGTCTGTGCTGAGAGTATGCAGGCTGATGTGTTGGTACCAAACCTCATCCTTGTTCCTTGTTTCCTTAGTATCCACAGCTATTTACAGGAATTCTTTCTCCCTGGAAAGGACTACTGCTGTACGGCCCTCCAGGTAAACACAGCTTCCTATTTTGATGTCAGTGTTAAGTGTGTGTGCAGAGGATGAGTTGCCCCTTCTGTCCTCACTTCAGGACTGGGGCACACGAGAGCTGAGCAGTCACTTCCTTCCTTGTGTGTGAGACTGACTTCTGTCTATAAGCAGGGGGATGGAGTTGAAATGCCTGCTCATCTTTTATGTGTTTCTCTTTAGGTACAGGAAAGACTTTACTGGCCAAAGCTGTGGCCACTGAATGTAAAACAACCTTCTTTAACATTTCTGCATCCACCATTGTCAGCAAATGGAGAGGGGATTCAGAAAAACTCGTTCGGGTAGGAATTCTTAATTTTGTTTTTAAAAATAAGTTCTAGTGTAATACAGTGGTACAAAATGATGTCAGAGCTTCTTTGCTTTTAGGTGATTTTATGTGAGATCTCAAGATCCACTCCTGGATCTTGATTACCAGCAGCTTGGGAAATGGATTGTCTATTACGTGTGGATGTTAATTGTGCCCCCATCAGCAAAACATGATCTCC
The DNA here is from genome assembly GCF_000001405.40 of Homo sapiens. NCBI lineage: Eukaryota > Metazoa > Chordata > Mammalia > Primates > Hominidae > Homo > Homo sapiens. Next base: position 47,069,805 of record NC_000018.10, read on the forward strand.
CTTCCTTTGGGAATTTGATCAACAGCTCTTTTTTTATTCATGCAATTTAGGCATGAAAGCTGGGGGAAAAAAATCTCTGACGTGGCATATTTTTTCTTCATTCAAGAAGTATTTATTATTTAACATGTACACTATATTTGGTTAACATTTATTGAGAGGCTACTACTGTATGTTAGTCCCTATGCTAGATACTCTAAGAAAGAATCAAGAAACTTTAAACTTCATTATTCTTTCAGATGTTCTGAGCACCTTTGCTTCCATAGTGCCCATAGCCTGTAAGATTTTTTGCTTTCTTTTTTTTTTTTTTTTTAGACGAAGTCTCGCTCTTGTCCCCAAGGCTGGAGTGCAATGGTGCGATCTTGGCTCACTGCAACCTCTGCCTCCCGGGTTCAAGCAATTCTCCTGCCTCAGCCTCCCGAATAGCTGGGATTACAGGTGCCTGCCACCACGCCCAGCTAATTTTTTTTGTATTTTTAGTAAAAAAAAGGGTTTCATCATGTTGGCCAGGATGGTCTCGAACTCCTGATCTCAGGTGATCTGCCTGCCTCAGCCTTCCAACGTGCTAGGATTACAGGCCACCACGCCAAGCGATTTTTTGCTTTCTTTCAGAGGTTGTTTCCATCTTTACAATATCACATTTATAGTTGATGTTATATTTTATATTATAAAATGGTACTGAATCTTCCAATGACATTAAGAGCACTTCCATTTATGGTTTAGGTCCCAGTGTAAGACAGGTCCTTCTTTGAAATCCTGTTAAACTATCACGCTCTGTAGAATGGCAGATATGTAATCAATATAAGTGAATATAAAATATTACGTATTTTCTGAAAAGTGATTAACAAATTATGCTTAAATTACATTCCCTTAGATGACTGTTTCAAAATATGATGGCCTATTTGGAAGTCATAATAGAATATGTTTAAAGGATTGATTTTCCTAAAATAACCTATTATCTATTACCTTGATATCATTTTCAAGTTGTTGTAAATATGTAAGCTTATGTAAATTCTTGTTACCCATTCAAGATGGTAATTTGTGGAAATCTACATTGATATCTTCTATTTCTTTGTTCTTCATCTTGCATCTAACTCAGTGCCAGTTCCGAAGATGGGGCTTGAATTTAGCTGCACCTACAGTTATGGTTCCATGTGATTTTAGTTAGCTGGAGGTTCAGTTACGGTTGGCCCTTGAACAACAGTTGGCCCTTCAACTGCACGGGTCTACTTATATGGGGAATTTTTTTCAACAAAATACAGTATTCACAGGATGCAAAACCCGAGTATATGTGGGTTTCCCAGGATCGACTGTGGGACTCCCCAGTAGCTGAGACTATAGATGCACACCACCAAGCCCAGCTAATTTTTGTATTTTTTGTAGAAACCAGGTTTCACCATGTTGCCCCGGCTCCTCTTGAACTCTTGGGCTCAAGCAATCCTCCCGCCTCGGGCTCCCAAAATGCTGGGATTACAGGCATGAGCCACCATGCCTAGCTTCTCCCTGCCTTTCTAAATACAAGTAGAAACATACTATGTTCCCTTTTGTACCTGGCTTTTCCCCCAACTTAATATGCACAGATTTTGGTACGGGGAAGAGTGTCAGGGGGAACAGGGAGAGGTTCTGGAACCAATCTCTTCCATATGCCTAGAGACGACTGTAGCTGAAATTCATCTCACTAGAATTCTTATCACCCTGAAGTCTTTTTTTTTTAAATATCATTTCTATATGCTGAATAGCAACAAAACTCTTAAAAGATACCACCCAGAATTAGTTTAGGTTCATCTCCTGTCATGAAAAGTGGTGTTTGGAACCACGAGCACAAGACACTGCTAGGTACACGAAGGAAGGTGACATACTCTTGAGACAGGACTTACCTAGACAGAAGAGGAAACTCAGGAAGTTTATAATATTCCTAACAAAGATTGAAGTTACATGGATTTTCTGGTTTAATGTTGAATAGCCAGAAAAGTCAATTAACAAGAATTATCCATCCTGTGTGAGCATTGTATTTACTTAAAGTTTTCCTCTGGTTCAGTATTATTTTGTTAGGATTCTAAGAGTGAAGAAAAGTCCCAGTGGAGTGGGAGCAAAAAAAATTAATTAAAAAAAAAAAAAAGAGTGAGGAAACAATTCCTCTCCCAATTTCTTCTTTTTTTTTTTTTTTTTTTTTTTTTTTTTTTTTTTTTTACAGAGTCTTGCTCTGTCACCCAGGCTGGAGTGCAGTGGTGCATTCTCGGCTAACTGCAACCTCTGTCAAGTGATTCTCCTGCCTCAGCTTCCTGAGTAGCTGGGACTACAGGTGCCCCCCACCATGCCTGGCTTTTTGTATTTTTAGTAGAGACAGGGTTTCACCATATTGGCCAGGCTGGTCTCAAACTCCTGACCTTGTGATCTGCCTACCTTGGCCTCCCAAAGGGCTGGGATTACAGGCATGAGCCACCGTGCCCAGCCTCTTCCTTTCTTTTACTATATATTTTTAAAGTAACTAGCCTTTTAAAAAAAAGTATAAGAGGATACACAGACTCCTGAGCCCTCTCTGCAGAGGCAACTACTATTAACAGTTGCTGGAGCAGCCCTGCAGAACATTTATCTATTATCTACGTTAGCATCAACAACTGTTTCTTTTGGGTGTTCTGTTTCTGTTTTGTTTTGAGGCAGGGTCTTGCTCTGTCACCCAGGCACCCAGGCCAAAGTGCAGTGGCACTATCACAGCTGACTGCAGCCTCGACCTCCTGGGCTCAAGTAATCTTCCCACCTCAGCCTCCCCAGTAGCTGAGACTATAGGTGCACACCACCAAGCCCAGCTAATTTTTGTGTAGAAATCAGGTTTCACCATGTTGCCCAGGCTCCTCTTGAACTTTTGGCCTCAAGCAATCCTCCCGCCTTGGGCTCTCAAAATGCTGGGATTACAGGCATAAGCCACCATGCCTAGCATCTCCCTGCCTTTCTAAATACAAGTAGGAACATACTATGTGTTCCCTTTTGTACCTGGCTTTTCCCCCAACTTAATATATATAACTTGGATATTGTTCCACACTATTATAGATAAAGCATGTTCTTTCATATGTCTATATGGTAGTTCATTGCATAAATGTGCCAAAACGTATTTAACCAGTCTTTGCTTGATGGGCCTTTAGATTGTTTCTAGTCTCTTGCTATTATGAACAAAGCTAGAGTGGGCAGTCTTATATGTACACATTTTTGCCCATATAGTATGGGACAATTTGTACGAAGTAGAATCGCCAAGTCAGAGGGAACAGACATCACCGATTGCCAGATTACTTGCCAACAGGGTTGTACTCGCTTACAGTCCCATCAATGGTTCATGAGTGTGTTTGCTTCTCCACACCCTGGCCAACACACCAATATATTTTTTAAAATAAACATTTGTCAATCTAATACCAAAAAGTAATAGTGTATTTCAGTGATTAAACATGCATTTCAATATTTCAGTGCTCGAATATGTATTTCTTTGATTCTGAATGAACTTGAGCAACTTTTGAAAGGTTTAGAAAATATTTATATCCTTTTGTGATGTGCATTTTTATTTTGGATATTTTAAAAAATAATTCAAGAAGAAACAGATAACCTCTGCTAACCTCGAAGGAACTCGTCTCATTTCCTTTCAGAAATTACATCATTTTCTCTTTATTTTCTGAGCTTTTGGGAAGATCCTCAACTGGACAATCTTGGTCATGCTGTCAGGCTCCTTACTGTGAAGCTTTCAAAGAAAGCAAACCCTTCAGGACCTTCCCCTAAAGCAGAGAAGCTTTTTCTACCATTTGTTTCTCTTTCTATTCCAATTAAAGAGTTATTTATAGGGAACCATTGGGTTGTGTTCCTCCCTCCCCTACTAATGTCTGTGCCTCTTAGGAGCTGATCGCTACTGAATAGTTGAGTGGTCTCTTTAGCAAATGCATACATCTGTTGATGCTTACATCTTTCAATGCACCGCCCCCCAGTTGTATGATTTAACTTCCTCCAGGTTCCTCTGAAAATTTTAGACTAATGCTTCCAGAAACACTTACCCATGATTCTGTATATTCCCTATGAGTGGAAAGAGCAATGCAGAGGACAGTATGAATGCCTAGACTCCAGGCGTGGTTCTCCTTCCAACTGGGTGTTTGGTCTAGCAGAGGCTCTTGGTCTCTCTTTGCCTTTAGTGAGCACCTTAAAAACATGTACGGGTTTTATATTCTAATATTTCATTCCTCATTGGGTAGATTGCCACTGTCGTAATCACCCTTAATATCAGGTATATTTGGGCTTCTTTGTGTATGTGTGTGACAAGGACGGAAAGTTATTTGCCCTGAATTAGGTGGTCTCCATTGTATCTGAAAGGCATTGTGATGAATGCCCCAGCATTGCCATTGTTCTCTCAGTTCATTAAACTCAGCCAGTTGTTCCTATAAAACAGGATTCTGTAAAAGGGAGATGCTGGTGCATGCGCTTGAATGTACCCACGAGCAGTGGGGAAGGTGAGGTATTTCCTGTTCAGTGACAGGGAGACCTGTAAGGGATGAGCTGCTGCTGCTCGTGAAAACCACAACCTGACTTTTTCAGAACCCTTTCCCTCTAATTCTGTGATGGTTTGCTAGTGCTAAGTGACATGGAGAATAAATCCCCCATGCCTATTAAAGAATCTCTGTTCTTTTTTAAATCTCCACTGTTTTTTCCCATCAACCAGTGAAGGATTGTATATGATGCTCAAGAGATCAGTTTCAGGGTTAAAAAAATAAAGGTTTAGGTTGTTATATTCTATTAATCACCACCACATCTCCCTTTAGAGCTCTTTATTTTGTTTTTATATGTCTGTTCTTTTGCCGGTTGCTTTCCTGTTCTTGTTCAGTCTATAATATTTTATTTTATTCTCAAATAGAACATCGTATTCAATTGAGAATTGCCTTCCGTACCTAAGCCTACCAAGCAGCCTTGTTGAGGTAGTGTGGGAAGGCTACGGAGTAATTTGGAGAACACAAAGGGGCTAAATTTGTCAGCCTTGTTACCCATGATGGGAACCCAATCCTTCCCCTGAAATCCTTTCTTCTGAGAATAACCTCCCATTGTTCCCAAAGATTAAGGGAAGAATTATCAAATGATTATACATATTCCAAGGCTCTTGTGTCCATATGGAACATATTATTGGCAGGGTGTTTCAGGGGTTAACTGGCCAACTGCAAGCTTGGGAACCTAAATTTATCTGAAGCTCTCATATTTATGATTAGTAACCTTGGAGTAACCACCTACTCTCTGCCTCTAATTTTATCAAGTGATAAATGGAAATAATCGGACCATCCAACCCCATGGGGTGAAGGTAGGGAGAAATGATTGTAATGATTATAAAGTTTTTGTGAAATAACAGAGTGCAGCATAAATGCTTATTATTACAGTCATTCTAAGTTTTTACTCTGGGAGCATCTGAGGACTTTAAGTCTATAAGCTTGAACACTTGCTTGCTTTTCCCCCACCCAGGTGTTATTTGAGCTTGCCCGCTACCACGCCCCATCCACGATCTTCCTGGACGAGCTGGAGTCGGTGATGAGTCAGAGAGGCACAGCTTCTGGGTAACAGACAGGGTTGGGGTTTTTGTTGTTGTTGTTTTTTGTCATGGCTTCTCCCCTCTTGTGTGTTTGATGGTCGGAAGCCTATAGACATTTACTAGCAGAATGAGCCCATTAATAAGCCCACAAATTTTCTGCAGACACATGGAAAGGTCTTTAAATTAGATCCTGTTAACTGAATAGCTGATTTAAGTAGTTTTTATAACCGGAGGAAATGCCATTCTCCCTTCCCCCGTTCCCCACAGAGTGGTTTTCAGGCCTGAAGATCCTCTAGCCCCAGGATCCCAGGCTGCCATATCGGTTCTGCTGGCTGAAAATAGCCGCTGTGATGGCCTCCTCTGGAGCCAGAGGGGCTGCCCCTGGGGAATGAGTCTTGCCCACTCAGCCACTGTGCAGGGCCACGTCTGTACTTCACTCCTGAGAGGCAGTCCTCGACGGTGTGTGAAGCCTGGGAAAACACCACTTCTCTGTGGCATCAGGTTATGGCTCAGCAGGGCTGACTTTAAATATGTTACATATATTATCTCTAAAGATTGTCACTGAATATCCTCAGCAGGCAGGAACACTTCTCAGACTGTAATAAGCCTTCTGTTTGTGCTTCCAAAAGCCAGAGTAGTGTTGTGCTTTTTGTTCGTTCGTTTTTAAGATCAGCTTTCTGTCTTGATCAGAGGTATTTTCCACTGAAGCTTTTTACTAAATCTGGCACCCCTGGCTTGAAAAAACAGATCTCTGAGAAATCTCAACACAGCTGCATTTATTAATGACCTTTAATGGACTATCATCAAGGCAGAAGTAATAGTAATAAAACACAATTAATTAGCTTGTTGGAAGTATAACTATAATATAATTTATGAAATTTTACTCATTGGAAACCATTTTCCCAGCAGGGAAAAGCAACCATAAAGATGTACCCAAGTAATATATGGGATTCATGTAATTGATTGAAACAGGACATTTTCCTCAGCTTAACTGGAGCTGGTGCTTGTCAGCCCTAGGCTGGAGCACTCTGCTTTCTATACCAGGCCTGATAGAAGCAGGCAACTGCACAGGCACCTAGATGGGAATGCACCAGCCCACCCTCATAGTCACTCTACAAAGACCAGGTCTCCCTATGCACTTGTTGTTACGTGTGCTTTGTCGAGCTCTGTCCCCAGTTTCCCACAACCTTCATCGAGCTAATGTGAAGACTCTTCATCTGCTATCCTTGTGTGTGCTCCAGGTTCTGCCCCGAATTTCCATTTCCCTGTCTGGGATCAAAGACTCCAAAATTAAGAGTCTTCAAAGGGTCAGGAAATAGGGATGGGTGCTCTGAAGACTTCGATAATATTATGTTAAAGGAATTATAGTTATGGGCAAATGATAATTAAACATATAGCAAATATATGGGCAAATGCTAATTATATATTATGCTTATAATATATAATAAATAAATTATATATATATATATATACACATATATATATAGAGAGAGACGGTCTTCTCTCTTAGGCAAAGGTAGTTGAGTATTAAGGGGCATAGATCCTAAAAAAACATATACCTAGCCAGGCAGGGGGCTTGTGCCTGAGGTCCCAGCTACTCAGGAGGCTGAGGGTGTGAAAGTACTTTCCTGTGTGCTATGTAAGTGAAAGGGATTATCCTCAATTATGTCATTTTTAAAGAGGTAAATAATGCTGCAGGTAGACACAGTTGGGCTGCATTTAATCTACCAGTGGGACTGTGGACCCTTTAGTTATTTTCTCCAGCTCACTGCCTGCCTTTGGTTTTCTTTCAAATACCATCATTATATTCATTTACTTGCTTTCTATCATACTGTATGTGAAAATAACAGCAAATTGCTCATTTTCTCTAACTCTAGTATGAACGGCTCCATTGGCCATCAGAACAGAAACTGTTCTACAGTCACAGGGACATTGCTGTGAATGCTGCTCTTGTCATGAGGGCGAAGGCTCTGACACTTAGGAGAATCACGTCTTGTCTCTCTGTAGGGGAGAACATGAAGGAAGCCTGCGGATGAAGACAGAGTTACTGGTGCAGATGGATGGGCTGGCACGCTCAGAAGATCTCGTATTTGTCTTAGCAGCTTCTAACCTGCCGTGGTAAGAGACCAAGAGAGTAAATTTTGAATACATTTTCAGGAGTCACTAAGTGCAAATAAAAATTTTATATTGACCACTTCAGGCAAAGCTGTGTTGTTTGGCTGCAGCCCTGGAAGATTAATGTGGAGGCTTTACTGTTCAGGTCCCCAATCCTTGCTGTCTGTACCACGAAAGATCTGCCTTAACAGAGGAAACACAGGCCAGGGTGACCATTAACAATATTTAAAATGGACATTTCAAGATTAAAGCCAAATTACATAGTTTGTTTAAATTAAGTAGGACTTTGGCATAGAACTACAAAATGCTTAAAATCTCCAGGACTCAAATAATATTCCAGAAATAATATGTTTGAATTTTATAGTATTAAAATTAAACTTTTTTAAGTTAGGAGGAAAATCTTCTCTTTAATGCTGCACAGTAAATAGAAAGGTAAATAATCTCTAATGGAAAATGTAATCTACTCTCAGAGTCTTATTTAAACAGTGTCCCAGAGTGGTTTAAGAACAATTCTAGATGTGGAATTGGGAAATAAGAGATGTTGATTAGGGAAAAACAATATCTACTTGGAGAATATATTTTAAAAATAAGTATAAGCCCTTTATAGTTCTGAGAATGTTTTCACATACATTATTTCTTTCAAGCTTCAGGCAAAGCAGGAGACAGATAAAGGGAATGCTGTTCTTCCCATTCTCAGAGGGGACCAAGGTCAAGAGAGGTCAATCCACCAACATCAACAACTCTTGTAGCCTAGCTGGGACTTGTGACCTCATGCCCCTCACACCCATCTCTTGCTCTACATTCAAAGATGAAAAGAGAAACTCTTCTGTAGTGCATGCTAATTATCTGGGACCCCCCCCAAACCAGAAGTCATTGAAAAAAACCATAATGTTCATTTGTAATCTGTTATTTTAAATATACTCATAATTTAAACCTGGCTCCACCTCCCCTTGAATCTAGAATACTTTCTCTACTTGCTCAGGTGATCAGCATTTTACAATTTGAAGATATAGGATCTATATATAATAATATCAAAGTGGAGTCCAAACAGAGAACCGTCATTGAAATGTGATTGTGGAAACTTTTAGGGAAGGAATCTTCTTTCCTTCAAAGGTTTAAAACAAGGTTGATCATAACCACTGGGGGTGAATATTAGAGTCAGCTAGGGAGGCAGAAAAACTGTAAGTCTTCAGGCATGAATGTGGGAAGGTCTGTGCCCTGGGGAGACCTACATATTTTCTGGAAGAATAGAGGACCTTCTACCCCCAGTGAATACCTAAGAATTTGTTGAGAAACTTATTGTGCTGTTTCGATTTTCCTAAGCCCAAATAAAATGGTTCACAGAGGTCAAAAAACCAAAAACAAAGCAAAAAACGCATAAAAATTGAATAAGCTTATAAGGGCTTTTCCAAAAATTTGCTTCTCAATGTGTCAGCTGGCAAATACATATGTGCTTTTGAGCTTATGTTCCTTATATCATTGATTGCATCATTACAACGTGCCTTAGAACCAATATGTTCTAACTCATATATCCTGTTTTATTATGAAAAATTCCCAAAAACACTAAGGAAAGGAAAAAAGCAGAATGAACCCACCATCTCCCCGTTTTAATAACTAACACCATCTTGCTCAATTTATTTCATCTATTCCAGCACCACCCCCTGCCACTTCTTTGCTGCAATATCTTAAATCATATTCAACTATTATGTTATTTCTCAAATGTACATGTTGAAGAAAAATAAGGACTTTTTTTACATTACTACAAAGTCATTATCACCCTAACATAATTAACAGTGATTCCTGTTTATATTCAGATTTCCCAATTTGTTTCAAAACTCTCTTTACCATTGACTTACTGAACTGGTATCCAAACAAGGTTTGCACTTTGTAATTGGTCATTCCCTTAAGTCTCTTAATCTAGAACAGACGGCCTCTTTTTTTTCTTTTTTTTTTTGAGATGGATCCTTGCTCTGTCATCCAGGCTGGAGTGCAATGGCACGATCTCGGCTCACTGCAACCTCTGCCTCCCGGGTTCAAGCCACTCTACTGCCTCAGCCTCCCAGGTAGCTGGGACTACAGGCGCCTGCCACCACGCCCGGCTAATTTTTTTGTATTTTTAATAGAGATGGGGTTTCACCATGCTGGCCAGACTAGTCTTGAACTCCTGACCTCAAGTGATCCGCCTGCCTCAGCCTCTTTTTTTTTTCTTTTCCTCCACTTGTCATTGACTTATTGCCTGCCAGAGGGATTGTCTTGCAGGATGTCCACACTTTCTGGATTAGGCTCATTGTGTCCTCATGGTAGTAGGGTTGTTCTTACTCCTGTAATTAGACTAAAGGTTAGATAGATTATATTCAGGATCAATAGAATTTTTTGGCAAACACACTTCATAGGCGATGCTGTGCACATCACGTTGCATTATATCTAGAGGTATGTGATGTCTTGTTGCTCCATTTTTGGTGATGCTAAGATTGATCACCGGGTTCAGGTGTGTCACCCTGGTTCCTTGCCTGTACAGCTCCCATCAATGGTGTGAGCATCCATTGATGACCTCTGCCTGAATCAGTTATTTCACCAGGGGTACAAGTCTATCATTTCCTCTGATCAACAGCTGGAATTATTCTTGATAACAGAACTTTCCCTCTTCCAGTAAGGTTATTTGGTAACCCTGAAATATAGTTCATACTAGAAAAGCAGGATTTTTTTCTCTTTGATTTTTAGTTGTGAGTTGATGCCACAGTGACCTTCAGTGGCAACCAATGAGTCAGCCATCAGCTTCTTTCTCTTTCACTACAAGCTCATGACTTGTTTGGTACAACCCCATTAGTTTCATTTTTTCCCCCTAAAATTTTATTGAGATATAACTCACATACCACCCAATTCACCCATTTAGAGTATACGATTCAATGGTTTTGAGTGTATTTAGGGTTGTGCAACTACCACCACAATCAATTTTAGAACATTTTTCTTTACCCCAAAAAGAAACCCTGTACTCATTAGCAACCATCCCATTTCCCCTATGCCTACATCAGCATTAGGCAATCACTGATCTATTTTACATTCTTGTAGATTTGCCTGTTCTTATACCTATGAGTAGAATTATTGGGTCATACGGCCACTCTACGTTTGATTAGTTGAGGAACAGCCCAACTGTTTTACAAAGATGTTGCACCATTTCACATGAAGCAAATTCACACTTCACAAGCAAAGGATGAGGGTTCCGATTTCTCCACAACCTCGCTAACGCTTGTTATTATATGTCTCTTTTATTGTAGCCATCCGAGTGGGTAAGAAATGGTTTTGATTTGCATTTCTCTGAGACAAACGATATTGTGCATCTTTTCATGTCCTTATGGGCCAATTGCGTATCTTCTTGGGAGAAATGTCTTTTCAAATCCTTTGTCCACTTTAAAATTTTTCTTTTTATTATTGAGTTATAAGACTTTTAAAATATATTCCAGATACAAGCCCTCTATTGGATATATGATTTGTAAATAATTTCTCCCATTCTGTAGCCCTTCCTTCCTTCCTCCCTCCCTCCTTCCTTCCCTCCTTCCCTCCTCCCTTTCCTTCCCTTCCCTCTTTCCTTCCTTCCCTCTTCTTTCTTTCCCGCCTTCTTCCCTCCTTCCCTCCATCACTTTATCCCTCCCTCTTCCTCTCTATCCATCACTTTCTTTCTCTCTTCCTTCCTTTCTGAACTTTTTTATTCCTTTTTTTTCTCTACCTTGCTAAACTTCCCATGTGTGTCTCATTTCCCAAGTCTTGGACCTTTCAGAAGACCCTGTACCTGGTTATTCAACAGCGGCACTGTCTAATAGAAATATAATAGAAATATATTGTGAGGCACATGCATACTTTCAGGTTTTCTATTAGCCACATTTTTAAAAAGTAAAAATAAATTGGTGAAATTAATGTTAATAACATGTTTTATTTAACACAGTATTTTCAAAACATTATTTTAATATCAGTATAAAAATTAGTGTGATATTGTAGTTTCTTTTTTCATACTAAATTGGAAAAATCCAGCATATATTTTACACTTACATCACACCTCAGTTTGGAATAACTGGGTTTCAATACCCAAAAGCCACATGTGGCTGGTGCTACCATATGAGAGAGTACAGATCCAGAGACTCATTTGTCTTCCCTCATGCTGCTGTGGCAGAAATGGACAGTTGCCTCCCAACATTTATTTCACCCTCGGAATTTAAGAATAGAACTTCAAGTTGGGGGTTCTGTTTCTTAGTCTTCCCCTACTGTTAGGTGTGGTCAAGGCCAAGTTTCCTTCTTATATGTGCAGGATGACTCAGCTCCATTTTGTACATTTTGCTCCTAGAATCAGCCACTTATTCATGAAGCCCTTGTGCCTTTAGTGGGAAATGATGTTAATATTCAGAGATTACAGTCTCACAATTAGGCCTTTTGATTAGACAGAGCTAGGAAATACGTATCTTTAAAAAGAGGCAAATAATGAGTCCATGCTAGTATTTCCCATTCAGATTTAGGATTAATATATTTGATTTTATATTGGTATCTTTTCTCTAATAGTGAAAATCTCAGTTCTTAGCATTAATGTAATTAATACTCACTTTATCCCAATATGTACAAATACTGCATATGTGTGTATATCACAGAGCTTCTCAGTAATAACACCAATACTATCTTGACAGTGACATTCTGATGTGGAAAATGGTACTGACCTGGCCTAACTAAGATGAAAGAGCTAATGTGGGATTTCTCAACCTCAGAGCTACTGACATTTTCAGGCCAGATAATTCTTTGTGGTGGGACTGTCCTGTGCATTGATGATGTTTAGCAGCATCTCTGGCCCACTATCCACTAGATGCCAGTAGCACCTCCTCCCCAGCAGTTGTGACAACCAAAATATGTCTTTAGACATTGCCATATGTTTCCTTGGAGGCAAAATCACCCCCAGTTGAGGACCACTGGACTAATCTAAGGATTTGATAAACATCACATAGAGATAAGCTGACACATATTCCACAGCTAAACTCACAATGTTTATTAAAAAAATAAAATAAAATAACTGAACTTGGTTTTCTTACACATAGTTTATTACATAATTTTTTCTGTATCTTGATTTTATCTTAACAAAATACCCTGCCAATCTTTTCAAATAAGTATATAAAGTTCTTCCTTGCTCCCTTTATAGCTGCGCAGGGCTCCATTTTGTGTGTATAATAATTTATCCCACCAGCCACCTAATGATAGGCATTTGGGTTAATCCTATTAACCCAAATTAAAAAGAATGCTGCCGTGAGCAGCAGTGTGGAGACCACACTTTGTGTATTTGCTAGTGTATCTTTGGGGTAGGTTCCTTGAAGTAGATTTTGCTGGGTCAAAGGGCTAATGTGCATGAAAGTATGGTAGAGCCTGCCAAGTTTCCCCCCGCAGAGGTTGTACCACTTTGTATTCCCACTAGTGTCCTGCTTTCATTACTTAACATGACAGCAAGAACATTTCCAATGTCATTAAATCATCCTTGAAAATTGGATTTTGTAATGGCTGCCCAAAATTCTCACACATAAATATACCATCATTTAGTTAATAATTCCTTCCCTGTTGAACATATATGATGATCCCAAACTTTCTCTGTTAGAAATAACACTGAAATGAATTTCCTTGCATAAAAATCTTTGACTAAAGTTCTGGTTGTTTCCTTAGGACAGATTTCCGGAAGTCAGTTTACTGTAGCAGAGGGTTTAGATGTTTCTTAAGTCCCTTGTGACACATTGCTGATGTCCTTCTATGAGAAAATAGTGTATTTTTTAGCAAGAATGTGGGAACAGATCTTTCTCTTGACTTCAGGGTCTTAGATGAGGGAGTAGACTTATCTGATTCAAGCAGTCTGTCCTTCTAGGGGAAATAACTAAATCATACCAAGTGATCTAAAGACCCAGTCTTAAAATCCCAAAAGAAATTCCTTACAGTTAGTGGCAGTTCTCATCTATTGCATCGTCCGGGGCACTAGGCTATTCTTTACTGCTGGTTGACTTACCACCATTTTCTCTAGACACATAGATTCCGTCTCAAAGGGGCAATCATTTTCTCCCTTCCCAGCAGTGACAGGTGTGCAGCCTTTGTTTATTCAGCCCTTCTCCTCCAAAGAGCACCTTCCCTAGTCTATAGCATCACAGAGAGGACCAGAAGAAAGAACAGCTCTTGTGTGTCAATTGATGTATAAACAAGCAAGAAGAGGAATAACAAATGCTGCACCTTCAATATTACTGCTTAAAATAATAGCCATGTAAGAAATTTAGTAAACACAGTTAGAATTTGATGTGCCTTGATTGTTGAGTATTCACAAACTCAAGCCTAAGGGTCAGGAAACAAAATACTGAACAGGCCCATTAAGGCAAATGTCATCTTTAAATACCTATTTAACTCTCTGGGAGTTTGTACAAATAAGGTGTGAAGACTAAATATATGAAGCATGCTGAAATTCATGTTTTCCTTGCTGTTTGTAAAAGGGCTAGAAATCCCAGCAACTCTCTTAAAAATCAGACACCTGGTATACCAAGCTCTGGATTTAAAAATCCCTAACATTTAGAAGAAAACTTAAGATCCAAGAGATGGAATAAAATGGTTCTGATTCACTTGCAGGGGAAATCAGCAAGGAAAAGAGCTGTCAGTCAGCAGTGGCTCACTTGTGTCATCGCCTGGTGACTTCAACTTCTTTTTTCAGCCAAATTTGAAACCCGCCGGGGCAACTGCTAACAGGGATGTCTTTCTGTTATCTATGTTAACCTACTTCTTCCTACATGAACCCTCTCCTGCTGGTGTAACATTGCTATAGCAATGCATGCATGTGATTGGAGGGATAAGCAGATGTAACCCTTGTTCTTTCCATAGTAACCACATGCATTTTTGGGCTCCAGGAAGAAGCTGTCCTCCCTGCCTGCAATCAAGGTCTTGATTGTGCCTTCACTAGATCAACATTTTTCCAAAAGCAGTCTGCCACAGGTCAGCAAGCATTGTGCAAAAAATGAGATCTAGTGGCCTGGTATGTTCAGGAGATACCAAGTTAAAGACAGTTCAACTGGTTTCCCCCAGCAGGGTTGCTCAATGTCTTTAAAATACGACTGTGGGCCAGGTGCAGTGGCTCATGCCTGTAATCCCAGCACTTTGGGAGGCGGAGGTAGGCAGATCACTTGAGGTCAGGTGTTCAAGACCTGCCTGGCCCACATGATGAAACTCTATCTCTACTAAAAATACAAAAATTACCCAGGCGTTGTGGCACGTGCTTGTAGTCCCAGCTACTCAGGAGGCTGAGGCAGGAAAATGACTTGAACCTGGGAGGTGGAGGTTGCAGTGAGTTGAGATTGCACCACTGCACTCCAGCCTGGATGACAGAGCAAGACTCTGTCTAAAAAAAAAAAAAAAAAAAAAAAAAAAAGCCTGCCTCTGGACTCTTGTACTCACACTTACCTGAGTCTAGAATCTGGAATGCAGTGGCACCCCCACCACCGTCTCCCTCCCCTTCAGATATCTGCAGGGCTCTGTAGGTCACCTTCAGGGGTCTGCTCTGATGCCACCCACTCAGCATCCTATTCATAATTGCAGCCCCGGCCCCAGCTCCCTATGCTGCATTCTTGCTTTGTGTTTCTTCCTGTGCTGTTACCAGAAGTGATACTAATTTGGAATTAATGGCGATTAAGCTTTACAGCCCCTTGATTTCCTGGGACCCTTCCTTGGCTCATGGAGAGTCCCCAGCAATGTCCTCATGGTCTTCATTTTTGCAAAATTTGTGAAATGGTAGTTTTATTGCTGGAACCACTTTTGCAAAAATTATATAACAGTTAGAAGATTATGGCAGTGAAAGAGATCTGATCTAACCAACCTCCATCTTGCCTTTAATCATTCCTGGGCTCAAGCCAAGCTAACTTTGGGAGACATTTCGTTTATAGTTTAAATGATAATAACCCTTTTTGAAAACTATGTGGCCTTCCTAAAGCTAATGCAAGACCACCAGGTTAGAAGGATGAGAGGAGCCTGAAGTCGTTAACTTCCCCAGTTACTCCTGGAGATAACATCACTATTGTAGAATCTAAGTAAGATTGGCCTTTAGAGATGTCTTTTAAAGTTTTTGCATTTCTGATGACCCACGACTCCACGTGAACCCACCAACTAGTCCCATGGCCGCCCCCAGAAGAGGACTACTTTCCATACTCCCATTCAATTGCCCACCAAACTATCCTTGAAAAAGCCTAGCCTCCGAAATTTGGGGGAGATTGATTTGAGTAATGACTCCATTTCCCATGTGGCGTGGCCAGGCTTGTGTTTATTCAACTCTTTTTTTATTGCAAATAAATAAATAAATAAATAAAAGATACTATTTGCAGGCTGGGAATGGTGGCTTATGCTTGTAATCCCAGTGTTTTGTAAGACTGAGGCAGGAGGACTGCTTGAGGCCAGCATGGACAACATAGCAAGACCTCGTCTCTACAAAAAAATTGTTAAAAAATCAGCCAGGCGTGGTGGTGTGTGCCTATAGTCCCAGCCACTCAAGAGGCTGAGGCAGGAGAATTGCTTGAGCCCAGGAGTTTGAGGCTAAAGTGAGCTATGATCACACCACTGCACCCCAGCCTGGGCAACAGAGCTGCAACACCCTGTCTCTTAAAAAAAAATGCTATTGTGCTTTGTGACTCTCTATGAAAAATAAGATAAAGCAGTACTTTCCACACTTATCTGACCCCACTCCTTTCCTCAAGGAGTATCTCACAAGTCTAGTGTTCCATTTGAAAACCTTTTGGAAGACATTAGTTTGTATTACCTCACCCTGATCTGATGAATGCATTTTTCATTGCAATTGCCTTCAGTCCTGCCTGTAGGCTTTTTTTTTATTTGGAGACAGAGTCTCGCTCTGTTCCCCAGGCTGGAGTGCTGGAGTGCAGTGGCACGATCTCGGCTCACCACAACCTCTGCCTCCCGGGTTCAAGCAATTCTCTTCCTCAACCTCCCAAGTAGCTGGGATTACAGACACCCACCACCATGCCCAGCTAATTTTTTGTATTTTTAGTAGAGGTGGGGTTTCACCATCTTGGCCAGGCTGGTCTTGAACTCCTCACCTCATGATCCACCTGCCTCGGCCTCCCAAACTGTTGGGATTACAGGCGTGAGCCACTGTGCCCAGCCTGTTATTCATCTTTAATAGTATTTTTGTGCCTACTAGTGGTCAAACCATTTTGCTTGGAATTACTTACATACAACACTTCACTATCCCACACAATAATATCAAGCCCATGATCTTCCATGTGTGTTTTACGGGTAAAACCCATATGACGAGGAAAGAAGTATACTGTGCAGGATTTGGTAGGTCCAGTGGGGAAGGCACATGATGACTAGCAGGAGGTTACTAAGCAGTAACCTTGCTCTTGCTTCGTTCACACCTTACTGTTTGATCTCATCAGACAAAAACAACTTTCAACCTGGTTATTCTGGCATTACCTTTTCTTCTTCACAGGGTGTAGGTTGACATGCGAATCATACATTTCAAACCACATTTAAAACATTATAAAATTATTATAACCATTTTATAGAAAATAGGAGAATTAGAAAAAATACTTCTGATTTCACCACTGTGACTCAAGTATTACCATCTTTGTATCTACCTTTCTGGTGAAAATGGTTTAGTTATTTATCATCTTTTGCTTCCATATCCTTCTCTGGTAATGTTTTTTGTTCCCAAGAGAAAAACAGTTTTTACTCTTTTGGTTATTTTAAAGTAATAGTTGTTTATTATAAAAATCATAATTTATATGCTTTATTATTATTTGAAAGTGAGTAGTCTTCACAATAGCAAAGACATGGAATCAACCTAAACGCCCATCAGTGATAGACTGGATAAAGAAAATGTGGTACATATATACCATGGAATACCATGCAGCCATAAAAAGAACGAGATGATGTCTTTTGTGGGAACATGGATGAAGCTGAAGGCCATCATCCATAGCAAACTAACACAGGAACAGAAAACCAAATACCTCATGTTCTCACTTATAAGTGAGAGCTAAACAATGAACTCATGGACATAAGGAGGGGAACAACAGACCCTGAGGCCTGCTTGAGGGTGGAGGGTGGGAGGAGGGAGAGGAGCAGAGAAAAATAACTATTGGGTACTGGGCTTTGTGCCTGACTGATGAAATAATCTGTACAACAAACCCCCATGACAAAAGTTTACCCCTGAACCTAAAATAAAAGTTTAAAAAAGTGAATAGTCCCCTGTAACTATACCATGGAAAATGATGTAAGTCTCTCCAAACTCTTTTACATCTGTGTGTGTGTGTGTGTGTGTGTGTGTGTGTAGAGCACATACACAGAGCAACAAAAATGCGTTGTCCTGTAGATACAAGTGATATTTGTTCTATGGCCTGTTTTTTTTCCTTCATTTAATCTATTGTGGACAACTTTGAAAATCTGCCTAATCCCACATAAAACTCCATTGTATGTGTGTACCATAATTTATTTGACTTTTCTTTTTCTTGAGCGTTTTTAATCTGGTGCCAGCCTGTTGAACACCTTTTCCCACTACCATGACTCAGTGCCCTGCTGGGCTCCACGGACACTCTAAGGTCGGGGGGCAGTTCTTCGTTCAGTGTTTAGCTGGAATAGGGCAGGTATTATTAAAAGGTTTTTTATTCTGGTAGACCGCCTCTCCTCAGTCCTTTGGCTAGCGAGAGCAGGCTTGTCATGGGGTGTTTGAATCTGTGCATGTTAGCAGTTCTGAATTGCAGGCTTCTCCTGCATTCTATTGGGATAGATGGGAAGTAAAGAGAAAACCCAGGGAACTCACTGCCACACCATTCCTCAAGTCCCAAGGTCCCTAGCTAGCCAGTCCTCATCTTTCCACCATTCAATGTCTCTCCATGTTTATTTCTTGTATTATATCCAGGGATTTTTAGTTGTAAGAGGGTGAACTAGAGAAGAATGGGCTACTCCATCTTGGCCAAAGGAAAAGTCTTGTTCATATTTTTGTTCATAAACATAATTTATTTTACACTCTCTATCAGGGGAGTCTATTTCTGTTGTTAGTTTTTTTCTGCCAGGTCTCATTTATAATGGTTTATTATGTGTTTTGTAATTTTATATTAATTAATAAATTTATTCATTCATTTTTGAGAGGGGGGTCTCACTCTGTTACCCAGGCTGGAGTGCAGCGATGCAATCTCAGCCCACTGCAACCTCCGCCTCCCAGGTTCAAGCGATCCTCCCACCTCAGGGACCACAGACGTGTGCCACCACACCCGGCTAGTGTTTTGTAATTTTAGATTGTTAGCTTACATTAATGAAGTTGTCTCTATCTGTGGGATTCTTGCATGGGTCCCTCCAGAGAATATTTGTTTTACTGTGTCAGTCTTTAAATCACTTTTAGCTAATTTCCCTGTTCAGAATTTTTTGGACCATGCCAATAAGAGGAGATCTGTGGTCCTAACTTATCAGTGAACACTTTCTCCCACCCCAAAGTGCAAGGCAGACAAATTTCCCTGGTGCCTTCCATTGCTAGTGGGGAGATTTCCTAATCAACCCTTTCATAGTAGGCATGCACCCTTCAGCAATACTGAGTCTTTATGTGGTGGGCCTTGACGCCACCTCCCATCTTGAATGGGTCCAGGACCTTCTATGCCATTCTACATGTTGCCTTTAAAACTCAAACCTTTTGTAACCAAGAGACAAACACCCCTAATCAGCCATAGCTTCAACTGCCCAGCTTTCATTTTCAGCTTCCTCTTTATTTTTGGCCCTTGAGAATTCTGGCCCTGTCTCCTTGAGGGCTCAATTGTGCATTCGAAAGGTATTTCCTATAATTAATTGAGCTTTTTAAGGGACTGTATAACAAGAGAAGCTAGTTTATCTTTTTGCTGGAAACAGAGCCAGCCTTCCCATTTTTTTCCTCTCAATTTTGGTAATATATTTTCTGGCAAGAGTAATTGAGGAATATATCTTCTTTGTTGATACTGTAGCAATTAGAAGTTATTTTCATTCTTCATTATAAAGAAATGATGCTCTCAACCCAAACATCAGTAGGACATAAACTGAACTGATAGCTGCAGACTCTCCTACAGTATCCTCAGGCCTCATGCTTCTGAACTCACTGCTCAGAATGAGAAGTGGGGTCTCTGTGGAGGCCACATCTGTCAGCTGATTTTCAAAAGTACTGCCCAGCCACATGGGTTCAATGAATCATCCCCTAAACTCATTGTTTCCATTATTTTCACTAAAGATTAAAATATAACATCTTATTTCCATTGCCCAAGTTGATGCGGCTTTTCTCTATTGATTAGAACTAATGATGATTATAAAATGCTAAAATTTTCAACAAAGCAGATTCACCTTCATAAATAATTCCTGGATGTTAAGGAAGCAGGCCATTTAACATGAAGTAAGTAGCCCTGCACCTAAAGGTCAGTCATGTGTTCAAGTAGTATTTCTTTTAAAAAAAAAATCTATTTTGAGATTAGGTTATAAGACTGGCTAATTTTTGTATTTTTGGTAGAGCTGGGGTTTCACCATGTTGCCAAGGCTAGTCTCAAACTCCTGGACTCAAGTGATCCACCTGCCTCGGCCTCCCAAAGTGCTGGCAAGTGCTGGGATTACAGGCGTAAGCCACCATGCCCAGCTGAACTAGTATTTCTTCTTTTTTTTTTTGAGACAGAGTCTCACTCTGTCCCCCAGGCTACAGTACAGTGGCATGATCTTGGCTCACTGCAACCTTCGCCTCCCAAGTTCAAGCAATTCTCCTGCCTCAGCCTCCTGAGTAGCTGGGATTACAGTTGCCCACCACCATGCCCAGCTCATTTTTGTATTATTAGTAGAGACAGGGTTTCACCATGTTAGCTAGGCTGGTCTCAAACTCCTGACCTCAGGTGATCTGCCCACCTCAGCCTCCCAAAGTGCTGGGATTACAGGCAGGAGCCACCGCGCCCAGCCCGAAATAGTATTTCTTGAGCACCTGTTGGGTATTTATTCTGCATGATGGAGGGAGGGGGAATCCACATCATATGGTCCATAATCTTTGGCCTCTGGAAACTGGCAATCTGATTGAACAATCAGTGGGTTAGAAAATAAATGACTATGAGGCGGAGATGCAGCCAGCACCGTGTGATTGGTACAGACAATAATAAGAATAAAAATATACAAGGGAAAGAGGCAATTTCTGATGACATATAGTTTTAAAAGCCTTTATGAGGTAGAGAGCACTTGATCTGGGTCTATAAACATGACTCGACTTTTGATAGACAAAGTGAAAGTTCCACATAAGGAAAATGGCCTGAGTAGAAACTCAGAACTAGGATGGCAAAAAGTGGATTCTGAGAATGGCAAGCAGACCAGTTTGGCCCAAGTGGGAATTGTAGGTGGGGGACAGCTGATGCTGGGCTCACTGTGGAAGACAAAGTACCCTTCAATGCTTAATCATTGGCTCCCTATTATCAACCACAGAATGTTAATAAATATTAATTTCCAGAGTTGTCCTGACCACTCACTTCATGGTGTTACATAGACATACTGCAAAGACTTCACTTTTAAAACTGAAGGTTGGTTTCTCTTATGCTGATAATTTCAACTTAATACATTTTAACTAGTGAAGGAATAAACTAGAATTATGTTGCTTCCACATTCTGTAAAATTTGGAATGATCTCTGTCCCAGGAACCCTGGTTTAACAGTGGAGACAGGACGAGGGACTTAGGAAGGTACCTGAGGGTTGGCACAGGGGCTCAGCTGATCGGGCACAAGGCCTTGAAGCAAGATGTAAACCGTGGAAGTGGCCAGTGGGTGCTGCACCTTTTATCCAGCAGTGGGCCTGGGTCCAGTGGACCAAACTCTGAGGTCTGTGAGTCTTTGCTGCATTTCACACTTGCTGTACACCAGCAGCTCACACTTGCTGGTAGTTTTGCCCTTTGAGGTGACAGAAGTACCAGAAAAACAAAAGAAAGGAGACATTAAAACAGAGTAACTAGGTTCAAAACTCAAAGTGCAGGGACTAAGGGGAGTGCTTTCTGGTTGCCACAGGTTAAATTTTTTTATATAAATATATTGGCATAAAGAATGATTCCTGGGTACATTCCACTTGTCCTTCGTTTCCTCCCTTGTATATGATTATTGATGTCATGAAAAGTGCATTCATCAGGCCTGGCTGTCAGAGAGTTGCACTTATTTTGTGCCCACAAGCAGTTTTGAGGTAAATCTCTTGCTTTAGGGCATTAGCTAATCAATACAGACATCTGTAGTGAGGGATTGTTTTCCACATCATCTACAAGACTCCATTTTCCTAGGGCATTCTGGAGGGTTCTGGACTTCCTTTAGACAGGAAGTCACTCTGGATGGGACAGGGACAGCAGGAAGAAGGAGTCCCTGTGAAAGAATCTTTCTTCTTTAGCAGCCTGTCTTTTAGAAGCAAGTAGCTGATCCAAAGTAAAGGCCTTGGAAGAAAATATAGCAACTGCTCATTACCCTGTGCTCTGCCATTTCTAGGGGCTTATTTTCTCTTCCCTTGGGGTTTTCAGTCTGATATCAGCTTATTTTTTCTTTGAAATTTACAGGATCAATGATCCCACATGCCAAGGCCCAACCCTCCATATTACTGCCTTTAATTACATATAAGGAAGAGGGCATCTTGTTTCTGTATATTGGAGGCATAGCAATGACTATACACATGGCAGGCAGTAAATACTGCTGAACGGCACTGAATTCCTAAAATATAAATGTAATGATTTAGCTTCCCTGTTAAAAGATCTCCCGGCCGAGTGCAGTGGATCACGCCTGTAATCCCAGCACTTTGGGAGGCTGAGGCAAGCAGATCACTTGAGGTCAGGAGTTTGAGACCAGCCTGGCCAACATGGCGAAATCCCGTTTCTACCAAAAATACAAAAAATAGCCCAGCATGGTGGCACACGCCTGTAATCCCAGCTACTCAGGAGGCCAAGGTGGGAGAATTGCTTGAACCTGGGAGGTAGAGGTTGCAGTGAGCCAAGATCGCACCACTGCACTCTAGGCTGGGTGACAGAGTGAGTGAGACTCCGTCTCAAAAAAAAAAATCCCTTCTCTCCTTTTTTTCTTTTCTCCCCCATCACTTCACCTTTTTCTCCTATAATTCAGTCACAACTGTTAACTGTCTAGATGGACTCTTGATACATTGAGACATTCCAGGCATTCTATGAGTTTCATCTCCTTGGAGAGAAGGCTGGTAAGAGCCTTCTTACCAGCTCCAGGCTCACCTGCTTGTCCTGCACCTAGTCTATAGAGGAAACCCTGGGGTTCCCCATCGTCCTCCTGGAGGGTCCTTCACTCTATGCGTCACAGCCTCTGTTTCTTGAATCCCTTATAGTCCTTTGGTGTGGTTTACTCTCCTCCTTTGGAGAGAATCCTCCAATGCTTTCCTGATAAAGAGTACATGGGAGGTAATTTTTTTTTAGGCCTCACATGTTGAAAATGTCTTTATTCTATCCCCCAACTTAATTGATGTCTTCATCAAGAGATAGATTTCTATGCTAGAAATTATTTCTCATCTGAATTCTGAAGGCAGTGTTCTATTTTCTTTTAATGTCTTACATTGCTGTTGAGAAGTCTTATTGATCCATTGTACATAACCTGTTTTTTCTCTCTGGAAGCTTTTATGATCCTTTCTTTGTTCTCCAGGTTTTGAAATTTCACCACGATGTGACTTGGGAGTCCACTAGCAGTTAACTGAGGCATAGGTTTAGGGACTCGCTGAGTTAAATCTTCATGCCTGCCTCACAGGGTTGTTGTGAGAATTAAATGAATTAATGTCTGTAAAATGCTTGAGACATTGCCTGCCACTTAGTTAAGTACTAGTTAAGCATTTGCTTTTATTAATATTTCACATACAGAAAATTATTTCCTAGAATTCTGGAAAGTTTTCTTGAATGATTTCTTTGATATCCTCCCTTCTGTTTTCTCTGTCCTTTTTTTTTTTTTTTTTGATCTCCTATTGTCTGTTGGCTCTCCTGTAATAATGTTCTCATTTAAAAAACCATTTCTTTCTCATTTCGAATTTGTGTGTGTGTGTGTGTATTTATGTGCATGTTTGTGTGTCTTTTTTTTTCTTTAATTGAGACAGGGCCTGGCTCTGTCACCCAGGCTGGAGTGCAGTGGCATGACCACAGCTCCCTGCAGCCTCAACCTCTTGGGTTCAAGCGATCCTCCCATGTCCCAACTAGCTGGGACTACAGGCATATGCCTGGCTAATTTTTTTGTAGAGATGGGGTCTCACTGTGTTGCCCAGGCTGGATTCGAACTCCTGGGCTCAAGTGATCCTCCTACCTTGGCCTCCTAATGCACTGAATTACAGGCATAGGCCACCATGCCTGGCCTTGTGTGTCTTTCTTGTCCTACTCTGTGAGAGATTTCTCCAGCTTTATCTTCTAAATTTTCCATTGTGTTTTTAATTTCTTCTATCATATTTTGTATTCTCGTTACTGCATTTTGTTGTTTTTCTCTATTCTTTTTAAATGGCATCCTCTTTGCTGTAGTCTGAATGTGTTCCTCAAAATTCATGTGTTAGAAACTTAATCCCCAATGCAACAGTGTCGGATGGTAGAGCCCTATGGGAAGTGTTTAGGTCACCAGGGCTCCACTGTCATGAACAGATTAATGCCATTATAAAAAGGCATGATGGAGGCAGTTTGGTCTCTCTTGTTTGCCTTCCACTTGCCATCATGTGAAGACACATTGTTTCCCCCTCTTGAGGATGTGCCATCTTGGAAGCAGAGGCCAGCCTCTCACCAGACACCAAACCTGCTGGTGCCTTGATCTTGGTCTCCCACCCTCCAAAATGACAATTATGAAATTTCTGTTCTTGATAAATTACCCAGTCTCAGGTATTTTGTTAATAGCAGTTCAAAATGGACTAAGACACTCTTCTTGTTTCATGGCAATATTTTCTTACATCTCTCTGAGAATACTAATTTTTGAAGTTTCATTTCCCTGAAGAATTCTGTTTTCTCCAAGATTCTTTTTATTTTCCACCATTAATTTGTGTTGGGCTCTGTCTTCAAGTTAGAGGAGTTCCACAGATGTAGGTCTTCTTGGCTGCCTAATGTTTATGAGAGGGGTACATTAACAAAACCCACAGGAAGCTCTGTGCATGTGGCAAAGGCTTGCCAACTGTGGGCTCCATGTATTGAGATTTGACTGGGTTACTGTGTTGGGGAACTCCCAATATCAATGTCCTTAGGGTCTTTCTCTTTGGCTGGTCAGATTGCCAAGTGACGATTCTTGCAATCTCCTGCCTGGAGGGCAAGAGTTTGGCTGCTAATAGTCTAGGGATAGTCGGTATCTCATTGCTTCAGTACAGTACACTATTTTCAACTGAGCCTGGTGTTTCCCAGCCTGGAGACCCTCCATTTTACCCTCTACCAAGGTATGGGAGAGGCAGTTCCCCTGCTACTGGAGGGGGTGGAAATCTGTGATCTAACTTTTTTTTATGCAAATTGGCAATCAAACCCCCTATTTTCAACCCAGCCTCACCCTCACCTCTAAAGGTAGAAGAAGATACTGCCAAGTCTCTTGGGGATTCTGTGACTCAGATTATTTCTTGACTTTCTTTACTGCTGATTTAGAAAGCAGCTTCTCAGTTCTACTAAGTTTCTTTTACTCATTATTATGCTTCCCAGCTTTCAAATCTTTGCTTCAATCAGTTCTCCAATTCTCTTTGCTTTTGTGGGTTTATGCCATTCAAAAACTCTTTCAGTGGTGTTTAGTAGGAGGAAGCAGAGGTGATTGTGTTTATCCCCAAATTTAAGTGCAGTCTTAGTTAATTTAAAGTTCATCAACAATGAAGTGTAATATGGTTTGGCTGGTCCCCACCCAAAATTTCATCTTCAATTATAATCCTCATAATCCCCACCTGTCAAGGACGGGACCAGGTGGAGATAACTGAATCATAGGGGTGGTTTCCCCCATGCTGTTCTCATGAGATCTCACTGCACCTTGATGGTTTTATAAGTGCTCACTCTGTCCTGCCACCCTGTAAAGAAGATGCCTGCCTCTCTCTTTTGCTTTCCATCATGATTGTCAGTTTCTTGAGGCCATGTGGAACTGTGAGTCAATTAAACCCCTTTCCTTTATAAATTACCCAGTCTCAAGTATTTCTTCATAGCAGTGTGAGAATGGACTAATACAGTGTTTTTATTTCAACCTTAGTAACACAGACAGCCTTCTGTTGGAACATCCTTGGGTATGAAGGATAACATATTTTTGTGGCTTATATGCAGGAGTGATATTCAAAATATTGAACAACTGGTGTGGTGTGGGTGCTGACCAGTCAAGGGGAACAGCATCATTCTTGCTGCCTGCTGGCTGTATATTATTGCTGAGTATGAACAAGGAAGAAACCATCTGAAGCAAAGATGAGCACATCCTCAATTGGAGTGCTAGGCAAAGTTCTGCTGTGAAGCGTGTTTTTTTCTTCTTTTCCTTGACCCTGTGCCTTGAATATAAATGTGCCTTGAGAGGGGGAATGATTGTGCAAGGGAAGAGGTGGCTGAGTCTCTGATGTGCGATGAATGTCAACAGGGTGAGACTGATAAAAGAACAAAGCAAATGCAAAAAAGAAATAGGTCATTGTTACTGTCGGTAAGGCACCCCTGGACTATGGATTCTCAGCTCAGGGTTAGACAAACAATAGGAGAGGAAAAGACACACTCCTTAAAGAAATCTGGTTGCTGTGATTTAGGATTCAGATATGTTCCCTGGAAGTATGTTTTCAGTTTAAAAAGAAATATTGTAACATAGATTCAGAATGAGAATAAGAAAAAATGGGAAGACAGTTTAGATATTCTCAGTGTTTTTATGAGTGAGAAATACCTGGTGATGACGTTTTCATTGTTACTCTTTTTTAAAAAATATTTAAAATTTTATTTTTTAAAAAATTTATTTCTGTCACTCAGGCTGGAGTGCAATAGTATGATCTCGGCTCACTACAACCTCGGCTTCCTGGGCTCAGGTGACTCTCCTACCTCAGCCTCTCAAGTAGCTGAGACTACAGGCGTGCATCACCACACCCGGCTAATTTTTATATTGTGCAGAGACGGGGTCTCACTATGTTGCCCAGCATAGTCAGCGAATCTTCTACCTCAGCTTCCCCAAGGGCTGGGATTACAGGCGTGAGCCACCGCACTCAGCTCATTGTTACTCTTTATCAATGGTTAGGCTAACATACAGGAATTTCCTAATTTCTATCCTAGAAAATCAAATAAACAGTTCACAGACTCACACTCAAGATGATCTATTGATAATAGGAATGGTAATTTAGAGTAACCAAATAGCCTCAGCTGATGAGGGAAAGCTCTGCTTTACATAATAGTGCTATGTAATTTCATAATAACTCCAAATAATGTATTTGGAATGAAAAATCCAGGCCAGGCGTGGTGGTTCACACCTGTAATCCTAGCACTTTGGGAGGCTGAGGCGGGTGGACTGCTTGAGCTCAGTAGTTCAAGACCAGCATGGTTAACATGGTGAAACTGCATCCAAAAAATATTAGCCGGGCTCGCACCTGTAGTCCCAGCTACTGGGGGGCTGAGGCAGAAGGATCGCTTGAGTCCAGGAGGTGTAGGTTGCAGTGAGCTGTGACGGCACCACTGCACTCCAGCCTGGGCAACAGAGGAAGACCCTGGCTCAAAAAAAAAAAAAAAAAAAAAATCCAACTCTGTGTGTGTATGTGTGTGTTTAATCAGCATTTGCAACCTCTAGTGAAATAATTGATTCAGACAAAGATCATTAATAGATGCTAAAACCATTAGTTGAAAGGGCATAAGGAATTGGGTATTCCTATGGTGTCAAAGTATTGTACACAGAATACTTACTACTTGCTGAGAGAAGATGTTTTTCTTTACAACGGAGAGTTCCATGGCCACCAGAAAATCAAACACCACACCGACAGTGAGATACACAGATGTGTGGATCCTGATGAATATGAAAACACATCATCATCTATGCAATACGCTTGCCAAAAAATATTTACCCTAAATCTCATTAAGCTTTTAGAACTTCCCTCTTAGAGACAGGGAATAGAGGAACCAGTTTCATGTATCACAAGGAAATCATCAGACAAATTCAGAATGTGGGACATTCTCCAGCTGGCCCTGTTTCTTCAAAAAGGGTCTAGGGCAAGCAGGCTGGCCTAGATTAAAAAGAGGTTTAAGAGACAGAACCATACATGATGCATATGTGTTCACTGGATTTTGTCAGAAAATGATGGAAGGT
This sequence comes from Homo sapiens, assembly GCF_000001405.40. Lineage (NCBI taxonomy): Eukaryota > Metazoa > Chordata > Mammalia > Primates > Hominidae > Homo > Homo sapiens. The sequence continues at coordinate 47,097,705 of NC_000018.10, forward strand.
ATTTTGGGGATGGTTGGAGTATTTTATTTTTTAACTTTTATTTAAGCTCAGGGGTACATGTGCAGGTTTGTTGTATAGGTGAACTTGTGTCATGGGGGTTTGCTGTACAGATTATTTCATCACCCAGGTATTAAGCCTAGTACCCATTAGTTGTTTTTCCTGATCCTCTCCTCCTCCCACCCTCCACCCTGACTGGAGAAATCTGAATATGGACTGAGCATTAGACACATCACAGAATCAGTTTTGCCAGGTGTCATAATGATATTGTGGCTATGTAAGCAAATGCCCTTCTTTGGAAATGCATGCTAAAATATTTAGGGATGAGGTGTCATGATATAAATTACTTTGAAATAATTTAGCAAGAATAGGTAGATAGAGAGATATGAAGCAGATATAGAAGAATACTGATGTTGAATCAAGATGGTATGTATATAGATGTTCAATTGTTTTATTCTACTTTTATATTAGCTTGAAAGCCATTGCACTCCAGCCTGGCGACAGAGCAAGACTCCGTCTCAAAAAAAAAAAAAGTGTACTAGTCCATTTTCATGCTGCTGGTGAAGACATATCCAAGACTGGGAAGAAAAAAAAATTAACTGGACTTACAGTTTCACATGGATGGGGAGCCTCAGAATCATGGCGGGGGGCAAAAGACACTTCTTATATGGTGGCAGCAAGAGAAAATGAGGAAGACGCAAGAAGCGGAAACCCCTGATAAAACCATCAGACCTTGTGAGACTTATTCACTACCATGAGAACAGCATGCGTGGTGGAAACTGCTCACGATTCAAATTATCTCCTACTGGGTCCCTCCCACAACACGTGGGAATTATGCGATTACAATTCAAGATGAGATTTGGGTGGGGACACAGAGCCAAACCATATCAAGAAGTTTAAGGAAATGGCCTATGGATGCAAAATCACATAAACTTGGCCTGACAGTTTTGGGAGGAGTAAAAGTGAGTGTCTGAAAGGGCGGTTATTTGCACTGGGCACCCAGGAAGGGCCACTGGTGCTAAGTTCACCAATGTAATGAAGTGAGGGGTCATTCACTCCAGAAGGACTGAGAATTTTGGAAGAATTAATGTACTTAGAGTGCCCAACTTATTGTCAGCAATAATTTACTCACTGGCAAGATCGGACTGAATAATTCATGTTACAACTGCAATCAGAATACTCATGATTGCTGGTTGTTAGTTGGTTTTTGTACCCCAAATTAAGTCGCATAAAATTACTTCCTTTTCATTAGTTCTGAGAATGTGCTCTTTTCCTTTTCTTCCATTCATCCTTCCTTCCTTCTCTTTCTTCTCCTTCCTTTCTGCTTTCCTCTCTTCCCTTCCTTCCCTCCCTCAGTTCTCTTTCTCACCAATTCTTTCTCCAAATAATATTAATTGTCCCATCCACTCAAGGCATAGATGTAGAGTGACAGTTAAAATGCAGAATTGCTTCCTGCAATGCTAAATTGTTCTTAAAGTACAGTTGTTGTTCAGGAAGTGTGTTTGCAGCCCTGTCCAGCTCCATTTCTGGTGTGATTTCAGGGAGCTGGACTGTGCCATGTTACGCCGCCTGGAGAAGAGGATTCTGGTCGATCTCCCCAGCCGGGAGGCCAGGCAGGCCATGATCTACCACTGGCTGCCTCCTGTGAGCAAGAGCAGGGCCTTGGAGCTGCACACAGAGCTGGAGTACAGTGTGCTGAGCCAGGTCAGCTGCCCTGGAGAGGGGCACATGTAGGTCAAGGGCCCACCATATGGCCATCTTGTAGACCAGGTCTTACCATGAGCTGATAGAAGCTTGAGACACTTAGAATAAGATCCAAGCTGCCCCCGTAATGCAATGGGCATCTTCACGAAGAATAAGCTCCTTTTCACTTAAAAATATTCAGAGAAGGAGAAACAATGTGAGGCAGTGGAAACAGCATAGGGTTTAGACTCAGAGAACCTATGGTCAAATCCTGGCCCTGCTGCTTGTTAGCTGTGTGACCTCGGAGAAGTCACTTACTCTTTGAGCCTGTTTCTTCATCTGTAAAATGGGTAGCAGATGAGCCACAAAGAATGACTGTGATGATTACATAACAGAAAAACTCCAGGTACATGTCTATTATGCCCATTATCACTGGTGTCCATTCCCAGGGTGTTGCAGAAATGTTGCCTGCTTTTGGTGAACATTTGAACACAATGTTCTCTGAGGTTCCTAAATGGCAGGTATGATCTTATTTACAAGAATAAACGTGCCTACCAAATTTGACCATCCTTGGATTTGAGCACAGGGGCCCTGATAGGCTAACTTGGGTGTTCTGATCCTTCACTGGCATCTTACAGCATATTTCGATGGTGTTAGAAAGCCATTCTAGCCCAGCTGCTTAGGTTATCCCAACATGCTAGCAGGGTCTCTTCCTCAAGCACTGTTTATCTGGGAATCTTTTTAGGATGTTCATGGGTGACAGATACAGAATCTACACAGGGCTTCTGATACTGGGTCCTGCCTATAACAACGTAATGGCCAGGAGCATTCTGCCCACTGACCAATGGCTGGTTTTTTGGCTGTTTCAGGAGACTGAGGGCTACTCAGGCTCAGATATTAAGCTCGTCTGCAGGGAAGCAGCCATGCGGCCCGTGAGGAAGATCTTTGATGCACTTGAAAATCACCAGTCAGGTATGGGTTGGATCACCATGAAGGTGTTCCAGGAATTTGTGTAAAAATCCCTCTCACCAGCAGATGGAGCCTGGCGCCTGTTCTTGGTGCCGCTTTACACTTGGCAATGCGTTTTTTGGTCAAATCATCCCTCACTCAACTCATTCCTCCGTGGGTGTTCTGATTTGGATCGACTTTGCTTGCAGATGATAAACTCCTTAGGGCTCAGGCTTTTATTTCTCTGGCACACTCTGATGTTGGGCTGGATCCATTTGAGGCACTATATAAATATTAAATAATACCTGGTAACGATACATTTAGGTCACATTTTTTTGTCTGGGCCTTAGGGGCTAACTCAGTTGCACGTTAAAGAATTTTTCCCCAGCCCTCTTTAGTCTTGCCTTTTGCTGCATTAACAATTAAGAATGCTGCATTATGCATTATTTTGAAAGAAGGTCTATTAGCGTTTCAAGAGCATTGATCACCAAGAGGTCGATTGTTGTGCTGTTACTGTTGTGTTCTTATCCTAGAAAGCAGCGACTTACCCAGGATCCAGTTGGATATAGTAACCACTGCCGACTTTCTGGATGTGCTAACTCACACCAAGCCCTCCGCAAAGAATCTGGCTCAGAGATACTCAGACTGGCAAAGAGAGTTCGAGTCTGTCTGAAACCACATTTACCCTGACCTGGCCACAAAGGCAACCACAAAGACCTCCTAGTTTATTAATGTCCGTGGGAGAACAAAATGATTGGAATGGAAAAGAGAAAATTATTTTTGAAGACTGGATTAACTTGAGCCACTGTATTGTTTTGGATAGCTGAGATATATTTATTAACTTACCATTATCGATGTCAGCAAAATATTGAGAGTTTCAGTTACATACATATATGTGCTATTGGGTCATACAATGGAGATTTTTCTGACAATTAGACTCCATAAAATTTTAATGAACAATTTTCTGTAATGTTACTCATTTGTAAACTTTTTAAGAAAAAGATGTACTTAGAAAAGTTGTGTTGGCCACACACAGGATGACCCTGAGTTGGGGCAGCCAAGTAGAAGCTAAGCTTGACAGGCACTGCCCAGCTGACAGTCCCAGGGTGAAGGAGGACGGAAGCAGGGAAGGCAATGCAGTCTGTTTCTCATTCCGGACAATATTCTGAATCTCATCAGCTCCCCCTAATTCTGACTCCATCCAGCTTTGTCAGCAGCAAACCCCTCCCAAACTAAGCCCCACTCAGAAATGTCACTGAGCATTCTGATGCTAGAGCTAATAGCCAGGGTGACTAGCACACCATCACCATCAGCTGCCAGTCTGATTGTTTTGGGTTCTGGCCCCCAATAACATCTTTTCACTCTTCACACCTCACATCCGGTGTGCTCTGCCCTTCTCTTTCCATTGCCGCAGCTTCTCATCAGATCCAAAGCTTAGGATGGGGCACCTAAGCTTCGAGAACATTCATCCCAAGTCTTCCCTGCTCTTAGGCTCTTCCCCCTCTCCTTAAGGGGTTATAAACAACTAGACGCATCTCTCTCAGAAACCCACAATCCGAGGCATCTACTTTCAACCCTTGATAAATTTTGAAGGCTTCTACTAAGTAATGCCACTTCTTTTCCCCCACTAGAACTTACCTATGGGAAATCACCTTCTTTTCTCTTCCTTGCCTTGTCTTCATCATCCCTGCAGACAGACTCTTCAAGAGGAAAAACCTCCAGAAAGAGACACTTTGGATAGCTAAGTATCCCAAAGGATTTTACCCTTTTAAACAAAACCAAAGCATTTTTTTCGGTATCGATTATTTTGAGATTATTCTCAAATGCCTCTTTAAACATCATTTCATGGAAAATGTCAAATTGAAAATATACCTTATTTAACAAATTGAAAATAAAAAAGATTTCATCTCAGTACATGCTTAAACTTCTTCATAAGCATCAGGCACTACACCATGCAGCACCAGTGATATAGAGAGTCCCCAGTCCCTGGGCCATGGACCCGTAGTACCCGTCCGTGGCTTGTTAGAACTGGTTTGCACAGCAGCTAAGAGGCAGGTGAGCATTACTGCCTGAGCTCCACCTCCTGTCAGATCAGCGAAAGCATTAGATTCTCATAGGAGCGTGAACTCCATTGTGAACTGTGCATGCGAGGGATCTAGGTTATGCGCTCTTATGAGAATCTAAGTAATGCCTGATGATCTGAGATGAACAGTTTCATCCCAAAAGCATCCATCCCCCGCCCCCTATCCAGGCCCACTCCGTGGAAAAACTGTCTTCCATGAAACCGGTCCCTGGTGCCAAAAAGCCTGGGGACCACTGACATAGATGACTCTACTTTGAATGGCCCAAGACTGATGTAAGGCCTAAGTTCCGATGTCTACTTTATGGTTTGGCGGGGGTTCTTCTTGTCAGAACTGACATCAGCTGACATTTCTTGTAGCTGCTAGTCCATTTGCTTGTGGCCACTACCATCATTTCTAATTTTATAAAATCTCAACTGCTGTTGTGAATTTGCTGCAGTGGGAAAGTTGGTGCTGTATGTATACCCAAAAGTGACTGGGTAAAGGGGCAGGGGAAATGCTCCTCTGGATAGCAGGCTTCATGACAATACATTTAGGTCCTTTCTGCTTACTGCCCGTTCCTGAATTCATTCAGAATAAGTGCAGTCCTGCCATCCCTCACAGCAAATACACTTAACCTTCTTCCACTTCCAAAACCCCATATGCAGCCTGTGTGCCTGCTGCATCTCCACATCCTCCATTCCCTTTAAATATCGCCTAGTCCATGTTTTTAACACTTCCACCTCTATTCAATCACATACTCAGTCCTCCTCTTTTTTCCTAAGAAAATTTGTCTTCAAATACTTCGGCATGTGGATGTTTTTCTGTCACGCCTTTACTTTGGTGGCTTCTTCTTGATGCTTTATATATTTATTCCCACTTTGGATGAAATGAAGTGTAGCTCTTTCATCTCTCTGCCCTTTCCTTACCACATATACGTATCTGTCTCCATCATCCCAAAAGTTCTATTATGATTTTAGGTTAACTCAATAATCAATATTTTTAATAGAACTGTACATTGTTAACTGCAGAGCCAGCTAGTGAATTAGAATTACATTTGCTTTCTTGTTTTGTCTTTCCTAGAATTAACAACTGCCTTGTTTTTCTATTTGCTTAATTTTCTAAGTATCTTTTTTTTTTTTTAACACATTCTCGGACCTGTCAGATACCCATCAATATTCTTTTCCAAATGGCCAAACATACCAGATAAACTTTCCACTCCCTTCCCACCCGCTCTGGTCCTGGTGTTCTAAGGGAAAGGGGAGCAGAAGACCATGGCAGAATAAGCAATTTGTACCTAATCAATTTCCAGCCCTGCATCTCACCCTGGCCCACCACCATGCCCACTGTTTCCATGGCCTTAATTTCCATGGTTCCATTTTTCCAGAGAATAATGGAAAATTTCCATTCTCCTGCCTTGACTAGGGGTTGGCATCTGACTGCTCAGGGTGGGGAAGTTTCCTGAGGCTCCAACTTCTAACCAATTCCTCACTTTCAATCCTGTCTTGTACCTCACTTCCTCCCTACCTGCTGTCTGCAAGCCTTAAGTCTTTGAAGTTGTTCTACAGGATGAATTTTGGCTGTATTTTCTTTGCACTGATTTTGGCTATCAACATTCCAACCAGTTTCCACCTTTCAGATTATTGTACCTTTTCATCCACTGATGCCTCCTCTACCTTCTCTTGTGGGCTGACCCTGTGGGTTTACATTTTATTCCTTTTACTCTTATTTTGGTGTGGCTTTGAGAAAAAGAGACCAACACATATGACTAACCTACTATGTTGAGTCTCTATGATTATTTTTTTAAAGTAGATTAGAAGTATATATCTAAGTTTACATAGGAGATTGGCCTGATAGCTGTTGGAGGAAAGTTTAATGTATTTTCTTCCAAAGCAGAGGTCACAGCCCAAAGACCTACAGAAACATGGAATGTAGTGGCAAATTAGGAGTAAGATGGATGTTAGGCAAAGCAGAGGTGGAGACGGTGGTGAGCTAGAGAGGGCCAGGGACTCTCTGACACAGTAATGACTCTGCTCCAATTGGACATGGAAATTTGGATCTAACATAAGCCAGTTCTTCCCATCTTCCTAGAAAACCCAGTGGTTGATTTGCATTAGAATCTCCTGGTGTTCAGATGTTGGCAATCAAGGTTAACTATATGCCTGTAGAATTTCCACAGCCTGCTCCCACTCACCTTTAAAAGCCTTCCTTGGCAGACCATACTTACCTAAAGTAACCGCATTCCTGTTGGCCTTCTTCTTCATCATTCATCAATCTCTCACTGTATTCGGTAGCTGTGTATAAATGCACGTGTTTCATCATTTGTTTGCTCCCTCCAAATGTAAGCTCCATGCCTGGAGTACTTTTTTTCACTGCCATTGAATGAAACATTATTTAAAATGGCGTAGGCCAAAGGCTATCTGAGCACTGTCTGTGACTACTACTCTCATGCATTTTGCTCACTGCTCATGATCTTAGAGGACTTACACAACCATTCTGAACATGTCAGAGTCCTTGGTATTGTTATAAATTTTTATATGTGTTAATTTCCCAACTAAAAGACACACATCTTAGGAGCCACAGCTGTATTCTCTCCATCTCCCTTATGCTTTACTCACAGAGAACATTAAATATCTGATTTTTTCAGGAAGATCAGCTAGTGAAACAAACAGGAGTTGAGCTGTGTATGACATAAAGAAAAGCACTGGAAAAAACATTCAAACTGTTTGAAACAAATGATTTCTGGTACTTTGGCACCCTCGTTACTGCTCCTTAAAGATAGCAACATGATTTGGGACAGGAGGCCTTGATGGCTGGTATAATACGGAAGTCACCAAAAGCCTTGTGCATTTAGGCTGAAAAAAGCTTTTGTGACTTATGTCAAATAAACATGATAAGGCAAACACAGCCCTCTGCAAACAACTGCTAACATCACAAAGGGATTCTACTGCTTGAGGCAGTGTTTTAATGCAATAGGTTAGTGTCATTTAAAAAAATTCTCTATTATAGGTGCCCAAGGACTTCAGTTTTATCCTACATGAACACACATTGATCCAAAAACCAATTGAACACAATCAGTGTAGGTGTTTTTAACTTCTCTGTCCAACACACTACTGTAAGTTCTAAAATGTGGGATTATGTGTGAAGTGACATATATTATCATTCCATGGGAATTTCTGACATCACGGCTAAAGGTAAAGTTTGATGGAATTGTCACTTAGAATGAGGTAGGTTATCCTCCTTTTCCTTTCCTAGCCATTACGATTAGCTCTCACAGATGCAGAACGTACGGGAGGCAGAGCTACTGCAACCTGTGGCTGACTCTGGAGGTGTGGGTGGAGGGGGTTGAATCTGTTTCCCCTGGACTGGAGCTCTGCCCTGCTCCACACTCCTGGCTCACAGCAGATGTGGGACACTCAACTCCCGACAATGGATGTTTTCTAATAACCTTTCCAGTCCCAAGGTGTCACATGGTCCCTTTTCTGGCCCAGGACAGGATTATAATAAAACTGATGCAAACACCATCCTTGAAATTAATACCAGATAGCCCTTTAAATGGGACAGCCAGAAAATGAAGCCTAAGAAACTTCAGTTACTAAACTTCCTCCATGAGGCCCAAGGCAGACTAACCAGCTGAGACTAACATGGATTGGAATGTTTATAAGTAAGATTTTTAGTTATTCTCATGAACCTTACTGTGGGCCGGTCAGTTAGCAAGTCCTATATAATGCTTGTTAAAGATCTCAAACTAAGATTTTCAGGGCTCACAGGGATTAAGTGGAATGGAAGAATGGAGAGAAGCCATTTCTCCCGGCTGAGTCCATCATGCTCAGGAGACTTTTACCCTCTTCACTTCCTGACCCATCAATGATGTTCCCTTCTTGGCTTTAGCTCTAACCTGTCTCCAGAGCATCTGATCCATTACTTCCAAGTGTTTATTTAATGGGGCCTCCCCTATGGGCAACTTTAAGACAACAAGTCTAAAATGAACATTTTCTCCTGCCCACTCAAAGCTATGCTTTCTAGCATTACATTCCTAAGATATTTAGTTTTTATTGGTTCAGTAACCATTTGAGTGCTTACCTGTGTTGCAGCAGATATAGGAAAGAATGATGAAACTCAAATTTAACTGGGTAGCAAAATTAAAATTTAAAAAAATGAGATGCAGCCCTGTCTAGTGGGGAGAAGAGCATGTGAAGACATAAGTACACTCTTCAAGTGCCACACGGACATGAAGGAGGGGACACCTTGCCCCATCCTGAAGTCAGGGACGACATCAGAGGACAGGAACGCCTCTGTGTGTATTCTTTTCCTTAGCTCTTCAACTGAAAAGGATCCTTGAGGCAAAATCTTTTTCTTAATATGCTTATTTCCCACCATAATCAGGGCACTCAGTGCACAGCAACTAGCAAACACTTGATAATGCTTGGGCCAAGGCATCACTGACCCAGGTGCCCAAGCAACAGGGCAAAATTGAAGGCAGCCCACCCACCAGGCACCACGCAGAGCTCTCTACCCACAGGCTGAGCTCTCTCTCTGTGCAGCTTTGCTCTGAGGAAGTCTAAATGTAGTAAAGAATATCCTTTTTTTTAATCCTTAGGAAGACTTTCTCCACTGAGATAAATGTAAAGATAAATTCTACCAACCTTTTTCAGACTGTTAAATGTGGAGAGTCCTGCTTCATCATCATCATCATCACAAACGCACAGCACTCATCATTTGCCCAATGATATTCTAAGTACTTAATATATAGTTCATGCACGTAATGCTCACACCAACCGTATGTGGTGGGCACTATCATTATCCCCATTTTATAGATAAGGAAAGAAGGCATGAGAGGTGAGGTGACTTGCCCAAGGCCAGAGAGCTAATTTTGTGTTACCAGGATCCAGAGTATACTCTTAGCCACTCCGCTCATCCTTCTGATTTGGGGTGGTAGTCATATCACATCTGTCTTTTGCACTCTGGGATATAGAAGTACTAAGATGAGGCATTTGCAAAAACAAAAACACAGTGCTCACCAAACTAACATTTATTTAGCTTTGTTCCCTCCCATCCAAGACTGCTGATCTCTAAACAAGCATCAAAACCCGAAGCTCATTAACATCAGAGTGAGCTTCAATAAGGTGAACACTACAATGATGTACAATTACATCCTAATAATTCAATGCCCAAGAGCCCTGTAGAACTATTGCAAGGCCCAGGATTATCACAGTATGCAAATGCACTAGGAAAATCATTACCTATTTAGTCCCCTTTATTTTGGTGGGTTTAACATGAGAAGAATAATCCATGCTACAAGACGAGATTTCATTTTACAGCTGTAGTAACCAAGTGCATAAAAGCTTGAATCTGTCCCAATAGCTTCTAAAAAATTTTTCCCATAGTGTCAGAGGCAAAAATAATGAAATCTTGCAAATGTACAGTTAATAGGACCCTAGTGGACACTAACTTCAAAAATGCATGGTCTATAAGATATTATAAGGCTTGATTCTAGTTTCTGCACTGTTCCTGTTAATAACAATGTCTAATTAAAACATCTGTAAAATACTGATAGTTTTAATTTTACATAAAATTTCCAAAACAACTGTTACACAGTATAATAGGTATCTGCAATGAATAGGTTATTAATGGAAATATTAATTTAAATTAAAATCTGGTTCTAAATTTAAATTAGTCATCTCTGGCTAATGAAGAGAAAAAGAAGTCACCCGTGCTGGGAATACAGTAGAAAATTTAGTTTTCAACATCTGTTAAAGCAAATTCACTGTACCACTTGGGCTAAAGAACAATTCACTTTGTTGCTTTCTGTCTTCTCCATTTGGCACATCTGATGGATTTCACAGTTGAACTCAATATTAGAACTACAGCCTAATGCACCTTTTAATACATTACTTTATAATTTAAAAACCACCATTCAACTTTCTTCACAGTCTGAAATCCCCCCTCCCTGTTTTCCAGTGAAGAGACAGCAGAGAACACTCTTCCCTGTAGTAGCTTTTCCCCCACAGCCCCACCTAACCTGATGAATATTTTAAAAGGAATGGCACAAAATCTCAGCTTTCCCTTTCTTTGGGTCTCATCTTCAGTTACAAAATAAAAGAGATTAGCAAGGCTTACTGGCTAGCCGCAATTCAATACCTTTCTTTCTAATTAATGCACAACAAAAGAGGGTTAAAAAGCGATCAGCACTGACTGGTGTCTACCGATGCTGGCACTGAGTTGGTAAGGGATTCATTCCAGACAATAAGAAGCTGCATTTCAAGTTGCTTCAGATGCACACACTGCTTCACAATAGGTGCTGCAGAATGTGGTCCACAGCATGAGGGAAACTCTCACAAGTTAAGTAAGGAGGTGGATTAATTTTTTCTTCATCTGATGCTCGATATTTCCCTGAAATGAAAGTAAAGCCAGTAAACACAGGCTGCCACCAGAATGCTAAATTAATCATACCCCATGAGCACCTGGGTCATCACAGCACCACCCTTACAGTTAAGACAGAATCAGGGGCTGCACATCTCCCAAATCACCTTTTATTGAGGCTTCAGGATGTAAATGAGGCAATTCAAAGAAATGTCACATTCAGCCTTTCCCCAGGCCCTCTGGTCATTCACAATGGACAGCCACAGGTACTGGATCGTCTGACAGCTAAGATTCCCTTCACATGTTCACAGCTGATGAAATCATTTTCTTTCCCCTACCCTCAGCTCTAAAGATAGATTGGTGATTAAATTAATGCTTTAAAATGGAAGCCCAGACCCCAGAGGGCAGAGGACTCATCCGCTCCCAAAGGCAACTGGGAACAGGATGTGCTGCTGCCACGCAGGGATCCAGGCAGCCCGGGAGCCCAGCAGATGAGAACGCCCTGGGTTGGGGAGGAAAAGAGTGATGGATGCTCGCAGGCCAGGGGCCAGGCAGGACAGGCCACTTGGCATCAAGCAGCAGGCTCACTGCCTGACTCTCCCAACCGTGGAATTCAAGATGGCCTGCTGTTCTAGCACCTGGCACACAATTTAACACCTCAACACAGCAGAGGAACCATTCCACAGTGGTCACAAAGAGCTTTTACAAGTCAGAAGGTGCACAGTCCCTATTTAAAGACCCTTTAATGGGTCCCAGTGCCCTTCAGAAAGAATCCAAAATCTCTACTGCTGCTTACCAAGCCCTTTGTCATGCAGCCCCAGTGACCCTCTCACCTAAGCATGTGCTACTGGCTCACCAGGCTGCAGTCCCAGACTGGACCTGCTTTTCTGAGGGCCTACACACGTGCCATTCCCTTGTCATTCCATTATTCTCACCTGACTACCTCCTTCATGCTTCAGGTCAGACCCCACCTTCCCATCCAAATTAAACCCCCTCCCTGTTATTCACCTTGTTCTTTGCCTCCACAACATTTACAACAATTTGTAATTATGCATTTATTTGTTTAACATCTGTCTCACATTTAAGAAGACTAAGTTATTTGAGACAGGGGCTATATCTGTTACATGTCCCAATGTATTCCAAGTACCTAACATAGTGACTAGCACATAGTAACTATCCTATAAATATCTTTTTAAAGAATGAATGGAGGGAAGAAGAGAGGGGAGGGAGGAAATGCAGAACGCAGCTCCTGCCCTGTAGCCACCAGGGCTGCCTCTGCCCTTCACCTTTCTCCTTGCTCTCTCATCCCTTTGTGGTCTCTATTGTTGATTCTTCTGCTTTTCCCAGTTTTCTCTGCCTAAACTCAGCTCTTTCAACAAGAGACCTACTGTTTTCTACAACTACTTTAAGAGGCTTTGCCAGACAAACACAAAGCCTGAAAAACCCTCTTTTCCACATCTTTGCATCATGGTGGAGAAGACGCTTCCTGTCTTATCTTACTGATTATAACTTCTTACAGGAAGGGAGCCAGCATCAAATGTACAAAGGTAATTAATATATACCTCACTCTCGTTAGCACCCTGAAGGCACCTGTCCATAGCATGGTCCCCGCAGCAAGCTCTACTGCCAGTTTTCTTCCCAAGCTTAAATATCGTTAGTATAAACTCCTTCACAAGGTTTCTATTTGATCTTACAGGTAAGTTAATGACTAAATATTACTATATGACCTACTTTCTGGATCCAGTGGTCTAAGAGACAAATAAATAAGCTTCCTAGCCATGGAGTTAAAGGCTTTTGCTTAGTCTGGCTCTGCAAGTGGGGTTTCTACAAAATAGAAATTGACAAAAGTGGCTTAGGTATATGTTTTAGTTCTAGCACCTAGCACACAGCAGGGGCTCAATAACGTTCGTTGAGTGAATGGAGCTGCCTGCATTGCTCATGGCTGATTCACTCACTGCAGCAGCCTGTGCTTTCATGGATGGATAAATGATGAATGGAGGGAGAAAACAGGATGCTATGTTGATGATATATGAAGGCAAAGAAAGATCCTATTTTTTTTCTAGATGACTGTTTCACATGCTAAACAAATTCTGGTTAGGACTAGTCAAAAATCTTTAACAAATAATTGATCAAATTATATTGAGCATCTACCTTGTGCTACCCCTTTAGAAACAAAATTGCTCGAGATGATCCACAGAAAGCACTTATTATTGAATATGAATTAAAATATTTACGGTTATTTTCAACACTGGGAAGCCTAGCACTTGTCCACTGCACTGAGTTAAAATTTACCAATGAAGCTGGCTGTTCCACATGTTTTTAGAACAGTAGGGTTATTCATGATTTTTCTGACCAAAAATCAATGGTACAAATATGCCTGCTTCCAAGAGCTGTACTTAGTTGATTTACTAATTACACATTTTGGACTTGATTGTGTTACGCTGATGGCTTCTCAGAGACTAAACTGATGCCTGTGAAAGGCTGGTCACAATAAAATGCCAGTCACAATAGACGACAGAGCCAGTGGAGACCAGCTGGGGGAGCTGGGCCCATCAAGACACTGACAGAGGTACCATTTTGAAGCTCAGTGTAAATCCTTAATTACATGAGCTAAAAAAAAAAAAAAAGAAAGAAAGAAAGAAAGAAATACTCATGGGAATAATACACAAGAGCAAAAATAGTTATCTAAGGATTTCTTCAATAATGAGAAAATAAAACAGCAAAAGGCAGGAATCTGAAAACAAAGATACATGGAGGCTGACGAGTGTGGCTACTTTTCCAGACTTCATTTCATTCTTCCTCTTTTCTGCTTACATCACAGGGCTGTTACGTTCCTGGGAAGGTGATCATTTTGACTGAGACATTCGAAAAAATCCACTGTGTTAATTCTAGAGTGACTGGTGTTACTATCTGCAAGGCTCCAATGGTTCACTTCAGGCCCCAGGAGCAAGCAGACAGTGTTTTCACTCTTTGTGCAGACCTTTGCCACATACTTCTTATTCAATTGTAGCTCCATCTACATTTCTTGTTTCTATTTGAAATTCAAAACAGATTTCAAGCAACCACATTTTCTTGAACAAACATCATAGTCACTTTTTCTAAAAAATTCCCCAGTTGTAACTCTTCTTTGACTTTATGTTTAAATATTCCCTTCTGTAAACAGCCAATTAAATAGTTTTACTACTATGATATGAAACCAGGCAAATGAGCTCACAGAGACATCTATGGAACCATTTATCTGCTATTTGATTTATAAGAGTCTGGTGATGATTCTTGGACAAGATTTCTGGCTGTCATGTGCTGTTAATTCCAAATGCAGCAGGTGCCATTTGGGGGCAGCATGCAGGGGAAGAAGGGCTTTTCATTTTAACGGTAACAGCTCATTAAGTTCCCAATGCAATAATATTCAGCCCCACTAACAGATCTTATGCCTGTTCTTTCTTTATCTCGAAAGGACTTTATCAGTCCCACTCTACACAGGATCATAAACTATGAGGGCGAGATGGGACCAGTCCAATCCCATCATTCTCACAGGGCCTGAAAAGGGGAAGAGCCTTGACCCGAGTCTCACACAGCTAGTTAGTGCAGAGCTGACCAGGACCCAAGGCACTTAACCAGTCTACGGTGGTCATAATACTGTATTAGTGAATCCTCCCCACTAAAGTCTTTCCTTTTTCCTAAATTTATTTGAGATACCACATAGAGTAAACCTAATTGTGCAGGAAATACTTCTTAACCTTTTGCTCACCACAAACGGTAAGTAAAGAGAAAAAAGAGTTTTTCAAATATTTTTGTAAAAGTTCAAACATTAACACAAAGAATCAGATCACTTAGCTGGCCAGTTTCCTAAAGAAATCAGTATCACAGGTATAGCCAGCACAAAAATAAAAGGTATTTTCACAGAGCACCACCATCCATGGTCCTTTGCTTCATCCCTCTGTGGTGAACTGTACATCCAGGAAATAATATAAATGCTGTCAACCAGGAATGGTTACCTCTGGGAAAGTACTAAAGTACCTCTGAGCCCTGATCTTCCTAGCTTTGTACAGCACGGGCCCTTCCCAATTGTTTCCTATAATCCTAAGCTGTTTTATTTTTGCTTTGTGGCAGGAAGAGAATAAAAGTGCCCAGGGCTCTGCCATTTCTGCAAAGATTGTTCTTTAAGCAACTGTGTATTCTACTATTCTGTTTTAGAAAATGCTTTATACAGAAGATACATACCAGTCTTTACTAAGATGCCCAGCATGCCGACATCTTGAGCCCCACCAACATCATCCCTGCAATCCTAGAAAAGCATAAAGAAAGCATTTAGTCCAGTGTCTTCAGTAAGCTAGCCAACAAACATTACCAACTGATTTATTAGGCTAGGGTGTCCAACTGTAATGCCATGTTTTTTATTGAAATAGAAAAGAGAAGATGTAAAAGGTGAATCCACATGTAATACTCTGAGGAAGCATTCCAAATTGGGAAAGGGAAGTATCTCAGAGGTGGAAGGTATAGAATAGAGTAGTAATCCTGGTAACCAAACACAGAGAGCTGAGTTACAATTACAATTCTCTATGCTTTGCCACACCTACATCTATTTATCTCCCCATTAAACAGATCATGGAAAAATGCATTCTATCCATTTGGCAGTAAATAATACAGCTGCAGACAGGGAATGAGCTAGATTCAGAAGATAGCTTTTCTGTGGCCCACATAGTATGTTATCCTTACTTTCTATCCCATTGTCCTAACAGGTAGAATCAAGTTAAATCCAGATACTTAAACAGACTCTGACTGTCTGATGTTCACTTCACACTTGGGAATAACAGATCAGTCTGAAAAAGAAGCTCCTCTTTCTAATTATTATTCAAGATAAGGATAAATATACATCATCAATGATGATGAATGCAAGGTAATTAAAATTCCAAGGACTGAAAGAAAAATCAAAAAAATTAATCTTGCCACCTCATGTCTATAAGCAGGATTGATTCAGACCATGCCTGAAGAAAGTTTTTTTTTTTCCTTAAAAACCATTAATATTGTTCAACAACAGCCCTTGAAAATGAGTTTCAGAATGTCAAAATCCTGATTCAAGGTCCAACTTCAAACCATTTCTGTTACAGCTAAACTTGCCCTGTTGAAGAGTGGAGATGGGGGAGAGGAGATAGGGAGGTGGGAAAAAGAATGTGGACAATGAGACGGTGGGGGGCAGGGAACCACCACTTTCCTGGGTAACCAACAGCCCCCCATGCAGCACAGCTGTTGCATCCCTTCCCACCTCTCATCCTGTCCCAGGGCCAGCAACTCCTGGGATAAAGAATTCTGAAGGCTCCAGCTCAGATAACCACTTTTTTAGACATATTTGTCTAGGAAAGGCAGCTAAAGGCTTGTCAAGAGGAACAGGTGTGACTCAAAAGATGGTTTCTCAAAATACTACTGAGCTCAGTGATTATCCTATTCAATTTTAGGTGAATGATTATAGAAACAGAAGATAAAATCAGGAGGACTGTGATACACATTTCCACCATCACAAGTTAAAACAGCTAGGGAGGGAGTCCTGAGCTCAAGCTCTACTTCCAGCTGTGCTACTAATTAGCTATGGGAATTCAGGCTTGGTGATTCACCTCTTTGGGCTTCAGTTTCCCAGTCTATAAAATGAGGAGTTTTGGACCAGACATTTGTGACGATCCCTCCCAGCTTGACATGTTATTATTTAAAAATTGAAATATAATCCTGGCCACCAATTTACCATGTGGCAGTGTGCTTTCCAGCTGTTTTCCCATCAAGACACACATGGGAAATAACATTTGCCTAGTACACTGGGGTAAACTGACAAGGTGCTCACGGCCACAGGTGACCAGCCAGGGCCTCCAATCATCCCAGGCTCAGCCCTGCCACTCAAAGGGCTAAGGTGATCAATAGCTTTAGCTATTTGTGGCACACAGATAGAGAAGTTCTTCCATACAGCATATGCTAAGGAAAAAAACAATAGTGGTAGAATTCTTTGGTGTAGGTTCTCATTTGTGCAGCATTGTTTCTCAAAAAGACATTTAAAGCATTCAATTGACTTGCAATATAAATGGCTTTTGAACTATATATATAATATACAAATATATATATATTATAGGAGTTAACTACATATATATATGTATCATAACACACAAATCTCCTATTACGCTATGGAGAAATGTCAGAAATAATAAAAATTTCAGTTCTTTAGAAGAATACCACTAAACATCGACAGGAAACCTCATTTTATAGGTAGCCATTTATATATATACTGTCCACATTGTCAGTAACAGAATGTCCCCTTTCCTAAAGCAGTGTTTCTAAGCTGGCTTTCCCAGCACAACAGGTGAGCTGGGAGCACCTCCTGGGTTCTTCTACTTACATCTCCTATCATGACAGCCTCCTCAGGTTCACAGCCAGTGCCCCGCAATGCTTCCAAAAAGAACGTCTTCTCTGGTTTCCCCACGACTGTGGCTTTGGTATCTGTGGCATACTCTAAAGCAGTCACAAATGGTCCAGGCCCCAGGGCTAAGCCATCTTTCCTCTTGTAATACCTGGCTTTGTGGATTGCTATCAGAGGTGCTCCATCCAGGAGTAACCTAGAGAGAACAACAACAAAAAAAACAAATTGGCTAAAAGCAAGGCTTTTATGACTGGGAACGAATGTCAGACTTACAAAGTGGCTGTATTCACACCCACAGAAACAAATAGTTTCTTATTAACTTTTAATGACTTGCTGTCTTCTAATGAATTCACAAAGAACTGCTGGGAATTACACTCAGATACACTAAAGAAAGGTGATAGATTATTAAATTTGGGATTGCTTCAACCTTTTACCTTTAGTGGTTTCAGACACTACCCAAATCACCAGGGAAAGAGAATTAAGAGAACTAAAGCTAAATAAGACACTCCAGGGAAGAAGCTTAACTTAATGAGACAAGTTGTTTCAACCTTCCCCAATGGTAAGCAGGAGGCTCCTGAGCCTTTTACAATACTACACAATTGTTGCTGCAGTGATATTAACTCCTAAAATATCTGAACTCCTGTTTCCTCTACTCCAAAATGTAAGTTTCTTTTTAATTCAGAAATTTTTAATAAAGTGTTTTACAAAGAGTTTCTGCTTGCACTTTTACTTCTTTTACCTTTTGACTGCTTTCAACATTATTTTGCAAATCAGGCCATCTTTCCTGAAGAAAAAGATTTACAGGAGACCCTTCCCCATCAGGTCCCTTCCTTTGTCCTGATACAGGACGAAGAATACTCTCACATCAGACAAAAGGACATAAAGAGTTTTCCCATTATTTTGACAAGCAAATTCTACCTATAGCTAAGAATCCTCATTAGTAACTCAGGCAAAACAACAAGTCAAAAAGTCCCCAGAAATTTAATACTCATTTTCCAACACCCAACCTAAAACAACTGCCATCCATCACAATAATACAGCCTTTAGTCACATGGCAGAAGTACTCACGCACATATTATCATCTAATAGCATGCGGGACATGATATATTTCTTAAACTGCTTTTAACCAATGTAATAAATGATCTCACTAGCTTAATTTACTTTAAGTCATCTACTTCGTTAAAATATTTAGTATGTCCATCAAGGAAGAATTCATCATATCTTACCCTTCACAATTATGAGTAATTAAGCGCTCAACTATGAAACTGCTAAATTATTTTTGTCAGTGGGCATGGAAATGCCTTCCTGTGGGAGATGCAGAATTCAGACATTTATGATTAAATATTTTATTAAGTAAAAACCAATACTATTACAGGGCCTTACTGTTAGTTACTACAAATTGCTCACAGCATTGGACAGATCCTTCAAATTTATTCACTAATATTAATACAAATTTATTTCTTAAAGCTGCTCTTGAAATACAACTATTAGGAAACCTGGCAAAGCCATTCTGTTGGCTTTAAAGACCTAGAGCTGACAGCAATGAGTTACTAACGGGTGACTTATCTATCTCTTCTCCTGTCACCCCACCCCCAAGCCCACTTATTTGCTACTCTACCACGGAACTAGAATTCTTTATGCAACAGACCTCAAAATTGCTTTCCACTTATATAGCCTAAACTGAAAACTCATTTGATTTAGCTTTGTTAATATTTTATCATATATTAACTGGGGATAAGACTTATCAGCTTGATTGATGTGTGTACTTAATTCCCAGGCAGTACTTTAGTGCCTTCCCTGGAAGAGGTGAAACTGTGGGTTCCTCTACACTTCTCTAAATGGGAACTGGTTCTACACTAGGCTGGAGAAGTGTTATACATCTCTCAGGGAAGCAGTTCTTCCTTCTACTGTTCTTCTCTGCATAGCATAAGCTTTACTGAATCTTTGAAGAGCCAAGGCATATTGAGGATGGACTGAAAAGTAACTGTTTTCTAGGACACAGATTAAAAGATCTTTTATAGTTAAACATTTTTAAAAATATCAGAGCCACCCCAATACTTGGAGTATTTTTATACTTACTAGACAGGGCAACAAAAGGTTGGCTGTGACTATGGCTTGTCCCCCCAAAATTTATCTGTTGGGAAATTAATTCCCAATGCAACAGTGTTGAGACGGGGGCCTTTAAGCGGTGACTAGGTCATGAGAGCTCCACCGTTAATGAAGAAATAGGTTAGTTATTGCAGAAGTGGGTTCCTGATCAAAAGGATGAGTTTGGCCCCCTTCCCTCTCTTGTGTGCGTGCTCTCTTGACCTTCTGCCTTCTACCACAGGATGATGCAGCAAAAGGCCTTCACCCAGTGCAGGCCCTTCAACCTTGAACTTCCTAGCCTCCACAACTATAAGAAATAACTCTGTTCTTTATAAATTACCTAGTCTCAGGTATTGTTATAGCAGCACAAAATGTAAAAAGATAGTTGTTTTTAATACAGAGATAATATGTCAGCAGAAAATCTGAAAATTTTGTCTAACTATAAGCCTATTGGAGGCCAGGCACAGTGGCTCATGCCTGTAATCCCAGCACTTTGGGAGACCAAGATGGGAGGCCCACTTGAGGCCAGGATTCCAGACCAGCCAGAGAGACTCCATCTCTAAAAATAATATATATGTAATTATTATAAGAAATAATTATGCAACTTGCTTTATTGTGATACTTATTTTATTGCAGTGGTCTGCAACCAACTCCAAAATATCTCATAGACATGCCTGTATTTGGAAGAATACTAGATTGGTTTTTGGGTTCTGGGTTTTTGCTTCTGCAATAAAGCAAGTCACATAATTATTTCTTACAATTATAATAATTACATATATATAATTATATTTTAAAGGCACAAAGAAGGCCTAATTCAAAAATTTCTGGCTATAAATTCCATGTAGGTGAATAAACAAAGTGTAAAAAATCCTAGCCCAGGGAGCAGGGCTACCATATAAAAATCTCAGGCAGAGCAGCGAGAGAAAGCTGAAGGAGTGATTTAAATTTAGAGCCACACAATTCCTCAAAGCCCTAGAACCAGAAATACCATCTGACCCAGTAATCCCATTAGATTACCCAAAGGAATATAGATCATTCTATTATAAAGATACATGCATGCATATGTTCACTGCAGCATTAGTCACAAAAGAAAAGACATGAAATCAACCCAAATGCCCGTCAGTGATAGACTGGAGAAAGAAAATGTGGTACACATACACCATGGAATACTATGCGGCAATAAAAAGGAATTAGGTCATGCCCTTTGCAGGGACACGGATGGAGCTAGAAGCCATTACCCTCAGCAAACCAAACACTACATGTTCTCACTTATAAGTGGGAGCCGAGCAATGAGAAGACATGGACACAGGGAGGAGAACAACACAGACTCCGGCCTGTTGGGACTGCAGGGGAGGGAGACCATCAGGAAAAATAGCTAATGCCTACCGGGCTTAATACCTAGGTGATGGGTTGATAGATGCAGCAAATCTTCATGGCACACGTTTACCTATGTAACAACTCTGCACATCCTGTACTTGTACCCCGGAATTTAAAATAAATTTAGAGCCACAGAATATTACTGAAAGAGACCCAAAGGAACATCAAGTCCAACATGCCCCATTTTACAGATGAGATCATCTGAGATGCTGGCACCAATCAAGGAGAGCTAGAACCAGTGCTGGAAGCTGGAACCTGAAAACCAATCTGGGATTCTTCCAAATACAGGGATATCTATGAGATATTTTGGATTCAGCTGCAGACCATTGCAATACAGCAAGTATCGCAATAAAGCGAGTCACATAAATTTTGGTTTTCCATAGTCTATTAAGTGTGCAACAGCATTGTGTCTAAAAAAAAGTATGTGTGTTAATTTAAAAATACTTTATTGCTGAAAAATGCTAACAATCATCTGAGCCTTCAGGGAGTCATAATCTTTTTGTGGGCAGAAGGCCTTGCCTCGATGTTGATGGCTGCTGACGGATCAGGGTGGTAGTCACTGAAGGTTGAGTCACTGTGGCAATGCCTCAAAATAAGACAACAATGAAGCTTGCTGCATCAGTTTAATCTTCCTTTCATGAAAGAATTCTCTGTAGTATGTGATGTTGTTTCACAGTATTCACAACAGAAACTCTTTCAAAATTGTGAATCAATCCTCTCAAGCCCTTCTGCTGCTTTATCAGTTAAGTTTATGTAATATTATAAATCTTCTGTTGTTATTTCAACAACGTTCGAAGCATCTTCACCAGGAGTAGATTCCATCTCAAGAAACCACTTTCTTTGTTCATCCAAAAGAAGCAACTTCTCATCCATTCAAGTTTTATCATGAGATCGCAGCGATTCAGTAACATCTTCAGGCACTACTTCTAATTCTAGTTGTTTTGCTATTTCCACCACATCTGCAGTTACTTCCTTCACTGAAGTCTTGAACCCCTCAAAGTCATCCATGAGGGTTAAAATCAACTTCTTCCAAACTCCTGTTGATGTTGACATTTTGACCTTTCATGAACCACAAATGTTCTTAATGGCATCTAGAATGTTGAATCCTTTCCAGAAGGTTTTCAATTTTCTTTGCCTAGATCCACCAGAGGAAATCATTGTCTATGGCAGCTATGGCCTTACAAAATATATTTTTTAAATAGTAAGACTTGAAAGTCAAAACGACTCCCTGATCCATGGGTGGCAGAATGGGTGTTGTGTTAACAGGCATGAGAACAACATTGATCTCCTGGTACATCTCCAGCGGAGCTCTTGGGTGACCAGTTGCTTTGTCCATGAGCAGTAATATTCTGATGGGAATCTATTTTTCTGACCTGTAAGTCTCAATAGTGTCTTGGAACATTCAATAAACCATGCTGTAAACAGATGTGCTGCCATTCAGGCTTTGTTATTCCATTTATAGAGCACAGGTTTGAACTTAAAGTCACCAGCTGCATTAGCCCCTAACAAGATAGACTGCCCGTCCTTTGAAGCTTTGAAGCCAGGCACTGACTTTTCCTCTCTAGCAATGAAAGTCCTAGGTGGCATCTTTTTCCAATGTAAGACTGTTTCATCTACACTGAAAATCTGTTGTTTAGTGTAGACGCCTTCATCAATGATCTTAGCTAGATCTCTGGATAACATGCTGTAGCTTCTACATCAGCACTTGCTGCTTCATCTTGCACTTTAATGCAAGTTTATGGAGACAGCTTCTTTCCTTAAACTTCATGAACCATCCTCTGCTAGCTTCAAACTTTTCTTCTGTAGCTTCCTCATCTCTCTTAGTCTTCAAAGAACTGAAGAGTTAGGGCTTTGTCTTAAGGGAATTTTGTGGCTGGTTTGAGCTTCTATCCAGACCACAAAAGTTTCTCCGTATTAGTGATAAGGCTGTTTTGCTTTCTTATCATTTGTGTGCTCACTGGAGTAGCACTTTTAATTTCCTTCAAGAACTTTCCTTTGCATTCAAAACTTGGCTATTTGGCACGAGAGACCTAGCTTTCAGCCTATCTCGGCTTTCGACATGCCTTACTTGCCTTACTCATTTCTAGCTTTTGATTTTAAGTAAGAGATGTATGATTCTTCCTTTCACTTAAACACTCAGGGGCCACTGTAGGGTTATCAATTGGCCTAATCTGAGCATCATTGTGTCTCAGGGAATAGGGAGGCCAGAGGAGAGGAGAGAGTTAGAACAGCTGGCTGGTGAAGCGGTCAGAACACACACAACATTAAATTTGCCATCTTAACATGGGCATGGTTTGTGGCTGCCCAAAACAATTACAACAGTAACACCAAAGATCACTGATCACCACAACACATAATAATAATGAAAAGTTTGAAATATTGCCAAGAATTACCAAAATGTGACACAGAGACACAAAGTGAGCACATACTGTTGGAAATATGGTGCCGATGACTTGCTCAATGTAGGGTTACCACAAAATCAGTTTGTTAAAAAAAAAAAAAATGCAAGTGAAGCGCGATAATGCAAAGTGCAATAAAAAGAGGTATGCCTGAACACGACGCTGTCTTTCTAAATAACCATTTCCCCTGAAGATGAAGCATGTGGAAATGAAATTATACTGCAGATTAAGTACTGGTCAAACACCTACCATATGTCCAACGTCAAACTGGTAAGTCCCTCTCACCCCACTCCCCAAAAGTGTTTCTTTCCCAATCTTTCCCATCTCTGTAATTTCTCCAGTTACTCAAGCCAGAACCCTATCAGTCATACTTGATTTCTCAATTTCTCCCACCACCTCCACATCCCTATTCACTAGGAAATCCAGTAATTTCCAATTTTGAACAAAAATTAAAATATCTCAAAATTGTCTTACTCTTTCACCTGAACTGTAACAGCCTTACAACTGGTCTTCCTGCATTTTTCTCTTGACCTATTACTCCAATCCATTGTATAAGCAATAGCAGGAGTTTTGAAAAGTGCAAATAGATGTGATCATGTCCCTCCCCTGCTCAAAATTCTTTAATAGCTTCTCATGGCAACCAGCATAAAATCCAAAGTCCTTAGCACAGTCTCGAAAGCCTTGCCCTATCTATCCCCAACCCCGCATCTCCACTCTCAAGTTACCTTTCCCATTATTGACTGAGCTCCTGCCACAATACTTTGTTCTCATTTCCTCAAAAAATGTCAAGCTCTTTCCTGCTTCAGCCCCCATATGGTGCCCCCTCCTCCTGAAATGGTTCCCCATACTTTTCACATAGATTTCTTCCACTCATTTGTCAGGTTTCAGCTTAAATGTCAGCAAATCAAAGAAGTCATTTTTAATCTCTCTTTAAATAAAGTGGACTTCCTCCTCACATTTGGTAACTATTTCAACCCCTTTTTTCCTTCATATCACTTGGCATGATTGGTAATCCTTATCCTATTGTGTTTGGTCTGTCTTCCTCACTAGAACAGTCTCCATAATGCCCATCAGTTGTACTCATCACTGAATTCCCTACTTAAAAAAAATAAGGCCTGGTACCTTTTGCTAAATGTTTATTCAATAAATTAAATCATGGATGAACCTCTGCATGCCTCAGTGTCCTGACCTATGACAACTATTTTTATTCATAAATGTAGGAAGTATAGTAACTATACTAAAAATAAATAATGGCGAGTCACTTCACATTTGTGAGCTTCAGTTTCAAATGAAGCAGTAAACTAGTTCAGGGCTTTTCAGCACTATTTTAGGCCAGAAAATGCCTGCTGTGGGGGCTGACCTATGTATATAGGATGTTTAACAGCATCCCTGGCCTCTACCCATCATGTGCCAGTACCACCACCCCTCTCCCTCAGTTATGACAACCAAAAATGTCTCCAAACCTTACCAAAATATTCCTTAGGGGGCAAAACTGTCCCTGATTGAGAACCGCTAAACTAAAGTAATGCCAAAGTGTTAACATTCAACACACTTAAAAGTAATACCAATCAACTCAACAGACATAAACTATCAAAAGTTCAAACTAAAACTAGTGAATCATGAAAAACACGAAAGGAAAATCCCACTAACATTTAATTAATTGAAACCCCAAAATACCTCCAATGTCACACTGGCACAGTAATTCTCTTATTAATTACTGAAAAAAATGTAGTGAGTTTGTAAAGACTCAATGTTCCACATAAAATAAAAATCTACGAATACTACACATCCAAAGTGAAAGATGAAATGAAAAATTAAAATAGAAGATCTAAGACAACTTCAACACTGCTATTTCTAGTTATAATCAGAATTTAAAAAAAAAAAGTTTTGAAGTCTTTGGGATTAAAAACAAACATAGCTTACTGACCTAGTAAGAAATACTCAAAGTGGTAAAATACTGAAAGTTCTACCCCTGAATTTAGAAGTAAGATAAGGCTATCTACTATCACCATGTTTATTAGGAGTGCACTAGGAGTCCCAGACAGTGTAACATAGCAAGAAAAATAAAAAGAAATTTAACTCTAGAAGGAGACAATTAAAATTGTCATTATTGTCTACAATTGTCTATATAGAAAATGCAATCCAAAAGATTCTATTAATACAAAAATTTATTAGAATTAGCAAGTAAATGGAAGAAGACTGCTGGACAGAAGATTAACATACAAAAACCCAATTAGCTTTCTATGTATTAGCAATAAGCAAATAAATATGAAATTTAGCAAAATACAAGGCCGGGCACAGTGGCTCACACCTGTAATCCCAGCACTTTGGGAGGCCGAGGTGGGTGGATTACCTGAGGTCAAGAGTTTGAGACCAGCCTGACCAACATGGCAAAACCCCATCTCTACTAAAAATACAAGAATTAGCCAGGCATGGTGGCGCATGCTTGTACTCCCAGCTACTGGGAGGCTGAGGCAGAAGAATCGCTTGAACCTGGGAGGCAGAGGTTACAGTGAGCTGAGAGCATGCCATTGCACTCCAGCCTGGGCAACAAGGGTGAAATTCTGTCTCAGAAAAACAAAAACAAAAATACAATTTACAATACCATCAAACAACATGAAAGACAAGAATTTAACAAAATGTCTAAGACCCACATTCTAAAAACTATAAAACACTGATGACAGCAAATGTAAAAAAACAAAAACGAAACAAAAAAAAACTAAATAGAGATACATTTTATTTTCATAGACTGGAAGATATATTATTGTACAGATGTACATACTGTCCAAATCCATAGATTTAAGGAAGGATCAAACTCCCAGCAGGCTTTGTTTGTGACTTCAAAGTTGATTTCAAAATCTGTGTGGAAATCCAAAGGAGGTAGAATAGCCAAGACAATCTTAAATAATAAAGTTGGAGGATGTACACTACCAGATATTTAGGCTTATTATGAAGCTACAATAATCAAGACAGTATGAATGGCAAAAGTATAGATAAAGAATCTAGTCACTTGATTTACGTCAAAAGCACAATTGCAAATCAATGGGGGAAGAATGGGTCTTTGCAATACGTGTTGCTGGAACAACTGAGTATACACAGATAAAAATGAACTTCTATTTCACACAATTCACAAAAATTAATTCAAAATAGATTCTACACCTAATTGCTAAAAGTAAAACAATAAAGCTTACAGAAGAAAACACAGGAAAATATCTTCATCACCTTGGGGTAAGCAAAGATTTCTTAAACAAAACAGAAGAAAATACTGACAAATTGAACTACATCAAAATTAAGAACCTGATCTTCTCATACTATTAAGAGAGTGAAAAGGCAAATCAAAGATAGGGATATCTGTGGTACATATATTCAACCAAAGTCTTGTAAGACATAACACATTAAGAACTCTAAGGCCGGGCGCAGTGGCTCACGCCTGTAATCCCAGCACTTTGGGAGGCCGAGGCGGGTGGCTCACCTGAGGTCGGGAGTTCGAGACCAGCCTGACCAACACGGAGAAACCCTGTTTCTACTAAAAATACAAAATTAGCCAGGCGTGGTGGTGCATGGCTGTAATCCCAGCTACTCGGGAGGCTGAGACAGGAGAATTGCTTGAACCCGGGAGGCAGAGGTTGCAGTGAGCCGAGATTACACCATTGCACTCCAACCTGGGCAACAAGAGTGAAACTCTGACTCAAAAAAAAAAAAAAAAAAAAAACAACTTTGACAAATCAGTAAGAAAAAGACATCCCAATCAGAAAACGTAAAAGATTTGAATGGGTGCATCACAACAAAAGATATCCAAATGGCTAATAAGTATATGAAAAAGTTTCAACAGCATTACTCATCAGAGAAATACAAATTGAAACTGAGGCTGGATGCAATGGCTCACACCTGTAATCCCAGCACTTTGAGAGACTAGGGCACAATGATCACTTGACATCAGGAGTTTGAGAACAGCCAGCAACACAGCAAAACCCCACTACAAAAACGAATTAAAAATTAGCCAGGTGTAGTGGCACACATCTGTAGTCCTAGCTACTTGGGAGGCTAAGGCAGGAGGACCTCTTGAGTCCAGGAGTTTGAGGCTACAGTGAGCTATGATAGTGCCACTGCACTCTAGCCTGGGTGACAGAGCAAGACCCTGTCTTTGAAAAAAATAACAACAAAAAAAAACCAAATAGGAACTCAGTAAAGATACCACTATATACACCAAACAGAATAGCTACTATTAAATAGAGAATATAGAGCATTGGAACTCTCATTTGTAGCTAGCAAGAATGTATGTCTTGGTACAATCACTTTGGAAAACTGTTTGGCGATATTTACTAAAACTAAACAATTACCTATCGTACTATCTAGCAATTTCACTTCTAGATATGTACCCAAGAGAACTGAATGCACATGTCCCCCAAAAGACATATACAAGAATGTTCACAGCAGTTTTATTCATAACAGCCCAAACTGGAAGCAACCCATGTCCATTAACAGCAGAATGAATAAATAAATTGTGGAATATTCATATAATACACTACTACTATACAAAACAACAACAAAAACAAAGAAGCAAAATAAAAACCAAAGTACTGGTACACGCAAAAACTTGGATAAATCTCAAAAGCAGACCAAAAAATGCTATAATTCTATGATTTCATTCATATGAAGATTAAGAAATGGCAATAATTATAGAAGTCAGAGCAGTGGTTATCCTGGGGAAGGAGTGGTAGTGACTGGGAAAGGGAGCCACCAAGGATGCTGAAAATGTTCTATATCTTGATCACCAAATGGGGGTTACATAGGTATATCTATGTGTAAAATTGTATTGAGTTGTATACTTAAAATCTGTATAACTTACAGTGCATGTTTACCTCAGTTTAGAAAAATCAGTAACAGAATATATTTTTATGGTTTGTTCACGTAAACAAATCATATTTAGAGTAGCAGGAGCTGCCTGCTAAATATATCCTCAAACTACAAAATAAGAGCAGTGATTCTGATACTCAATTCTGTATCCTATGATTTTCAGATCTGCATATAAACTTCTCCTACATACACTAATGAAATGCTTTAAACATCTCAAGTTCTGAAGTCTTAAACAATTTCTCACCTCCAAAGTAGTATTTTAGAGTCTGGACTTTAATTAAGAACACTGCATAGCAGTCAACCCTTTCAAAAATGGGAAAAGCCCATAGATATATTTCTAATTTGAGCCCTGCTGCTACACTGTTCTGGGATTCCTCATGCTCAGGGCTCTAAGTACTTAGGAAATATTCAGGAGTTAGCGTACAAATGCAGTACTGAGGCCATTACTGTCTGTTTGTCTTGTTCTTTCTTTCTTTTCTTCCCTTTACTAAGGATTTAATATACCAGAGTAATTAAACTTGTAATTTTTCCTTAAGAAGGAGATGGGGGAAAGCAAGCAATCCAACAGTCAACAAAGACTTCTTATAGTGGTAAGAAGCTCATCCTGAAAAATTAAAAAAAAAAATTCTGCACATCTCTAAGACTTTTGGAGGACTCTCAAACTCTACAGCAATTATGGGAAGAATGTTATTAACAAAACTTCAAATACATTATTCTTAAAAAGGCTTCATCTATAAATTTAAACATGAAAGTTGTGATGCCATTTCTCTTCAGGTATAACGATATTTTAATAAGCTACTCTAGGAGATGGAGAGCAGTTTCTTAATATAGGGAAAAAAGGCCTCAAACGTTTCCTAGGCTAAGTAATTCCATGTAGTTTTTTTCCCCAAAATTCCTTTGCCTGGCAACTATACTTCTGAAAAAAAAAATCATAAAGAAAGCATAAATACTGCTCAACAAACATGTTCTCAGGAGTTTTTTAAAATGAATTTCAAAAACCTGGAATACCAGCCAGGAGCAGTGGCTCACGCCTGTAATCCCAGCACTTTGGGAGGCTGAGGCGGGTGGATCACGACGTCAGATCGAGACCATCCTGACTAACATGGTGAAACCCCGTCTCTACTAAAAATACAAAAAATTAGCTGGGCGTGGTGGTGGGCACCTGTAGTCCCAGCTACCTGGGAGGCTGAGGCAGGAGAATGGCATGAACCCGGAAGGCGGAGCTTGCAGTGAGCCAAGATCGCACCACTGCACTCCAACCTGGGTGACAGAGCAAGACTCCGTCTCAAAAAAAAAACCTGCAATACCAACAGCAATAGGAACTTGTGGCAAAGCAATTCATTGTGCTTCTTAAAATAGAGTATATTGTAGGAATTAAATAGGTTTTAGAATAATATTTAGGAACATGACAAAGCATGCACAATACATTAGGTTTTTAAAAAGCATGTTACTATATAGTATATACACATTATAAATTTTGTGTAAACATGTATGTGTATAGAAACAAAGAAACTGGCTATGTGCTAAAATGTTAACTGTCGTTCTCTTTAGGTGGCAGCGTTACAGGTAATTTTTAGTTTATTCTTTCTTGAGCATTTAAACTTTTCCACGATGAGGATATATTAATTTTGTGATTAGATATTTTTAGTCTTGTTAATACTAAGTTCAGGTTGGATTATAAGTGACTTGTTTGTCTTCCTCCTAATAGTAATCATTGAGTTCAATTATAATTGGTCCATTACTTAAATGCTCAAACTTTGGGTTTTTTTGTTTTTCGAGATGAGCCGAGATCACACCACTGCACTCCAGCCTGGATGACAGAGCGAGACTTGGTCTCAAAAAAAAAAAAAAAAAAACCAACCACAATTCTCAATTCCGTTCAGGCATTTAAAAGATATTTGTAGAAAGGCTGTACTATGCGTTTTTGTGGGGTGCTATCCACTAAAAACACAGTAAATAAGATGCAGCATAATGTGAAGTTTGATGTATCTGCCTTGATGTAACATGCCTCTGAAGCCAGCATGCAATGGGCTTTAAAATCCAATGTTTATTGTCATTATCAGCCTAAACAGTAATTTAACTAATCGGTGGTTCATTTAAGATGTCTGTATTTGCCACATACAATCCATACAGCTGCAGTCATTGGTTGGAAGGCAGTCCCTGTGGAAACATCAATATGCAAAAAGGGAAGACCTAAAATCCTTCTGTTAACTCTCCATCCAGCTGTTAAGTGCATTTGTGAAATTAGAGTTGACCTATAAGTGCACTGTAATGTTTTAAGTTTATAAAAAATCAATATGGTTAGGAAAGTGTACTAATTAGACAGCATCCGAGCAATTACAAAGTCAGTATTATGTCAACATACATTTTTATTTCCCTGAGTCTAGTATTCATTAAGACAGAGACCTCCCAATTTCCTATTAAATATGTCCTTCCCAAATTGCCAGCTAAAATTAATCAATATCTTCTCCTTGAATTCTGTGGTTAAATAAATGAGTGAAAAGTAGTAGAAGTAAATTCAGAAAAAATAATAGCAGATTCCGTTTCAAATGAAAACTGATATTGGTATAGTTGTAGAACTTACTTAAGGAGCAGATGGCATAGTCTCTCCCTCCTCAACCAAAGGCCAAAGTAGGATAATTGAAAAGGCAGGGGAAGCAAAAGTAATTTTAACACCATATACACTGAAGTACATCTCCAAGTGATCTGACGTTAACAGTGGATGTCCAGGAAATAATTACAGTAAATAGATACTGGGCAACTATAAAAAGTGAGTTTGCTCCTTTTAAACAAGAGCTTGACTATCACAGTGACTAGAGTCACAAATAAAAGTGCATTAAGTAGTTGTGGTTTCCATTAACCAAGAATCTAAAATTAATGTGCACACACGGTAAACGGTGGCTGTTCTCAAACTGCTATTTCTGGCCACATAGATTTTACATGAGGGCAGTCATTTTCAAGATGAACAGCAAACAATGTGCCCAAATGTGTGAACCTGGGTAGTGAGTTTTAGTTTCCTATAAACATTCTATTTCTGTAGTATATACATGAAGAAATGAATTCTACATAATGTATAAGTTAGAATGGTTCTTACAGATCCTTGCACTGGTAAGAAAATTCTGGTTTGTTTTTTTTTTATAGCATTCTTGCAGTTAAATACAAAAACTTTACCAGGCTATTAAAGAAAAATTTTCTAAGCTAGTCCAATATGCAATATTTTGAACTATATACTTGACATACATCCAAAGGTAAATTATACTGTTTAATGGTTTGACAAGAAATAAAAGGCAAGACATGAAAAATTACAAAATCCAAAGAAAAGTCACAATCTCATTCTACGGCAGATCTGCAGGTAAATTCTGATCCAATTTATCTTGGGAAGTACAAGAACAAGTATGCAGCCTTCCTTTTAGAAGTAGCAGCAAAATAGTTCATTTAAGTGAAATGCACACATTAACTGAAGATTTATAATATCTTATATACTAGTTCTACTTCTACCCACAGCCACTGATGTCTCTCTGCTTGAATATCCCATAGACCAAACCTAAACTCATCACCTCTTAAATCCCAAACCAAGGGTTCTCTCTTACTTGCTCAGATTAGAAATCTCAATGTATCCTTGACTCACTCTTCTACTTCACTGACTAAACTCAAAAGTAAGACATGCTGATGGTCTCTGAATCTGTTTTTCTTCATCTCCACTGCCACTATTCCAGTTCACCGTATCATTACCACTCATCAAATAATTTATTTTAAAGTGTGGTCAAATGTGTCAACTCTTTTCCATAACCTGGATTCTCACTGGAGGTAGAATCGCATTTATTGTTTTTGGTGGATCAGCCTGGATACTGTTTTCCTTTGGAGATTAGCATAGTCAGTAGAGAATCATAGGAGTAATAATAAAAGATAAAACTGCTGCTCGGGCGTGCTGGCACACGCCTGTAATTCCAGCACTTTTGAGAGGCTGAGGTGGGCAGATTGCTTGAGCCCAAGAGTTGGAGACCTCCCTGAGTAACGTGGCGAAACCCCGTCTCTACTAAAAATACAAAAACTGAGATAGGAGGAGCACCTAAGTCTGAGCCTGGGGAGATCGAGGCTGTGGTGAGCCATGATGATGTCACTGCACTCCAGCCTGGGCGACAGAGTGAGATGCCATCTCAAAAACAAAATAAAAACAAAAAACATACTACTCACACAAAAAAGTCAAGATAGTAATACATATTATTTGATGCTGATCTTGAAGATGTCTATCCTAATGTACAATTTAGGTGGCCAGAAAGTAAAACACATAAACCCATTCATGACAATGACAAAAGGAAAGGAAGAAGGGAACTATTATGATCAGATGAAAAATAAATAGCTAGGTTTACCGGAATGCTTGATTCAGAATTTGATAATGAAAATGTTCTGGTGCCAATCCCATGACCACAGCATTAGGATCACTTGTTTGTATTCCTGGGAACGGAAAAAAAAAATGATTGTTGCAAATGCAATTAAAAGCAATGTCACATTTTAAAAAAGTAGTCTTAGTCAATCAAGTGCAAACTTTTGCTGTATCCATAATTTAAAATTTAATAGATTATCCTGCCCAGTGTACTTTGGAAGTATAAGAGAGTACACAGAAGGAGAGGGAGAGGGAGATGGGGGTTGGGAGGGAAAAAGAGAGAAAATCTAATATTTTTCCATATTCCTTGTGCACAGTCTTAAGGGTACTAAGTAACCAGAAGATCTGAATTGAAAATTGTAACCTGATGTCCTCAAACAAATGACAATTTCTAACTTCAAAATGCTTTACTGATTACAATCAACAATAACTGCCATGAGTTCCCTATGAACTATCAGATCGATAGCAACTGATGAGGGACTGAGAATCTAAGAGGCAAGGGAAATTAGACTTTCTAATTGACACAACTGAGGTTAACACATTCATGATTAATATGAAATGCACTGCAGAGTCTACAGTTTTCTGCATAATGCCTTATCTACTTTTAGTTTCAGAAATATTATTTTAAAATTAAAGTATGTTTTAAGGCCTTGGCATCTTATAACAGAACTTCAGACATGACAATCAAACGAGTACATTCTCCATTACAACTTTATTTATTTATTTATTTATTTTTGAGACGGAGTTTTGCTCTTGTTGCCCAGGCTGGAGTGTAATGGTGCGATCTCAGCTCACCACAACCTCCGCCTCCCAGGTTCAAGCAATTCTCCTGCCTCAGCCTCCAGAATAGCTGGGATTCCAGGCATGTGCCAACCACACCCGGCTAATTTTGTATTTTTGGTAGAGACGGGGTTTCTCCATGTTGGTCAGGCTGGTCTCGAATTCCTGACCTCAGGTGATCCACCCGCCTCAGCCTCCCAAAGTGCTAGGATTACAGATGTGAGCCACCACACCCAGCCTCTCCATACCATTATTAAAGGTCTGATTAAAGGTTCCATGGATTATCCATATGCCAATTCCTATTTGCCTCTCTTATTGGCTGCAGATATCCAGGCTTTCCAACTTCCTCCTTACCAGTAGCCATGAGTATTCTCCAGTAGTTTCTTTGCTAACACAATAAGCTATTCCAGACTCATACCATGCCTGTCCAGATCTGAAATCAGTAATTTCTCCAAAGAACTACAGTGGGAATTGACAGTAGATACCACAGTCTGAGCACTGGGTTGTCATTACTTTAGGCTTTTCCAGTGGAAGATTACATAATATGTATTATTTAAAAGAAAAAAGGAGTTCGTAACTGTATTTCCTATTCAAAAGTAGTCATACACAGCTTGTATTTAACTTACTTGATTTTTATTATTGCATCTCTTTTCACTGACACTAAAATCTAATAGTTACTACTTTGCTTTTTCCTATATATACCTTTAATTAAAAAAAATACCAGTATTACTAATAACAATAAGACTCCTGAACGCAGTTTAAGATCTCTTTGTAGTTCTTTTGTCCTTAGAATTTATCCCACTATGAATGAACAGGTCAAAATACTGTACTTTAAAGTCA
The DNA here is from genome assembly GCF_000001405.40 of Homo sapiens. Lineage (NCBI taxonomy): Eukaryota > Metazoa > Chordata > Mammalia > Primates > Hominidae > Homo > Homo sapiens. The sequence goes on from NC_000018.10 coordinate 47,131,878, forward strand.
TTTGAAGTAATTCTTTTCTCTGAGTGGTTATGCCACCAACCTCATACAGACCTAAGTTCATTTCTATTTGGAGGCTGGTTTTTCACTTAATCGTCTTTTCATTGTATACAATATTCACATGGTTCCAAAGTCAAAATTATGTAATGGGGACTTTTTTAAAAGCCTCCTATCTTGATCCATCCCCTCTTCCCTTGCTTCCCCTTTAGGTAACCATTTTTATTAGTTTTTCATTTATCCTTCTTTGGCTTCTTTTTACAAATATAAGACAAATACATATGTATATCCATTTTCTTCTCATTTTCCTATACAGAAAATGTGTAAAGATTTCTACATCTTACTTTTTTCATTTAATATATCCTATGCAGAGCACTCTTTATCAAGAGATAGAACTTTTCATCATTATTTAATTTTCAGCTACAAAGCATTCCATTTTGTGAATATATCACAGTTTATTCAATCAGTTCCTTCTGATGAATATTTGGGTTGTTTCCAATCTTTCGTTATTACAAATAAGGTAGTAATGAATAACCTTGTTCATGTCATTGTGTATTTTTGTATCTATATTTTAGAGATAGATTCCTACAAGTGCTGCTTCATATGTAATTTTGCTAGCTACTGCCAAATTCCTCTCCATAGGCTTTGTGTCATTTTATATTCCTGTCAGCACTCAGATGCTTTTAGTAAATTTATTTTCTGTTTAATTCAGCAAAGTTGGTTTCTGTTTCTTGCAAATAATAATTCTGATTGATACATTGGCATATTTCCTATTAGTACTAGTTTTGAGGTCTGCCCAACTCTATAGCCATGCTGAACTTATAAACTCCATTTTCTATATTGTGCCATTGCACTCTAAGTATCCTCTCTGAAAAGAAGCAATGTGGCAAAGCTTCATAAAACTATCATATTCTTTCAGAATCGGTTGACTTTTCCAAAGAGAAACACTTTTTTCTTGATTGAAAAATATTTCATGTTCAATGTAAAAACTTCACACTATCCAGAATAACATCTACTTTAAACAAAGAGGTCCTGGTGTATCTCATTTAATCAAGTTAATTTAGTGGTGCCTGCATTGAGGATTAGCTTATAATACTCAAAGTAATTTTGACCTGTGTTCGTTTTTTTATTTCCATTATTATACTTTAAGTTCTAGGGTACATGTGCTCAACATGCAGGTTTGTTACATATGTATACATGTGCCATGTTGGTGTGCTGCACCCATTAACTCGTCATTTACATTAGGTATATCTCCTAACGCTATCCCTCCCCACTCCCCCCACCCCACAACAGGCCCCAGTGTGTGATGTTCCCCTTCCTGTGTCCATGTGTTCTCATTGTTCAATTCCCACCTATGAGTGAGAACATGCAGTGTTTGGTTTTCTGTCCTTGCAATAGTTTGCTGAGAATGGTGGTTTCCAGCTTCATCCATGTCCCTACAAAGGACATGAACTCATCCTTTTTTATGGATGCATAGTATTCCATGCTGTATATGTGCCACATTTTCTTAATCCAGTCTATCATTGATGGACATTTGGGTTGGTTCCAAGTCTTTGCTATTGTGAATAGTGCCACAGTAAACATATGTGTGCATGTGTCTTTATAGCAGCATGATTTATAGTCCTTTAATGGGATGGCTGGGTCAAATGGTATTTCTAGTTCTAGATCCTTGAGGAATCGCCACACTGTCTTCCACAATGGTGAACTAGTTTACAGTCCCAACAACAGTGTAAAAGTGTTTCTATTTCTCCACATTCTCTCCAGCATCTGTTGTTTCCTGTCTTTTTAATGATCGCCATTCTAACTGGTGTGAGATGATATCTCATTGTGGTTTTGATTTGCATTTCTCTGATGGCCAGTGATGATGAGCATTTTTTCATGTGTCTTTTGACTGCATAAATGTCTCCTTTTGAGAAGTGTCTGTTCATATCCTCCGCCCACTTTTTGATGGGGTTGTTTTTTTCTTGTAAATTTGTTTGAGTTCTTTGTAGATTCTGGATATTAGCCTTTTGTCAGATGAGCAGATTGCAAAAATTTTCTCCCATTCTGTAGGTTGCCTGTTCACTCTGATGGTAGTTTCTTTTGCTGTGCAGAAGCTCTTTAGTTTAATGAGATCCCATTTGTCAATTTTGGCTTTTGCTGCCATTGCTTTTGGTGTTTTACACATGAAGTCCTTGACCATGCCTATGTCCTGAATGGTATTGCCTAGGTTTTCTTCTAGGGTTTTTATGGTTTTATGATCTGTGTTTTTTCAAACCACGGGTCGTGATCTATTATTAGACTGTAAAACTAATTTGGAGGGCTCTAAACAGCATCATAATCAAACAATCAAACCAAAAAGAAAATAGAATGCATGTTATACAGCAAGAGTAAGTATTGCTTAACTTACATAAAGACACACATATAGATATGTATTAGGTTACTATGTAATGTGTTTCACTTACTGTGGATTACAGTCAAAAAAAGGTTTGGGAAATGCCAATTTAGATTCAAAATATCAGTATTATCAAATATTTCAAGAAAAACGGGGAAATCAGAATAAACATCTCTAAACATCCAGTTTTAAAAATGATTTGTAAGTACATATAAATATCCAATCTTTAAATTTTCCAAATTTCCCCTACCTTTGAAATCAGGTAGTGCCCGATCATCAACTAGCAGCATGGGTCTGACTTGTTTCCGCTCTAGTAAACTTCTGGCTGCAGTCAGAGATGTGAATATTTCATCTTCAGAGATATCAAATTCCAATTTTCTCAACCTTTCTAACAGGTCTTGCTTGCTCTCTTTGGTTGTATTGGTCACAAACCTAATGATTACAGAAGCACCACGTAACCTGGAGAGGGCCAAATTCAGAAGTCAAAAGGCAGCTTTTACATTCTGGCCCTATAAAATCTCCTAATTTGTTAAAACTGTGCCAAATGTTTTTATGGCCAGCAACATGACAATGTGTAGCCTCTTGCCCCTCCAGAATGGCAGGTTTACAGTTTACATAGCTACTTAGAGATGTCATTGTTCACCAGATGTAAAAAGATTTTTCTTTCAATCTACAGTAGAAAGCTCATCTGTAAAGCAGTAAAAGCTCTGTCCAACAAGAGCACACTGATTAACAGACATCCATTCCCCTATTAAGGAGTCAAGATAAAGTCCAACCGTGCAACAGATTTTTTTTTTACTTTAAACAACATGTTGTCCACTGCTTCTCCACCTATAAAATGAACATCATGACTCCTAACTAAATTGGTAACTCCCAACTGATGCCTGCCAGATATATAAGTATGTATTTCTTGATTCCCCAAATGAAAGGTAAGCTCCTTGAAAGAAAGTGAGGTTTGTGTCAATCTTTTGCCCTAATACCTGGCACTGTGATATGAGTCACTAGATTTTTTCTTTTTTTTTTTTTTTTTTTTGAGACGGAGTTTCACTCTTGTTGCCCAGGCTGGAGTGCAATGGCACGATCTCAGCGCACCGCAACCTCCGCCTCCCAGGTTCAAGTGATTCTCCTGCCTCAGCCTCCCTAGTAGCTGGGATTATAGGCATGTGCCACCATGCCCGGCTAATTTTGTATTTTTAGTAGAGACGGTGTTTCTCCATGTCGGTCAGGCTGGTCTCGAACTCCCGACCTCAGGTGATCCACCCGCCTCGGCCTCCCAAAGTGCTGGGATTACAGGCGTGAGCCACCGCGCCTGGCCTATGAGTCACTAGATTTTCTGATTAACACCATACTATGAACATTTTAAGGTTGGAAAACATGTACCACATACTAAGTATTGCTGATTTTGAAAACTTCTCTAAATTATTTTAGGATAAAGATCCTTAATATATGTTATTGGTTCTGTTGTGATTAGTTGATTTTTTTTTCAGGACACCCAGAAGCAAACATTCACATTCCGCTTACTTTAACATACTTTTACTAGGTGTCTCATTTGTATCCAGACTTCTGTTTAGTATTGTGGTTGGTACATGAGAAATATAAGACAGTCCTTAGCCTTTAAAAGTGTTTAGTTGATGGAAATAACACAAAAATTTCAAGTTCTTTAGCTAAACTTTATTTGAGCAGTTGCACAATCGATGTTAGATCCTAGGTAAAACAAGAAAGAGCAGCATTATGCCTGTCTGTGTGTGTTTTATTTTGTGATTCCAGGATTCATTTGTGATTTTTTCCAATGATATTTATTCCACATTGTAGACTCTTGAGTTGTCATTCCAACATTTATATTACTGACTTAGAAAATGACATACATATAGAACAAAAAGACTGGATCAAAAGGCCAAACCTAATAAAGGCTTAGAAAACAATGTTTGGAAGAAATTGTAATGCATACATCTTCTAGCTAAACCCAAGGCAGTTCCTATATATGGTTAAGATGGTAAAATGCCATCTTAAGGCCATCCATTTAGCTAATGATCTGCCGTGGTAAAATGGCACTTACAAACATATTTGTCAGCTGAACCTGGAGGATAGCTTGCCTTTTAAGAGCTTCCTGTGCGCCTGGCACAGCTGCATCTTCAATGTGAAGTGTGCCACTGAGATCTACCAAAACAGCTTTTAATGCACGGCATGCTGCCATCCTTCATTCCCTAGGAGAGAGCAAATGAAATTAAAAATACAGTTTAGGAAACAATGGACAATTAAAAACTGGTAAGTATTCAAAAATATCACTCATATCCAGAAAGATCCTGCTTAGTGTTAAGCTGCTTCCATTTTGGAGAAAACTGGTTTTAAAAATTACAAATCCAAAATTTGATCCATAAACCTTTTACAATACTTAGGTTTTTTTTTAAAAAAAAAAAACACTTGAATTAAAACTATAGGAAGCAAAACGCTTACAGAGGTATCACTATTTACTTTCAGGTTTTTAAAAAGAACTCTGGTGAACAATTCATTCATTTATTTTATTTTTAAACCTGAGAATAATGTACTCCAAAGAATGGGTGGATGAAAGGACTAAATCATTAGCAGAGTCTTCTTCATCTTTGGTTATGTATAATGCAAATATTCTCATCGCCCTTCTTTGCTGCTGTAACCTGAAACAGAATATGTGGCTCTCCCTCGTCCACCACTGCCACCTCCTCCTTTTTGCCACTCTTGGTGCAGACATGGTACCTCTTTTGTGAAGTGGCAGCTGAGGAGACTCTGGCAGTCACCATGGCCAACAAAAAGCCCAAGGAAGAAGTCAAAACTGAGAACAACGATCATATTAACTTGAAGGTGGCAGGGCAGAATGGTTCTGTGGTGCAGTTTAAGATTAAGAGGCATACACCACTTGGTAAACTAATGAAAGACTATTGTGAATGACAGGGATTGTCAATGAGGCAGATGAGATTCCAATTTGATGGGCAATCAATCACTGAAACAGACATACCTGCACATTTGGAAATGGAGGCTGAAGATACAATGGATGTGTTCCAGTAGCAGACGAGGTGTCTAGCGAAAAGGGAACCTGCTTCTTTACTCCAGAATTCTGTTCTTACAGACCAAGCTTACATTCTCAATCAGAAAATGGCGATTTGATTCCACCACATCCTGATGACTAGTTTTCTCTATTCTTTCCTTTCCTCTTTCCCCATTCCTTTACAGTACACAAAGTAACTGGTATATGTGCACAAGCATATTTCATTTTTTTAACTAAATAGCCAATGGTATGTTCTGATTGACATCAAGTGGAGATGGGATGGGGAAAAATACTGATTCTGTGAAAATACCCTTTCTCCATTAGTGGCATGTTCATTCAGCTATCTTTACATTTCAGTAAGTTATTTTGCTCTGTTTTAACAACAACAACAACAAAAACCCCATAAAAATCCCTGCATATCTTGTTCAATTGGAGAATTTTAATGTTTTTCATTTATCAATGTAAAACCAAAGACAATTTTATAACTTTTTCTGCGTAGCTGTTACGTATAGGGCAATCTGTCTTTAAGCAGGGATAAATTACTCAAAAAAAAAAATCCTATTTTTCCCTTCAAGTCAAGCATCTTGGTGTTTAAATAAACTTCCTGTTGGAAAAAAAAAAAAGAAGAACAGGGCTGGGTGCAGTGGCTTAGCACTTTTGGGAAGGCCGACGCGGGCGGATCACTTGAGGTCAGGAGTTCGAGACCAGCGTGGTAAAACCGCGTCTCTGCATCTCTACTAAAAATACAAAAATTAGCTGGGCATGGTGGCAGTTGCCTGTAATCCCAGCTACTAGGGAGGCTGAGAATGAGGCAGGAGAATCACTTGAACCCGGGAAGTGGAGGTTGCAGTGAGCCGAGATCGCACCACTGCACTCCAGCCTGGGCGATAGTGTGAGATTCTGTCGCAAAAAAAAAAAAAAAAAAAAAAAAAAAAAGATTCCTTTACAGTGGAAAAACCTGCCAGATACACCTTAAATCAAATGATCAAATTAACACCATTAGTAATGGGACAAACCAACATCATGTGCTTCCTGAGAGAGACAACATCACCTGTGCAGGATTCCTACTTAAATGTTCAACCCAAGTTGAAGCATAAGGAAAAAGTCAGGCAATTCGAACTAAAGAAAATTGTACAAAACAATTGGCTGGGTGAGGAACTGTATCAAATTAAAGGAGTCTGAAGAGACATGGCATCTAAATGCAATGCATGAGAGTAATATAAAGCCAATGGAGCAAGAATTAACAATTAGTGACTTCAGGTGAAGAATATATGGTTTTTACTGCACTATTACAAACTTTCAACATAAAAAGTTTGAGAAAAATAAGTTAATAGGAGATTTCTTATCAAAGTGGGCGAAAGAAGGATGTTTTCATACCTAATAACAGTGTGATATATAAATATACAAAATGATTTTTTCCACGATTCCTGGCTCATAACTCCCATAGCCTTTGTTGAAGTAAACAGAATCTCTCTGACTTTCTCCTGCCCACCTTTCATCTGCCCAAGGCAGAACTCTCATCTGATTGTGGGTCAAAAGACCCTCATTCCAGAGAGGTTCTGTCTCATATCCTGGAGGAAGGAATGCTGCACAGGGGTCAAGAACAATCTAAACAGGCCTTACTGGGTTTAGATCATACCCTTTACATTCAATCACATTTTGACACAGTTGCGCATACTTCAATCATACCTATCCAATGAAGTCTCCATTGATAGGGCTCCATGGGGGCTTTTGGGGAGCTGATCACATGGAGGCTGATAGGAGGGTGAACAAGAATGCACCCACATGCTGTGAGGGTGGCACACCCTAACTCCATGGGGACAGAAGCTCTCACTGGGGACTCTTCCAGACCTTGCCCTATGTATCTCTTCATTTGGCTGTTAATTTGTATCCTTCAAAAAAATCCTTTGTTGGCCGGGCACGGTGGCTCACGCCTGTAATCCCAGCACTTTGGGAGGCTGAGGTGGGTGGATCACGAGGTCAGGAGATCGAGACCATCCTGGCTAACATGGTGAAACCCCATCTCTACTAAAAAATACAAAAAAAAAAAAATTAGCTGGGCGTGGTGGCGGCGCGTGTAGTCCCAGCTACTCAGGAGGCTGAGGCAGGAGAATGGTGTGAACCTGGGAGGCGGAGCTTGCAGTGAGCCAAGATCGTGCCACTGCACTCCAGCCTGGGTGACAGAGCGAGACTCTGTCTCAAAAAAAAAAAAAAAAAAAAAAAAAAAATCCTTTGTAGTACATTGATAAATGTAAGTAAGTGTTTCCCTGAATTTGGTGAGCTGTGCTAGTAAACTAATCAAACCCAAAGTGGGACATGTGAAAACCTCAACCTGAAGCCAGTCAGTAAGAAGTTCCACAGGTCAGGACTCGTGACTGGTGTCTGAAAATGGAGGAGGCAGTCTTGGAGACTAAGCCCTCAACCTGTGGGATCTGACACTATCTCCAGGTAGACAGTGTTGGAACTGAATTGGAGGACAACCAACTGGTATCTGCTGCAGAACTGATTGCTTGCTTGCTGATGGGGAAAAACCTCCACATATTTTGGGGTCACAGAAGTCTTCTGTATTGACTGTTGTTGTGTTAGTGTGACAGCAGATGAAAAACAGTTTGAATGTTTTCTTCCAGAATGGTAATAGTTATACAAAATGAAATTCCATGTATCTACCTCATCCCCAACTTAAGAACAGAACTAATGGCAATATTGCTGAAGCCTCCTGTAAGAACCTGGTCAGTTAAATTTCCTGGAAGTAACTGGTACAATTAATTTGTGATAATAATTTTCTTTCTTTTCTTCATATTTTTTACCAATTGCTTAGTTTTACCATTTTAGAATGTTACAAAAATGAAATCACAATGTACACATTCTTTCACAATTTTCGTGATTTATTTTGCTCAACATTGTATTTCTGAGATTCAGCCACGTTGGTGCCTTTTATATTCTACCAAAAGCAAAACCAAGATCCACCTTTTGGGATTCTGACTAGAACTACATTTAATCTACAGAGCAATATCAGGACAACTAAGATCATTATTATATTGCCATCCTATCCATCAACATACTGTATCTCTCCATTCACATAATTTTTTTAGTTTTATAAATATCTACATAAATGGCTTGCATATATTTGTAGACACAACTCTATCATTGCTATATTAAATTATTTTAAATTACTTTTCTAACAGTTTGGTGTTGGTGTATTAAAATACATTTTTTGTTGTTATTGTTGTTTTTGTCTTATATCCTTTAACCATTCCAAACTCTTTTTTTTTGAGACAGGGCCTTGTTCTGTCACCCAGGCTGGAGTGCAGTTGCATGATCACAGCTCACTGCAGCCTCGACTGCCCATGCTCAAGCAATCCTCTCACATCGGCCTCCCAAGTAGCTGTTTCCACAGGTGTGCACCACCACGCCTGGCTAATTTATTTTTTCTGTAAAGATGGGGTCTTCCTATGTCTCTCAGGCTGGTCTCCAACTCCTAAGCTCAAGTGATCCTCCCACCTTGGCCTTCCAAAGTGCTGAGATTACAGGTGTGAGCCACTACACCTGGCCCCAAACTTTCTTAATTCTAAAATAAGAAAAATAGAAACAAAATTGTCACTTGTAGTTGGTAGTTATTATCTACATAGAAAATTATTGTCTACATAGAGAATTTTCTATGTAGACAATAATTACCAACCACAAGTGATAATTTTTTCTATTTTTCTTATTTTCTGTTTTATTATTCTAGTTAGGAACTCCATAATTGAATAGAAGTAGTGATAGCATGCATCCTTATTCTGTTCTTGAAAGGAATGCTTTTAGTATTTAAACATTAAGTAAACTTACTGTAGAACTCTGCTGATATTTCAGCCATTTAAGAAAGTTCCCTTCTATTCCCAGTTTGCTAAAAATTTTTGTCATAAATGGCTATTGGATTTTACCTACTACTTTTTCTGTATCCAATGAGATGATCACATTTTTTCCCCTTAAGCTGTCAATGGGGTCAATTAATGTTAAGACAATCTTGCACAAATCCAATGCAGTCCTGATATATTATCTTTTTTTACTTACTGCTAGATTCAAATACTAAAAGATAAGAAACAACCTAAATGACCATCAACAGAAGGCTAGTTTAATAAATTATGATATTTGCCAGGTTTTTCCACATTCAGTATTTTTCCCTTTCACATTTTATTCTTTGGGGCTGAGTCATTAAAGAGGGTAGGGAGGAACTAAACTCCACCTTCTAAAAACAGGAGTGTCCTCATATATTATTTCAAATTCTTCTGTGAGAAAGACTTGTTCTCCATTGATTTACTCAATCATTTATTTTATGTAATCAGTATGGGCTCACAGATATTTATTCTATTCTTTGTGCCATAAGCTAATACTATGTCATTTAGTTTGTTGCTAAAATTGTTTTAGCTTTGGCCATTGAGAGCTCTCTCAGGTTGGCTCCTGTGCCTCCATCCTTTTGTTTTTTGAGCACTTCTTTGCTTTTGGAACTACATGATGCTCCAGACTCATCTTGTCTTTTCCTGTAAGCTGATAATTGATTACATTTTGATATGGTTTGGCTGTGTTCCCACTCGAATCTCATCTTGAATCGTAGCTCCCATAATTCCCACGTGTCGTGGGAGGGACCCAATGGGAGGTAATTGAATCATGGGGGTGGGTTCTCCCATGGTGTTCTAGTGATAGTGAGAAAATCTCCCAAGATTTGATGGTTTAATAAAGAGCAGTTCCCCACACATGCTCTCTTGCCTGCCAGCATGTAAGACATGCCTTTGTTACTCCTTTGCCTTATGCCATGATTGTGAGGCCTCCCCAGCAATGTGGAATTGTGAGTCCATTAAACATCTTTCCTGTATAAATTACGCAGTCTTGGGTATGTCCTTACAGCAGCGTGAGAATGAACTAGTACAGATTTTTAGATGATTGGGAAAGAAATCAAAAGAATAATATTTTGTGATACCTTAAAATAATATGAAATTAAAGTTTTAGTTCCATAAATAAATGTTTTTCATTTCATAAAAAAAAAAAAGTTTGTAGAAAAAAATTTTCTTTCCTGTTAACTAGATATCTACCTAATATTCTCAATTTTACTTTTTGGCCTGCAAAGCCTTACTATCTGGCCCTTTACAGAAAAAGTTTATTGACCCTGTGCTAGGGGAGGAGATTCCTACTGGAGAAGAGTGGCAAAAAAACCCCAAAAAACCCTAAAACCAGCAAGCTAAACACCCTTAATTCCACTTACAGAGACATACACATAACATTATGCCCCATATGGTCACAGAATGTGAGTACATACGTTCTCATAAAGAAAAAACTTGTATATGCTTCTATTTAGAAGTGTGAGGGCAAAAGTGGGCTTTGAGGAGAAAGAAAAATAATGAGGAAAATACATGTGATTATATAAGAATAAGAGAACAGACCATAAATATTTAAGTAATGAACAAAAAAAACATTACAGCTACACAGGATCTTCGATTATCTGCTCTCGAACCACCCCTCACCCCTTTCTACACACACTGGTTTTACACCTTAGTTGGGAAAACCAAGGTCCAGATAATGTCTATATAGATATTACCTTCTCTTGAGAATGATGGTGCTCAGATGAAGAAATTACTAACAAAGATTTGTTACTAAATTTGCCTTCTAACTTTTTCTAAAGGTTCAATGCGCCTGACAAACTACTCTTAAATGAAACAGAATTTACCTCCCTACACAGAATATACCAGACATACCACACAAATATTAAATAGATCTTTGGCACATTATTTATAATAAACCTGTTATATTAATGGAAATAATGTTATTAATAATGTATAAAATTAGATATACAACAGGAATAAAAATTTAATGAAAAAATTTAGAAGCACGTGTCCAAGAAGCTATTTTTCTCTTTTAAAAGAAGATTGTTGGCCAGGTACAGTGGCTCGCACCTGTAATCCCAGCACTTTGGGTGGCTGAGGTAGGAGGATTGCTTGAATCCAGGAGTTCGAGACCAGCCTGGGCCATAAAGCGAGACCCCCATCTCTATAAAAAATAAATTAAAAAGTAGCCAAGCATGGTGGCGTGTGCCTGTAGTCTCAGCTACTGGGATTGCGTAAGCCCAGGAGTATGGGGCTGCAGTGGGCTATGACCATGCAGTCAGGGCAACACAGTGAGACTATATCCCTAAAACACACACATATATATATATTTGTATTCTACTAATATTTCCTCATCACACTAAAGACACAACTACTCATGATGCTTAAGAAATAATGCAGTGTTCTAGTAGAGTTATTTTTCCAGTTAACTGAAGGTAACTAGAAATGATAAGAAATGTTTATTTCAAATAACTATTACTCAAAACGTTTTGGGATTTTTCTCTTTAGGAATTACCATCAATGTTAGCATATGAGCCATACATGAAAATCAGCCTCATTAACCAATGGCTCCATTTTATTTTTAACTCCAAGTGGCATTACTCTCCTTGACTACCCATCTCATTCAGCAGGCTTTATTCTGACACTTTCAAAATTATATCCATCTTTAAAGCATACAAATTGTAACCAATAAAAATATCCCAAAGAACATGTACTAGCTCAGAAAGCAATTCCAAAATAGGAGTCCAAAAAGATCTTGAGCAATGTAGAAGCTTATCGTTTCCTACCCTGACTACTTTGAAAGAGTAAACATTTATTGATGAATAAACTCTGGTATGCTTATTTTTAAAACTCACTTTAAACTTGGGCTTCCATAATATAGCAGGCTAAGAATCAAATTAACTCTCCAAATAAAGCCTAACAATACTAGATAAAAAATTATACACATGTGTGTGTGCACGTCTGCACGCATGCGCATGTGTGTAAGCCACAAGGTGCAAGGAAAAAAAGAATTGTTAGATCTGAATAAAAGCAAGAAACTCAGGAGATGAGCAGAACCCTGTGGCCTGTTTTGGCTCCAAACGTATCTGTCACACTATGTGACCTTAAGTTATCTTTTTCCCCATGGGCCTCTTCAGGGAATAAAAGATAAACTCAGAGCCCATCTGAAGAGATAGATCCTCTGACCTAAAAACCAAGACCTCACTGTAAGGGTGAGCCAGAAATAAACTATCCCAGGCACTCCCTCTCTACCTTGTCTCAGTTGACTACAAGAAAATCAACTGCTTTGAAACATGGCCCAAAGGGGTGGTAGGTATAAAGTGCTGCAGAGAATTTGGAACCATAAACCAGTGCTGGACCCAATTTGCAGACCAAATTCACATTACCTAAGATAAGCCTCAGAAAAACTTCAAGATTGTAATTAGCGTGACCTTGACTAGCAGGTGCCTGGCTACAGCAAATATAAACCCTCCCTCAAAATACTAGTTTTCAGCCCAAACAGCAAAGAAATCCCATAAATAAAATCAAATAGCCAAGCGTGGTAGCATGGGCCTGTAGTCCTAGCTACTTGGGAGGCTAAGGTGGGAGGGACTGCTTGGGCTCAGGAGTTCAAGGCCACAAAGAGCTATGATAGCACCACTGCATTCCAGCTTGAGCAACAGAGCAAGACCCTGTCTCAAAAAAAAAAAAAAAGAAAAGAAAAGAAAAAAAGAAAAAAAAACAACACAAAGAAATCAAATTATAAGAATGATGAGCAAGTAACCTAAGGAAACAAGCCATGGTAAGGGAGAACCTACACAAACAACAGACTGCATAAGCAGCCCTATAAGGGCTTCTTATTCTTCTAATGTAATTATCATAATGCCTACATGTGTAAGGAACAAAAGGCAAGATCAAAAATATGAGGAGAAAACACATGAAAGACTATCAGTGTGCAAATTCAGAAGGCCCAACGAATTCTAAGCAAGATAAATGAAAATAAATCCACATCTAAACCCTTGCTATACGCCAATGGCAAAGAGAAGATCTTGAAAGCAGCCAAGGGAAAAGACAAATTGCTTTCAAAGGAGCAACATTTAGACTCAGATTCAATGCAACTCCAATCAATATCCCAAAAAGTGTCTTGTGAATTTGATAAGCTGATACTAAAATGTTTACACCAGTACAAATGGCCAAGTATAGCCAAGACACTTCGGCCAAGACCAAAGAAGAACAAGAAAGTAGGCGTTGCTTTACCTAATATCCAGACTTACTTAATGAGGTCTTGTAATTAATTAAAATGGTGTGGTATTAGTACATATGGAGACGAACTGATCAATGGAACAGAAAATACAGAAAAAGGTCCCAATATGTGTAGAAAATTCATATATGATAGAAGTAGTGTTTCAGATTAGTAAAGAAAAAATAAAATGATCAATAATATGGTGTTGGAACCATGGAATATCCACATGAGAAAAAATGAAATTGGACTCCCACATCACACTATACACAACAATTTTCTTTTCCAAGGAGATTAAACAACCACATGTTTAAGGCAAAACTAAAACTTTTAGATAGGAGAGTATCTTCATGACTTGAGGACAGAAAAGGCTTTCTAAAATGAGACATAAAAAGCACAAACCATTGAAGAAAAGACAGATAAATTCAACTATATTTCAAAAGCACCACAAAGAGAGTGAAAATACAGAAAAAGAACTTATTTTTCTAACACATGTGGGAAAAGACGAGATTCCAGGAAGTATAAAGTATAAACATTAAGAAAAAGATGAACAACCCAATAGAAAAACTGCATAAGATCTTAACGTAGCCTTTACAAAAGAGCAAATCTGGCCGGGCACAGTGGCTCATGTCTGTAATCTCAGCAGTTTGGGAAGCCAAGGCGGGTGGATGACCCTAGGTCAGGCATTCAAGACCAGCCTAGTCAACATGGTGAAACCCTGTCTCTACAAATACCAAAATTAGCTGGGCATGGTGGCAGGCACCTGTAATCCCAGCTACTCGGGAGGCTGAGGAAGGAGAATCGCTTAAACCTGGGAGGCAGAGGTTGCAGTGAGGCCGAGATCACACCATTGCACTTCAGCCTGGGCGACAGAGCAAGAATGTGTCTCAAAAAAAAAAAAAAAAAAAGAGCAAATCTGAACAGCAAATAAATGAAGATACTCAAAGCTCATTGGTAATCAGGAAAATGCAAATTTCAAGCACAGTGAGATCAATGCACCAACCTACAGATGGGCAAAATTTAAGTCTGCAAACACCAAAGGCTGTCAACAGCAATTCCCACATGCTGCTAGTGAAAGAATATACTTGTACAAGCATTTTGGAATCAGTCTGGCATCACCATATCCTACAATCTGGCAGTTCGGCACTTCCAAGTATACCTTTGAGAGATTCTTTCACAGTGTACCATGATACATGAACAAAGACGTCTATAGCAGCACCATTTGTAACAGCCAGAAAATGGAAACAATACAAATGTCCATCAACAACAGAATGGATAAATAAGTTGTGGTATATTTACACACAGAAAAAAATGGCAGTAGAAAGAACTTACATTCACACACATCACCTTACACAACTCTCGGAAATCTACTAGAGGGTGAAAAAAGCAAGTCAAAAAAGAATATATACAGTATGGTTTCATATTATAGTACTCAAAAATACAGATGCATACATAGGTGATAAAACTGTAAAGAGAAGCAAGGGAATGATTACCACAAGAGTGGGGATAATGATTACCCTCCAGAGGACAGGAAGCAGATGCAAACCAAGAGGAGCGCAAAGGGAGCCTCTAAGGTCTGGCAATACTCTACTTCTTAACCTAGACAATGAGAATATGGGTGCTTTTAATTATACTATAATCATTTTAAACATATATGTTTTGTATACTCTTCTATAGATGATATATTGCACAATAAAAAATGAGTCTTATATTTTAGTCAGTTTTTTCTCATACATTTAATAGTTATAAAAAACTAAATTAGTCCAGTAGTCCAGACAATTACTATACACTCAGCATAAAAGCCTCCACCTTCAAGGCATTTTGAATTTTAAGTAAATCCCCGATTCTGTTTGTCTTTCATAATGTATCTGATGAAAGAGGGAAAAAGAAGACTGCAGAGGTTAAAAAATATATTAAGAGCTGTGGTTAATCAAATTTCAACTGCAAAATCCTACCTTCTCTAATAGTCCACATGTTATTCTATTTCTGATCTTTATTGTGACCTTGAATTGAAGGATTATATAAGCAAGAGCATCAACTATTACCTCCCTGAGACAGAAAACAGCTTGTTCATCAAAAGACTAGACCGTTCCTAGGGATTCCATTTGGATGTGTAATAGTTAAAAAATTATTTGAAGTACACTACAAAAGAATGGACCAAAAAAAGGCATTTTCTTTTCATATATACAGAGGAATCTAAAATTGCTTCTCTCAAAACCCAGCTTTTATGGGAGATATCTAATATTCAAGAAGAAACGTTACCTCTGAAGGTGATTAAAGAACAAATATGAACAAGACCAGAAAAGCAATGAAAGTAAGAACTGTACTATTTACTTGGAGCCAAGGAACTGTCATAATACATATTTATCATTTTAATCCTTACTGAAGCATCCACACAGGCTTAATGTTACCAAAACATTTTAAAAGCCTATATTCTTTGCTCTCACCAGTTCCATAGAACGTACCTTTTAAACTCTAAAATGCTCTTCTGGAGCACCACATATTTGAGAGTGACTGACTAAGGCCTAGAATAAAATTGAGGTGCCCCACTCATACCTCAAAATATACTTACTTCTTCAGTTAGTCCCACTAACTTGATCACTTGATCACTATGACCTCTCTTCTTGTCCAAAACTTTGTTTTTTCTTTCTTTTTTTTTTTTTTTGGAGACAAGGTCTGACTCTATCTCCTAGGCTGGAGTGCAGTGGCACTATCTCTCAGCTCACTGCAACCTCTGCCTCCCCGGCTCAAGCCATCCTCCCACCTCCGCCTCCCAAGTAGCTGGAACCACAGGTGTGCACCACCACGCCCACCTAATTTTTGTACTTTTAGTAGAGACGGGGTTTCACCACGTTGCCCAGGATGGTCTCGAACTGGTGAGTTCAAGTGATCCATCCGCCTTGGGCTCCCAAAGTGCTGGGATTACAGGTATGAGCCACCAAGCCTTGTCTGAACATGTATAATACTCGTTACCTGAACTACAAGCTGGTATTTGATAAAATGTAATTGTAAAATACTAATATAACCCTCAAAATAACTATAAAGGCTTCAAAGGTAGTGCCTGATTTTGTTTATCTTGAGTCCATACCCATCTCCCATAATCGGAACAAATTACATGGGACACCCCTTAGAAGAGCCATAAACCACTGACAGTGGTACATATTCAATGCAAAGAAGAAAAGCCATATTCTCTCATCCCAAGAGGAGAACTTCCAGATACTTCAGAGGACATCTGGGCTTGAATATCACTGGGGCATCTCAATCCAAGTCCTTTCACCCTCAAAGGTGCTCTTTCCCAGCCATCCTTATGAGTGGTTGGCAGCACCATCAATCCAGACACCAAATTATGTCAGTTCTACTTCCTTTACAGTCTTATATCCACTTACTTCTCTTCATCGTTTTTAAAACTACCTTTTTGAAGTTGGAAATCAACTCTCATCTAGACTATTTAAACAACTTCTTAATTGTCCTCTCTACTTTGCATCTCCTATTACCAGCCCTAAATTATTCCCTACAATGCAACAGTGCAGTGGTTAAGGACAAGAACAAAGGAGTTGTATAAATTTATAGCCTGGGTATACATCTCCACTCACTAGCTGGGTGAACCTGGGCAACCTTCTTAACCTTTTTGCCTCAGTTTCTTCATTGCTAATGTAGAAATAATAACACAACTCTAATGGTTGATAAGAGGATTAAAGAAAGTAATACCTATAAAGAATTGTGAATTGTGTCCCGCTCAGAGAAAGGTTGGGTTATGTATGTGGAGGGCTGGGAGAGAGAAGCAAGGAGGGAACATTATGGATATATCAAGGGCTACAAAAATCACAGGATACACATGATGCAAAGTTCTAAAGCATTAGTATAACTTGAGGATTTGAGAAAACACATCTAAATATATATTATGGCATATTATTCAAAACTTGCATACTTACAACAAGAGATTTTAATACAAATTTTCCCTTGGGAAATTGGGGCGCTACAAAACATGCCTCCTAAAACCCCTGGGAAGTACAAATTTTCTTTCCTTCCCTATATGGTTCCAGACTTTTCTGGAACCACTGTAGGCATTCAATAAATGACGGTATTATTCAGCCACTCCCCAGTTAAAACTCTTCCAGTGACTCCCCGCTGACCTCTGGATAAAGTCTGAACAATGAACACTGGTGGACAGAGTCCTGGTTTACCCTCTCCAACACATTTGTCTCTACTAGCACCCAAGTTCCATGGTACTGCAGGCGGCCAAGAGCTCTACACTTTGCCTCCCTCGTTGCGGGACTTTTGTCTGCAACTACTCGGGCCCCTCTACACCCTCATCTCCTGGCCAATCCCTTTAGCCCTCAGTCTCTGATAACCATCACTTCCTCTGGCGTGCCTCCTCTGGGTCCAACTCCTTTTCTCCCAGAGTTAGGCTAGGAGCCACCTGTGGTCCTACTACATTTACCACTGTCCTGGTTACCAGCCCGCGCCTCTCCTACTAAACTGTTAAGCTCTGTGCATAAGGGACTGTGTTGCCTTTCCCACTGGGTTATTTAGGCGTTCAATAAAGATCGTGAATTAACTCATGAATCCCGGTGTCCACAGCTGGAAGGCCCCAACAACAAACTCTTTCAGCACCAACTCAACTTCCATCCCCCCATCTCTTGGCTGGGAAGGGGCCTCAAGACTGGTCACTGCACTCGGTTCTAAACCAAGTACCAGGGCCTTAAAAACGCCAAACTGACCAGGAGGGACGCTAGCTCCAAAATACAGCCCAAGAGCACGCTTCGAGGAATGACTGACACACTAGCTTCACGATCCGCCCCGCAGAGACCCACAGCGCGCCTCGCGCCCAGCTATGCGCACGCGCGGGGCCACTGCAAAGAGGGCGGTTCCGACGCGGAAAACAGGGAATGCGCACAGAGCAAGAGCGCACGGCCCGGCTCGAGAGGAGGGGCGGCCTGGGGGCGCCACTAGTAGTTCCCGAACCCTGTCACAAAATCTGCAGCCTCCCGGCCCCAATTGCGCTTCTTCCTCTTCAGTCCTACAGCGGCTTCTCACCCACACTCCGTACGCCGTCCTCAGGAAAGGCCCCCGCTAATGGCAAAGCCAGCCACCCGCACTGGCCGCGGGTCCTCAGCCGGGATAGACAGCCCCGCTGCTGCCCGACGGACGCCGGAAGTTGGGCCCTGGCCGCGCCGGAAGCCCCGGATTTCCCGGCTCCGCCCCACCCCTTCGCCCGGGATTTCCGCCGAGGCGGTGCAGCTACCGCGCCGTGTTGTCCTCTGTCTGCACCGCCGCTGACGGAAAGCTAGGCCCTTCTGGAGACCCGCTTTCCCAAGGGCGCGGCCTCCTGGGCCGGGATGCACGAGGAAAAATAATCCCCTGCCTTTCTTCGGTAGCTGTTTTCCAGTCCACAGCACCACTGCTGAACCGAGCGTTACTGAGTAGCGTTCTTTGCCTTCACCCCTCCCTTCCTCTACCACTTGTCCACTCTCGAGGTTTAACTAAGAAG
This sequence comes from Homo sapiens, assembly GCF_000001405.40. Taxonomy (NCBI): domain Eukaryota; kingdom Metazoa; phylum Chordata; class Mammalia; order Primates; family Hominidae; genus Homo; species Homo sapiens. The sequence goes on from NC_000018.10 coordinate 47,150,832, forward strand.
TCATACTTTACTAGACAACCCAATCTCAGAAGTCGTCATTTCCCCCTTAGCTACTTGAATAGTACCTGGCACCTCTTGCTTCCTCCATTAACTACTCCCTCGGGCAGCGACGTCCCTCCTTTCCCTCTTCTCTCCCGATTAGAGCCACTACGGGCCGTGCCTTCCTCTTCCACGGGAGCTCTATCTTGGTACACCCAGAACCACCTCCCTCCCTAACCCGCTGCCACACTCGTGGGGGTCTCTACCTGTCTCCTCTTGATCCAGGTAAGTTATGTGGACCTGAATAATAGAGTACAGAAAAGTCACTCTTATGCACTCACTATGAAAATGACTGAACAACTTTCTGGAGCCGTGTTGACATAATAGGATACTCACTCGGGTTACACCTTATACAAGGGTTATACCCCTTGATAAAACCACTGCTCTGTCCTTGACTAGGGACCCATATATGCCACCCGTATGCCACAATCTAACACCCCCACTACCCAAGGCTGCAGTCAGCCCTGTTAGGAGCTGTGACCCATTCTGTCCCTTGGACTAGGAGCCATCTGCTTTTCCTCCCCACTGGATCTGAAGTTTTTTTGTCTTACTCATATATGCTAAGTTTAAGTTTTCTGTGTGAGGGTCTAATTGGTTGAAGGAAAAAGGATTTGGTCCTAGTTTCCCCTTATGAGCCAGCTGTCTTTGACCAGATTAAGACATCACCAAAGGATTTTAAGTGGGTAATATAAGAAGTGTATTTTTCTAAATGCTTCCTCTGCCTGCAGTATGAATAGATAGGAGAGATGCCAGAATGGGTGAGACCAGATAAGAGACCCACTGCAGGGCCACAAGAGAGATACTTGAACTAGAATGTGTGGAAACAAAGCAAAGAGGATAAATTCATAGGAGGCAAAACAGAAACTGGTGACAGATTAGATTGGGGTTAGGGAGAAGGCATCAATTATCAGGCTCCAAGACTAGGCAATTGGGTAGTGTAACTGATTTTTTTTTTTTTTTGGAGACAGGGCCTCACTCTGTCACCCAGGATGGAGTGCAGTGGCACAATCATGGCTCACTGCAGCCATGACTTCCCAGGCTCAAGGGATCCTCCTGCCTCAGCCTCCCCAGACAGCTGGGACCACAGGTGCACACCACCACAACTGGCTAATTTTGATTTTTGTAGACAGGGTGGGGTCCCACGATGTTGCCCAGGCTGGTCTCAAACTCCTGGGTTAAAGCAATTCTTCCACCTCAGCCTCCCAAAGTGCTGGGATTACAGGCGCGGGCACCAATGCCTGGCCTCATTCAGATTATGTGGAATCATGGGACAGGACTAATGGCTTTCTCCTCTCCAAATGGATCTACTTGATGAAAGGCAAGCTAAGAAGAAATTCAGCCCCTCCAAAGGGAGGGACTGGATTCAGAAAAAAAAAAAAAAAAAAGGAGCGGGGGGGCAAAAAACCCAAAGGAGTGAAGCCATAAAGCAGTATCTGAACTGGAACAAAAACAGTAGGAAAAACTTATCTTGATCGTTGATACCCTTGGACATAGCCCACTGTGTCCCAGGTCCTTGCATCGAATGTTTTCACAATATTTGACTTCTAATGAAAAATCAGGGGCCAAGAGAAATCTTAGCAAAGAAGAATTCCATTACCATTGGTATCAAAATGTTATTTTTGTTGTTTTGAGACGGAGTCTCACTGTGTAGCCAGGCTGGAGTGCAGTGGCACAATCTCAGCTCACTGCAACCTCTGCCTCCCGGGTTCAAGCGATTCTCATGCCTCAGCCTCCCAAGTAGCTGGAATCACAGGCATGTGCCACCACACCCGACTAACTTTTGTCTTTTAATAGAGACAGGGTTTTGCCATGTTGGCCAGGCTGGTCTCAAACTCCTGACCTGAAGTGATCTGCCTGCCTCAGCCTCCCAAAATGTTGGGATTACAGGCGTAAGCCACCATGCCCAGCCTCAAAATGTTACATTGGTAATAACTTAGAAACTAATAAATCAATGAGAAAGTGATTTGCTTCATAAGAAACATTTTACTTAAGGAGAACATCTCTTTGGTTGAAGCACATCTAGATACAAACATTAGTGATCTGGAAAAGATATATATATATATCTGGACCAGACTTCTGTTCTGAAGGTTATTGACCAATTTTACAGATAGGACAACCAAAAACTACTGAGGTCTTAGGAAGTTTATTTGCTTTCAGTCACATGGTAAAAGGTTTGCTTGATATATTAGAAATATCTTGCCTCCTAGTCTTTTTACTAGTCAAATATCTTGCTTTCTCTTGTCATTTCACCAGTAATACACATCTAACACATATAGAACACAGATTGCCTACTCTTATTGTATCTAAAGCAAGGATTTTGATGGGGAGAGGAAGGTGGGGGAACTCATTTAGCTTTTTATTTCAATAGCTTTAGGGGTACAAGTGGTTTCTGGTTACATGGATGAATTGTATAGTGGTGTAAAGTCTGAAATTTTAGTGCACCCATCACTGGACTACTGTACATTGTACTCAGTATGTAGTTTCTGTTTCCCTCACCCCCTCCCACCCTCCCTAAAGCAGGGATTTTATTTTTTTATATTTTTACTTTTTTAACTTTTAGGGGTACAGTACATTTGTTAAATAGGTAAACTTGTGTCACGGGGGTTTGGCACAGATTATTTCGTTATCCAGGTGCTAAGCCTAGTACCCAGTAATTTTTCTGGCACTCTTTCTCACCCTCCACCCTCAAATAGCCCCCAGTGTCTGTTGTCCCCCTCCTTATGTCCATGAGGTCTTATCATTTAGCTCCCACTTATAAGTAATAACATGTGGTATTTGGTTTTCTGTTCCTACATTAGTTTGTTAAGGATGATGGCTTCCAGCTCCATCCATGTTCCCACAGAAGGTATTATCTAATTCTTTTTTATGGCTAAAGCAGGGATTTTTATAAGATACTTTTTAGCTATATTTTTGAAAATTTAGGGTTTTATGGAAATGCCTTGGGAAGCCTGACAAGAGTGCAGTGGAGGCTGAATAGTGAGCCTTTGAATCCCAGCTCTACTTCAACTAAAAACAAATAAATGGACCTACTCTCATCTGGTTTAGATACGGGAATGTTACAGTTCTGTGTCAGAATTCCTTTGAAAATCTGGTTCTGCTGTTAACTATAAAAGTTTGAAAACCACTGTACTTGATTAGCGATGAATTTGGTTAATATCTACAGACTAGAGCCAAGAACCTTCGCACAGTTCAGAGACATGCAAACACAGGGCCAGAATACATAAGGACTATAAACATCATCGGTATTTGGAGTCCAGAATCATCACAAATTGTTAATCCTGGTAATAGATAAAGGGGAGGACATGGGCAGGCCAACAGGCACTTAAGTTACTGTCTACTAAAATAACACACTCTGTTTACTGAATCACAACTGCTCTGGGGAAACCAGGGCTGACCAGTGAAAGCTTACAGACCCCTCTTCAGCCACAAACTGGAATTATGAAGTGGCCTCCAGATATGACATATTTTGATGTTCAGTTCAGTGCTTCACTTTCCTCAGAACTACTTGGCTACAGAATACTTTGATCCTGGCCCTTCTGTGACTGCTCCCTGATGGAATATTTGGACAAAATCCCAACACTGAATTAAGATGAAGGTATGCTGTAATGTCTTATATGAAAAATAACATCAGATCAAGGTCTCTCTTTTCTTTCATTTTAAAAAATTTTGTACTGCTCATACCATATGGGGAAATGGGCCTGCCCTCAAGTAACTGCTTCTTTTGAATCTTTTCAGTAGCTCAAACTTGAACTCAGGCATCAGTTCTTTGTAAGGCTAAAAGAACACGGCCTCTAAGTACCAAATTAGTCATTCACATGAGCCAAGTAATCAACTAAGAATCCTTGGTACTTTCCTTGGACTAGCTGCAAGCCTATAGTCCAAAGATCACTGATCTCTAACTTAGGAAAGGCCAAAAGGTACTTAATACCTGCTCCATAGTTTTAGAAGTAACTGAAGTCATGAAATAAAAGGTGCTCATGAGTCTTCTGGATGTATGTCAGCAATTCAGTTAATTCACTGAAGAAAAAAAAATACATGTAAATATTTACTTTCATTAACTCTATACTCGGCAATTTTACAGCAAAGAACATATAATAAGAGGTGTTCACCCAAAATGGAGATTAATGCAGTTAACACTGACAGGTTTATACTAAGGTACAAAAACAAGTGCTTGACTTAGAAATTTAACTTTATTTACAAATGTTCTCCTATAAACAAAGATGCCATTCTACACCTTTAAAATATTGTAACTGATAATTTCCATAAAAACCATTTACATAGTTTCAACCTTTCTGCATAAAACTGTATTATGAGATAGGCAAACAATCTCACAAGATGGTCTGAGACATAAAAACAAAAGACAACCTATCCAGCATCAATGTCCTATTGACAAACTCAATGAAGAATTAAGAATCACACTCCACAATGTGCTGCTCCACCAAGAAATAGAAATGTAATGATTTTTTGAAAGGTAAATGCTTCACAATAAACAGTCTTCTTGGGTAGTACAGTGTAATTGTGATTGTTTAGGACTGCTCTTGTGGGCTAATATTTACGCTGTTGTTTTTTTTAAATCATCATTGTAAAAAGGGCAGACTTATAGATTTTTCTGACAATGAAAATCTGTAGACACTGGTCTGGTCTCATCATTCAGGCAAATTAATAAAATAACAAGTGCATGGAAAGAATGTTAAACAAAAACATAATCATCATGTGACTGACAGAATTCTCCCTGAAATCAGAGAATATTAATACTCAATAGTATGTATAAATTTGAATTTATAGCTGAGACAATAGACAAAATAATTAACCAAGGAGCTTAAAATAAAATTATTCAAATTACCTATTTATCATTTTATGTGCAGTAATTACTTTTTAAAAATCCTTTTAATTTTATCTAGGGATAACCACTCACATCATGGCTAAGTTGCAAGGAACTTCAAAACTTTGAAAAAGAATTTCATCCCTGAGAAGTGAGAGATAGAAAAATATCTAAAAAAAGAGAAGCAACAGTCTTGCACCCTTTTAACAATCTCACCACAGCATGAACTACTATTAACACTGAGCAATCAGATATTCCAGTCCTGGAGAGTTACTGCCTTTCATGATCTGATCTTTTGTAATGAAACTACAAGTGCAACATTAAAAAAAAAAACAGATAAATAGAAACCCTGGTTTTATTTTCAGCTTTACATTTTTGACAAGTGCAAGGTCAGCCAGCTAAGATATAAATATTCCAATAATGACCAAAGTAATAACTTCTACTGGCATGTCCTCTTCTGAGTCTCCATTTTCTCCACTGATATTCATCCAAATAATAAAAGTAACACAATTGCAATTGAGTTTACTATTATCAATGGCACTGTAAAGAGAAAAAAAAAAGTTTGTTACTATAAAGAAAAAACAGAGAAAAAACCAGAAAATAATAATTAGCCTCCAGGAACAATAGAAATATCTAACAATATGTCATCATAATCATGTTGTAAAAAGTTATAACAAAGAAACATTCTAAAATACATTGGATCATGAGATCCAAAACTTATTTTAAAGAGAACTTGTATAACTGGGAGTAAGGGTTGCACTGGAACAGCTAGATCAATGTGAAACATCTGTGGATAGTCCCGGTGCAACCCCAAGAACATGAGTGCACTGGAGCCTGGCAGACGTAGACCCACAGGGTTGCCACTGACACTTGATATTAGAAATATAGTGCATAGAAGATTCTGTAGTGTCATTTTACTACATTAAAAATGAACTTATTTAACATTGTATCCAAGGTTGTGAGTAAAGGGAGAAGAGGTACTAATTATAATGGTTTTAAATAAAAGATTTTTGAACTCTTTTTTTCTTGAATTGCTCAAAAATATTTTCCAATAGAATGACAGATACGAAATCTCTATTTTTCTTTTTTCTTTTCTGGTTTTTTTTTTTTTTTTTTTTGAGACAGAGTTTTGCTCTGTCTCCCATGCTGGAGTGCAGTGGCGTGGCACAATCCCAGCTCACTGCACCCTCCACCTCCCGGGTTCAAGCCATCCTCCTGCCTCAGCCTCCCAAATAGCTAGGATTACAGGTATGCACCACTGGCTAATTTTGTATTTTTAGTAGAGACGGGGTTTCACCCATGTTGGCCAGGCTGGTCTCAAACTCCTGACCTCAGGTGATCTGCCTGCCTTGGCCTCTCAAAGTGTTGGGATTACAGGAGTAAACCAACACGCCCAGCTTTCTCTTGGAAACCTCCCAATACTGTATGTGATTTTACAACTTGGAAACAACAGTTTCCAAAAGGCAAGAATATAATTTTGTCTTTTAGCTCTGACAGGTAACACACAAACAGATTATATGTATTATACTAAGCATTCTATTTGTACCAACTGGCTTAGATAGAAGTAAGAAGCAAACTAAGAAAAAAAAAAAAAAAACCCAGTAACTTTCAAGCAGCAAAGCCATGTTAAAGAGAAAAAAAATTCCCACTACAAATGGCATATATGGTATTCACACTCAGAAGCCTTGCTACTTAAACCACAACATTAAAACTTAAGAATGCTCTATTAGCTTTTCTTCTTACCTCTCATCACGGTTCTTACAGATCGAATAAGGTTCATTAGCTGTGATTTAATTCCCGGCTCTTCTCCAAATCCACCAATTCCCTGGTCTGTTCCCCAGCCAACTGTATAATGTAAAGATTAGCTGTGTTAAAAGTTATTACACACTTGCCTTCCTCCCTGTCATCTTCTAAAAGATTAGTTTGAGACCTTGTTAAAGACAAAGTAGAAAGTCATATGACTTTTAAGAAAAGTTAAAACAATAATGAGTTAAATATTTGTTTTCTTTTTAACTTTTGATAGCAGCAACACCCTCATTTCACTACATTTACACTGATTTTATAAAACAAACTACAATCTAAATTATTCCATGGCATTTAATTTAGTGAAGATGATCTTTGTAACTGTTTTTTTCTCCTTTTTTTAAAATATCATACAAAATACTTCTCAAGTCACAACTAAAAACCAAAGCATACTGTCAAGCTATATAATTATTATAATTAGCTCAATTCAGAATTTATAAAATCCATCACAATCATTAATATAAAAATGCTGTAGCTGAGAATCACTGTCTACATTACTTGGGGAAACTTTTAAAGTAAACCTGGTAAAGTGGGAGTCAATCATAATACCAAAATACACAAATCTTTTCAAACACCAGGATACCAAATCTTGAAAATCCAAAAGATCAAAATCCTGAAGTCTAAAATCCCCAAAATGACAAGAAATATCAAAATCTCAAAAACGTAATTCTAGGAAGAATACTTTTTTAGATTCTTTTTCAAAAATTACCATAATATAGAGACAGGGTCTCACTTTGCTGCCTAGGCTAATATCAAGTGATCCTCCACCTCAGCCTCCCAAAGTGCTGGGATTACACAAGTACAAGCCACTGCATTCGGCCTAAGTATTTCTTTCTTTTTTTTTAAATTGAGACAAGGTTTTACTCTGTCACCCTGCTGGAGTTGCCCAGGCTGGAGTGCAGTGGTGTAATCACGGCTTACTACAGCCTCAACCTCCCCAAGTTCAGGTGATCCTCCCACCTCGGCCTCCCGAGTAGCTGGGACTATAGGCGCACGCCACCACACCCGGCTAATTTTTGTATTTTTAGTACAGATGGGGTTTCGTCATGTTACCCAGGCTGGTCTTGAACTCCTGGGCTCAAGCGATCGACCCACTTTGGCCTCCCGGATTACAGGCATGAGTCACCGCACCCAGCCCTCATTTACGTTTTTAAAAGGGGAGTTATCTTTTAAAGAATTTGGGGGCTGGGCATGGTGACTCACGCCTATAATTCCAGCACTTTGGGAGGCCAAGGCTGGTGGATCGCCTGAGCCCAGGAGTTCGAGACCAGCCTGGGTAACATGACGAAACCCTGTCTCTACTAAAAATACAAAAATTAGCCAGGTGTGATGGCGTGCGCCTGTAGTCCCAGCTACTCGGGAGGCTGAGGTGAGAGGATCACCTGAACCTGGGGGAGGTTAAGGCTGCAGTGAGCCATGATCATGCTACTGCACTCCAGCCTGGGCAACAGAGACCCTGTCTCAAATTAAAAATTTTTTTTAAAGAGGCAAATGTGTCATTTGAGAAACATAAAAACACAACAGAACACTTCAAAGGCCACTTTACACAAAAAAATAGGCAATGACAGCATATATATATTTTTGCAGCACTAAGGTATGCTAATGACAGTCACACAGGTATAACAGCCATGAGCAGGTGAACCATATTCACAAAGAGGTCAAAAAGGAAATGTATAAACACATTATCACTATGGTTAGTAAGTGTGCTCACCTAGCTTTATCTAACTGTGGTCATCTGAAGTACTGTGACAAACAACCTAAGTCTTTTGACAGATCAAAAACTACAGTAGGTCACCATTGCATATGCAATTGACCAAAGAGCCAAGATAACAAGAAATTTTATTTTTCACTAATGCAGACAGATATAAAGAACCTTTCTTTATTTACTGAGGAAGTTTCAACGTTTTTACATGCATGCACAATGCCTAAACACAAAGTCAACACTGTGGTAATGTACTTTTGCAGTCAAATTTGCAAAGAATGCATAAAACAAATTAGAACTCTCAAAAGTCTCTACACAGTTTATACCTCCAGTATTGCAAATGATGTAAAGATGAAATACATAGCATTGGGAATTGTAAAAAATCATGCTGACAATTGAAAATAGTGAAAACAACTGAAAAAGAAAAAGAAGAAAGCTGAAAAAAATCAACATGTGATAATGTGTTATTACAGGGAGAGATTATGGGCAATTGCATGGAGATATTCCTTAAGAGCTGGTTGGCTTTCTCCATCATTAACTATATTTTGATGTCCTACGTCACAATGAATAGCTGCTTTTTTTTTTCTTTTAGGACATGGCTCTCCTCAGACAAAATGTTCACGTTCATTTTCTAGGTGGCACTTGCTCTTTTTGAAATTCTTCTATGGTTTGATATACATCAACATGAGCTTTCCCTATTAAAAGTTCCCATCCTTGGCCGGGCGCGGTGGCTCACACCTATAATCCCAGCACTTTGGGAGGCCAAGGTGGGCGGATCACCTGAGGTCGGGAGTTCGAGACCAGCCTGACCAACATGGAGAAACCCCGTCTCTACTAAAAATACAAAATTAGCTGGGCATGGTGGCGCATGCCTGTAATCCCAGATACTCAGGAGGCCGAGGCAGGAGAATTGCTTGAACCCGGGAGGTGGAGGTTGTGGTGAGCCGAGACCGTGCCATTGCACTCCAGCCTGGGCAACAAGAGCAAAACTCCGTCTCAAAAAAAAAAAAAAGTTCCCATCCTCTGTGCCATGCTTCTGTGTTGTTTTGGGTACCCAGAAATACATTCCACATCCACTTATATAGAGACCACAAATTTGGTGGAAACAACACTGGTGATCAAACAGCAATACTGCTGCATCACTGTCTTCTTACCCTACTATGCACATAATTATTTTTGAACCAGTCAGTAACTTCGCTGGCTTCTTCAGGCAAATGCGGGTTCAATTCACTAAAAGTTCCTGGAATGCCATCGGCTGGAAGGAATGCTAACGCAGGCAAATGACACATTTTTAAACTGAAGTTTTCACCACTGCAGCATCTGGTAGCCAATCCACTCACCTGAATTTCCCACCAAATGCAAATAAAGACAAGAACATGGTAATAGTTCCGCCTAACATGATGCACCTAACATGATATAACTATCCTGTTTATACCCAAAAACACACTAATCCCTTCCCCAAAATTCAGCTTTCAAGATTTCAACATTCAGGATTTTAATCTTTTGGGGTTCAAAACATTAGGAATTATGGCATCCAGGACTTTTGAGATTATGATCCAAACCTGTAATAGCTTGGTTAGGCTTCCAAAACATGCTCTAGCCTGCCAGGAGGACATATCTTTTTTCCCCTTTTTCCTTGATCATTCCTCTTCATTTATTAATTTTGAGTTGAGGAATTTAGCCCACTACCCCTCTTATTCTCTGTGAGTCTTTTACATTCTTTTGTTATTCTCCTATGATACTACAAATCATTATTTCTTCACCCTTACGCATTAATTCTATTGTGTGACACATTCTTCTGAAGACTTACATGTCCTCATTTCTGCAATTTGTCCTTCTCTTGTCCTCATTTCAGGTCCACTTTTTCCTATCTCATATGACTACAGGGCTTAATTAATTCCTGACACGCTAACCCTTAAACTTGAAGAGAACAGTTTTTTTAAATAGATATACCTGAAAGACTCAAATATCAGGAAATAAGACTTCACTTTTAATCAACTTTTATTTGGTTGAAATAAAATGCTAAATAATGGTTGTTTGCTTTTTTGTCACTGAGATATGCTGTGGTATAAAACTAATTTAAAATTCAAGTTTACAACAGGGCTGTTGTTGACTCCTACTCACTCTTCACAGAACCTAGCTCAGGTTCTGCTTATAGCGCTTCCAGTCCACAGGGGTTTCGTTCTTTTTTGAATTCCCATAGTACAACTACCATCACAGTTGTCACTATCGCAGCCTTTGCTATCTCTTGCAAGACTCTTTCAATAGATAACCTTGTAATCTTGATGTCTCAACCCTTTGAGTTTTCTCCCTTAAAGGGTTAGATCTTGCTACCTCGATTCCCATTGCCTACTGAATAAGGACCAAACTCCTTAAATTGACATTCTAGTTTTATATCCTACCACACCCTTCCAAGTATTCCTATTTGCAGTCAGTTACTCCAGCAGTCCCCAACCTTTGTGGCACCAGGGACTGGTTTCATGGAAGACAATTTTTCCACAGATGGGTTGGGGGGTGGTGGTGGTTTCAGGATGATTCCAGTGCATTACATTTATTGTGTACTTTATTTCTATTATTATTACATTGTAATACATACTGTAATAATTATACAACTCACCATAATGTAGAATCAGTGAGAGCCCTAAGTTTGTTTTCCTGCAACTAGATGGCCCCAACTGGGGATGATGGGAGACAGTGATAGATCATCAGGCATTAGATTCTTACAAGGAGTACACAACCTAGATCCCTAGCATGCACAGTTCACAACAGGGTTCATGTTCCTATGAGAATCTAATGCCATCACTGACCTAACAAGAGGCAGAGCTCAGGCACTAATGTGGGCCATGGGGAGTGGCTGTAAATACAGATGATACTTAGTTCACTCATCTGCCACTCACCTCCTGCTGGGTGGCCCAGTTCCTAATAGGTCCGTGAGAGTAATTTAGGGGTCCCCAACCCCCAGGCCACAGACCTATTAGGAAAATTATTCTGGAAATTGGCCAGTTGTCGGAAGAAAGACTTCCTCCCAATACTGACATTTGGGGGCCTCACCTCAATGAAATAGCCAATTTCTTCATTCACTTAACACTGAGACACCAGTAAACAAGCCCTGACTACACACATGGAACTTCCAAAGAGCTTCTCAGTCCCTTACAATTAAACAAATAGTCAAGAAAGAACAATTCTTAATATGGAAAGACATATCAAATAGAAATGGAGACTCTAAGGAAGAGAAGATGCAAGAAGTAGAAAAATGCATTTTTTAAATGAACATCCTTAGATAAAAGCCATTGTAGCTATGAAACAAAAACAGAATACCCTAAGAACAGATCCCATCCAGGGATCAAGCAGCTCTTGCTACATTAGGATTAAAAGTTCAAAAACAGGGGTTGAAAGATGAAATTAAGAACACCTACCAAACACAATTGAAGAAAAAAGAAAATTGGAGTATAAATCTGTCAAAATAATCAGTTCCAAAAAGAAAGAAAAAAAAAGAGGCAATTATTGAAGAAATAATAAGTGAAAAGATCCCCAAACGAAGGACATGAGCCTTTTTAGCCAAAAGGGTCCAATCAGAAAACAGCCCAATGAATGAGAAAATTAAAAGGTACAATGTCTTCAAAACTCTGCAGAAAAATTAGTTTCAATCTAGAATGCTATATCTACATCACAAATCAACTATAAGAATAAAAGTCATTTTTTTTTACCATTCAGCTATGAGCAATATTCATAGTGATAATGTAAATATGGAATGCTGATATAACCAATAATTGGTTGGAGAAGGGAGAGTTTGAGAAGTATGTGTACAGTAATCCCCCCTTATCTATGGGGCATATACTCCAAGATCCCCAGGGGATGCCTGAAACCATAGATAGTACCAAACCCTATATATACTATATATATTTTTCCTATATATGCACACCTCTGGTAAAGTTTAATTTATAAATTAGACATAGTAAGAGATTAATAACAGTAACTCATAATAAAATAGAGTAATTATAACAATATGCCAACATCACTGCTCTTACACTTTAGGGTCATTATTAAGTAAAATAAGGGTTAAACATAAGCACTGCGATATTACAACATTTACTCTGATAACCAAGACAACTGCTAAGTGACTAACAGCTAGCTGAGGCAGGCAGCATACATAGCACGGAGATGCTGGACAAATGAGTAATTCATGTCCCAGGTGGAATGGAATAGGACGGTGCAAGACTTCATCATGCTACTCATAACAGCCCACAATTTAAAGTGTATAAATTACTTATTTCTGGAATTTCCCATTTCAGTATTTTCAGACTGTGATTGACTGCATGTAACTGAAACTGTGGAAAGCGAAACTGTGAAATAAGGGAGGACTAGTATACTTGTGCTCGCTCAAGCCTGAGTGTGCTGCTGGTGGTATAATTGTGTGAAACCCTTCCATAGCATAAGTCAATAGTTTGCTTCTAAGGAATGGGGCTCAGGTCGAGGAGGAATGAGGCAAATGGCTTCTATCTTTCTTTATAAACTGATGAGCTTTTTGACTTTGAAAATCATACACATATTACTTTGATAAAAGTAAAAACAAAATTTAAAAAGAAAGCCCTCTGCAATTAGGTCTTCCTCCCCACAACATGAATATCCTGAGGGCTAGGATGAGTTCTGTGGCATCATGTTATTTAAAATTATGTTTTAAAACCACCTTTACATGGTATTGATAGTTTCATTTTCTTTACTTGTTTTAAAATGTATCATTGGTAAAATTATCAATCCTTTCCATCCACAGCCACAATTTCGCATATGGTAAAAAGGATTTGTCTTAAGTACTATATGGATTATGCACTCAATTTTTATTGGAAACCATACTTCCCAGCAATCTTTTTTTCTTTTAGATCTGTTCCAAAAAATTGCTTAAACATATTTTTTCACATGTGAGATGAGTGACTCCCAGAAAAAAAAAATTGCTCTTCAACAAAACAAGATAAAACTCTACAATACCGGAATTAACATAATTTAAGCATCACCACTGAAGTAATTTAAACATATAGTAAGTTAGTTAATTGCAGCCCAGTCTCTATTCTTATGCCACCAGAATGAAAAAAAAAAATGGATGGAGAATTTTTGGATGGAGAGAGTAAATAATTAGTCTAGATATTCCACATACAAATAAAAATGTGACAAGTAAAAGATCAGGGGCCAGGGATTATCTTTTACTAAAACAAATAGTTTACCCTCCAACTGCTATATAGGGAGTCTCAGTTGTTTTTCTCAGGAACCTAGCCAAAGCTTTAAGAAGCATTGCTGTTTTTCGTTTTTTTTTTTTCTTTTTAAGAGAAAGATTTGGCCGGGTGTGGTGGTTCACACCTACAATTCCAGCACTTTGGGAAGTTGAGGTGGGAAGATTGCTTGAGCCCAGGAGTTCGAGACCAGCCTGACAAAAAGTTAAAAAGTTAGCCAGGTGTGGTGTTATGCTCCTGTAGTCCCAGCTACTCAGGAGGCTGAGGTGGGAGCACTGCTTGAGCCTGGAAGGCCAAAGCTGCAGTGAGCTGTGATCATGCTACTGCACTCCAGCCTGGGTGCCAGAGACCCTCTTTCCAAAAAAAAAAAACAAGAGAGAGAGAGAGAGATTTAATTCTCTGGCTTTCTTGTCACTTCCACAGCTAGAGGGCCTGGCAGAGAATAAATGATAAGACCAGTCAGCAGTACTTGCTGCCTTAATTTCAGAAATAAAGTTGAATAGAAAAAGTTACTGACTGCAACCACCAAACACATTCTTCTGCTGTCCAGACTTCAAAAAGTCACATACAAAATGGCAATCCATCCAGGCTCAGCCAAAAACGCTCGACACACATATTTTGAAGAAAAAGTACTAGTAACAGTTTTGAGAGCTTGCTGACCCTGAGCAGATCTCAGCCTCTCTGAGATCAATTTCCATATCTGTAAAAGAAAATGAAAGTGATTTTGTCAATGTTACCAAGTTTACATGTGATCAAATGCTATCATAAACATGAAAGTGCCTAATAAACTACACAAAGAACTCTGCTAATGTAAGTTTTTAAAAAGTACCTTTATCAGAAAGATCAATGGTGGCCAGGTGTGATGGCTCACGCCTGTAATCTCAGCACTTCGGGAGGCCAAGGCGGGCAGATCACTTGAGGCCAGAAGTTCAAGACCAGCCTGGCCAACATGGCAAAAAACCACCTCTACTAAAACTACTAAAATTATCTGGGCGTGGTAGCATGTGCCTGTAATCTCAGCTACATGGGAGGCTGAGGCATGAGAATCGCTTGAACCCAGGAGATGGAGGTTGCAGTGAGCTGAGATAGTGCCACTGCACTCCAGCCTGGGGGACAGAACAAGACTCTGTCTCAAAAAAAAAAAAAAAAGATACATGCAGAAGTAAATTATCTGGTATACTGCTTTTTCTTAGTTCTATATTATTTCCATTTAATCCCTGATAAAATTCAACAAAAGCTTTTTAAAATTCAACAATAGCTCACTCACTATTTTAAAATCTAAAATAATATATTGGTCTAGAGCCATCATTTATTAATAAACCCTAAATCAAGTAATAGTGTGTGGTATGTTAACTGTTTGCTATGGCCTGAAGCCTGGCCATCTGCAAGCCAGAAAGAGGGCCCTCACCAGAACCAAGCCATGCCAGTACCCTGATCCTGGACTTCCAGGCTCCAGAACAGTGAGAAAATTGTTTAAGCTACCCAGTCTATAGTATTTTGTTATGGCAGCCTGAGCTGACTAATACACTGATTTATGTGAGGGATGTTTCTATTGTGGTGTTCATAACATATACCTAGTACTGGATATGATAAATACTTGTCAAACTGGTACTGGATAAAGCAAACAAAAACTCTAGTAAGAACAATTTTTTGCAGGTATCAAAATCCACTTCATTATGTGGCATTTTTTTTTTCTTGCACTAAAAGGAAATTAACATCATTGTGGAAAACTGGAAGAAACCACATATTCCCTGTATCACTGTCAAAATATTGGCTAAATTATTTATAAGAATACACATATCCCTCATATCAGGAATTGCAAGAATATAATGATAAAGTTATTTAATTATTTAGAAAACATTCGTTGATTGACAGAACTGTAAAGATAAGAGGATCCTTCTCAGTCTACTGGCCTCGACAGAAAAGAAACTACAGTGATGCTATGACCCATGGAGATGGGTCACAGACAGTTTGTGGGAAAGGGCAATGCCAGAGGTAGGTCTTAACTGACAGGCTGAGGAGTTAACCACTTAAAGGGGTTAAGTCAAGGTCACTAATGAGTAAAGGCTCAGCAGTGGTAAAAATGGTACACAGGACAAATACTGGGGAAGGATAAAAGAGGAGGGGGAGGAGGAAGGGGCACCTTATGGTAGGCTTGTAAATCACATGAGAGTGTTGAAGTTTATATTGAAGGCTACAGATACTGAAGAACTGAAGAATTTCAAACCACTGAAGAACAAGCTCAGCTTCACCTGAGAGAAGCGAAACTGGAGGCAGGATGACCAGTAAGGAGTTTGCTACAAAAATCTATGCTTGCTTATCTAAAAACCCAAATTAAAAACAAATAAAATAAAAAAACCTAGGCAACAAGAAAGCACCTATATAAACAATATTTAGTAAGTATTTAAAATATTTTAAACTTCTATTTTAAAACATATTTAGATATTTTTAAACAACCTTATCCACTTAGACAAGCCAATGTAGTGTGTTCCCTTAATTTGGAGACCACATTCAAAACACATTCTCAGGCAAAATATTTCTAGGCTACCTCTGTAGAGAAGACAAAATGTGGAAGACAAAGTTCCAGACGGCAAAGTATTAATATTTCTGGGCCATTCTAATAGTTTGTAGCAGTTTTTTTTTTTTTCTGAGATGGAGTTTCACTCTGTCACCCAGGCTGGAGTCCAGTGGCGCAGTGTCAGCTCACTGCAACCTCTGCATCCTGGGCTCAAGCCATTCTCTTGCCTCAGCCTTTCAAGCAGCTGGGATTACAGGCAGAGTGTCACCAAGCCCGGCTAATTTTTGTACTTGAGGAGAGACAGGGTTTCACCATGTTGGCCAGGCTGGTCTCGAACTCCTGACCTCAGATGATCTGCCCGCCTCAGCCTCCCAAAAGGCTGGGATTACAGGCATGAGCCAATGCACCCGGCCCCCTGTACCAGGAGTTTTTAATGTAAGGGCACAAATCTCAATCACCTGCACAAATTTTGGAAAATACACACTACTGAACTTCACTTTAAAAATCTGAATATAGATCTAGAGTAGGGTTTGGGCATTATATTTTTTAAATGCTCTTTTAATAATTCTGAAATATACTTTCAAGTGAGAATTACTGGTTTATTGGAACAATGGCTTTAAATACACAAAATTGAGACCATTCTACAAATTCTGAGATGCTACAGACATCATACAAATCTATGCTTTCCTAAATTAGCTGTGGAGATGGAATGGAATTACAGTATATTTTATATTACCCCAATCAATAATGTGAAGTTAACTGTCACTTATTATTCTCCAATTAGCTCATATAGTTTATTTAAATAAATTACATTCCTTGAAGGCAAGAACCAAGTATTTCTCTTATAAACCCAAAATGTCTGAAACAATGTTAGACACATTGCAGGTGTTCTAAAACATATCCCAGTTGTGCGTGGTGGCTTAAACCTGTAATCCCAGCACTTTAGGAAGCCGACGCGGGTGGATCACCTGAGGTCAGGAGTTCAAGACCAGCCTGGCCAACATGGTGAAACACAGTCTCTACTAAAAATACAAAAATGAGCCAGGCGTGGTGGCGGCAGCACCTGTAGTCCCAGCTACTCAGGAGGCTGAGGCAGAAGAATCACTTGAACCTGGGAAGCAGAGGTTGCAGTGAGCCGGGATCGTGCCACTGCACTCCAGCCTGGGTGACAGAGCAAGACTCCGTCTCAAAAAAAAAAAAAAAAAAAAAAAAAAAAAATTTTAGCTAGGTGGTGGTGGGTTCCTGTAATCCCAGCTATTCGGCAGGCTGAGGCAGAATTGCTTGAACCTGGGAGGCAGAGGATGCAGTGAGCAGAGATCATGCCATTGCACTCCAGCCTGGGCCACAGTGCAAGACTCCATCACAAAAAAAAAAAAAAAAAGACAAAAAAAATCCCTTAAGTTTCACCTAAGGGTAGAATAATCAAAGACTTGTTATTAAACATAACTAACAAGATGAAATGAACATTATTCAGCCTGTAGCATTAGTGAGTATTAAAAGCTCATTAGATTTCAAAACCATGAAGGAAGATAGCAATATAGATTAGTTATGTCTATTTTTAAACTTTAGGTAAAGGAATTATCCAATATATATTCTTTTGTGCCTGTCTTTTGCTCAAATTGTGTCACAGTCATCCATATTGCTTTGTAGGACCACAGTTCATTCTTTTTCATT
This sequence comes from Homo sapiens, assembly GCF_000001405.40. NCBI lineage: Eukaryota > Metazoa > Chordata > Mammalia > Primates > Hominidae > Homo > Homo sapiens. The sequence continues at coordinate 47,168,612 of NC_000018.10, forward strand.
GTTATGCAGCATTCCATTATATGAATACAATTTAGTCATTCTACCATTTCTAATTTTCATTATGATTATGCTGCTATGAACATTCTCATACATGTCTTTTGGTGCACATATTTATGAGCATTTGTATAAGAGTGAAACTGTAGGACCATAGAAGATGTGTATGATGAGCTTTAGTTACTTCTGCCAAAAAGTTTTTCAAAGTGGTTGTGCCAATTTATACTTCCATCAGCAGAGTATGAGTTCACACTGTTCTATAACCTTATCAAAACTTCCTATTTTCAGGTAAGAATGTGTAATTCAAAAAACAAACAAAGACCCTCCAGCTTTCTGGATACCTTACAATTCATACATATAATTAAATGGTTTGAAGTACATTCAGAGTTGTGCAACTATCACCACATTCAATTTTAGAGTATTTTTACCACCCCAAAAGAAACCCTGTACACATTGGCAACCACTTCCCACAACCTCAGGCCCTCCAGCACCAAGCAACCACTAATCTACTTTCTGTCTATATAAAATTGCCTAGCATAAAGAGTATCACATGCTATGTGGTCTTTCTTATAAACAGTATCATATGATATGTGGTCTTTTACGACTAGCTTCTTTCACTTAATATAATGATTTCAAGGTTCATCCATATTGTAGTGTGTAATAATACTTCATTACTTTTTTGCCAAATAGTATTCTACAGTATAGATATCTACAGTTTAGTCATCAGCTGATGGACATCTGGGTTGTTTCCATTTTTTGGCTTTTATGAATAATGCTATTTTGAACATTCCATGTTTGTTTTCAATACTCTTGGTATACCTAGGAGTAGAATCACTGTGTCATATAGTAACCATGTTTAACATTTTGAGGAACAGCCAGACTGTTTTCCGAAGTGGCTGAACCATTTTACATTCTCTTTAACAATATACGACAATTCCAATTTCTTCACCACCTCACCTATACTTGTTATTATTTAGTGTTTTTAACTTTTTTATTTATTATATTTATTATTTATTAACTTTTTTATTATAGCCATCCTGGTTGGTGTGAAGTGGTATCTCATTATGGTTTCGGTTTGCACTTCTCTAATGATTAATAATGTTGACCATCTATTCATGTGCTTATTGATCATTTGCTTATGTTCTTTGGAAAAAATTCTATTCAGTTCCTTTGTAAATGTTTTAATTGAGTTATTTATCTTTTATTATTTAGTTCAAATAGTTCTTTATATATTTTGGATAGAAATCACTCATTAGATACCTGAGTTGTAAATATTTTATCACAGTCTGTGGTTGTCTTTTAAAGCATGAACTTTTTAAAATTTTGATGAAATCCAATTTATCTATTTTTTCTTTGGCACTTGTGCTTCTGGTATCGTATCTGAGATGGTTTTACCCAACCAAAACTCACAGAGCTTTTTGTCTGTATGTTCTTCTAAGGGTTGTATAGCTTTTTATCTTACAGTTTGTAAGTCTATGATTATGAGTTAATTTTTGAAGATGGTGTGAGGTAGGAGTCCAATTTTACTTTTTTTTATATGGCTATTCAGTTATTATAGCACAATTTGTTGAAAAGGCTATTTGGCACCCTTATTGAAAATCAATTGATATAAATGTAAGGATTTTTTAATGGACTTTAAATTCTATTTCATTGATCTATGTCTCCCCTTATGCCAGCATCATCCTGTTTTGATTATTGGACCTTTGCACTAAGTTTTAAAATTGGAAAGCACAACTCCTCCAATTTTGTTCTTCTCTTTCAAGATTGTCTTGACTATTCTGGATTCCTTGCATTTTCTCTAGGATCAACTCATCAGTTTCTTCAAAAAAGCTAACTGGGATTTTGATAGACACCACATTAAACCTATAAATCAATATTAAGTACTATCATCTTAATAATATTAAGTATTCTGATCTGTGAATATGGGAAGTCTTTATCTTTAAAAAGATCTTTAATCTTCTTTCTTTCAACAATGCCTTATAGTTCTCATAGCATGAAACTTGTACTGTTAAATTTATTCCTAAGTATTTCATCCTTCTTAATATTGTAAATAAAATTATTTCCTTTATTTCATTTACAATTGTTCATTGTGCACAGAAAAACAAATGATTTTTATATAGTGTTCCTAAATCCTGCAATCTTATTAAACTCATTCATTTGTCCTAATAGCCTTGTAGTGGACTCTTTAGGATTTTCTATATATACAAAATTATGTCATCTATAAACACAGTTTTATTTTTTCAACCTCATAATCTGGATGTCTTTTCTTTTTTCTTGTCTAACTGTCCTGGTTAGAATCCCCATTATGATGTTAAATAAAAATGGCAAGAGAGGACATCCTTGTCTTATTCCACATCAGGGAACGAATTTAGTGTTCCAGCATTAAGTATGATGTTAACTAGGGAATTTTCATACATGCTCCTTATCAGATTAAGAAAGTTCCCTCCTATTGTTAGTTTGTTGAGTATTTTTTTTTTATCATGAAAGGGTACTGGATTTTTGTCAAATGCCTTTCTGCATTTTTTGTGAAGACTGTGTGATTTTTATTAATATCACTGATTACATAACTGATTTTCAAATGTTAAACCAATCCTGTACTCCCAAGATAAATCAAATCCCACTTGTTCATGGTATATAATCTCTTTTATAGGTTGCTAGATTTAGTCTGCCAGTATTTCGTTGAGAATTTTTGCAGCTATATTCAAAAGAGATATAGGTCGATAGTCTCTTTTCTTGTGATGTCGCTGTCTGGTTTTCATATTAGGTTAATACTGACATCATGGCATGAATTGAAAAGTGTCCTATCCCCTCCATCTTTTGGAAGAGTTTGTGAGAAATTGGTATTAAGTCTTCTTTAAATGTTTGGTAGAAAGCAATGCTGAAGGCTTGACTTCATGAGAAGTTTTTAAATTATTCATTATCTCTCTTTGTATGTTATAGGTCTATTCGGATTTCCCATTTACTTGAGTCTAGTCAGTCTAGCTAAAGACTTGTCAATTTTGTCAAGGAATCAGCTTTTGGTTTTGTTAATTCTAGTATTTTTCTACTATGTATTTCATTAACTTTCACTGTAATCTTTATTACTTCCTTCCTTTTGCTTTTTTTTTGTGGAGGCTGCGAGAGCAGGTTGTGGCTCAAATGACAGAGACTATTACTGTTCTGAGATTTAGCAGACTGACATTTCTCTTTTTTGGTCTTTTTTTTTGAGACAGGGTCTCACTGTGTCGCCCAGGCTGTAGGGTGGTGGTGGGATCTCAGCTCACTCCAACCTCCGCTTCCTGGGTTCAAGCCATTCTCCTGCCTCAGCCTCCCCAGTAGCTGGGTGCCACCACACCCAGCTAATTTTTTGTATTTTTAGTAGAGACGGGGTTTCTCCACGTTGGCCAGGCTGGTCTCGAACTCCTGACCTCAAGTGATCCGCCCACCTTGGCCTCCCAAAGTGCTGGGATTACAGGCATGAGCCACGGTGCTGGGCCTTCTGTTTTGGTCTTTCTTAGAAAACATTTTGTGTATATGCCTCACTGATCATCCCCTCCTCCACTCTCTTCATAGTGCTGACTTGTTGAAGAGACAGGGCTAGTTTTCACTGTCACTGCTGAGATACCTCAAGCTCTAAAAACAAAACCACCACCATAAAACACACCCCCATATCCCTTCAAGCTACCTTTTCTTCTTTTCCTCCAACTTAAAGATAACATTGGATAATATTACTGTCTCCATTTTATAACTTTCTACTCACTTCCCAATCCATTCCAATCTGGATTTTACCCACTGCTGTAATTGCTCTTATAAAATCACCAATGACCTCCACTACCCTGAATCAGGATTCTTTTCAGTCCTTAACTTACAGTAGTCCTCCCCCTTAATCTTGGAGATACACTTCAAGATTCCACAGTAGATGCCTGAAACAGAAGATAGTACCCAACCGTATATGTAGTGTATTTTTTTCAATCTGATAACCAAGTGACTAATAGGTGGGTAGCATATACAATGTGCATATGCTGGACAAAGGGAAGATTCATGTCCTCATGATACAGGATTCATCACGCTACTCAGAACAGCTTGCAATTTAAAACATGAATTGCTTATTTCTGCAATTTTCCAATTAGTACTTTCAGATGGCAGGCTACAACTGAAAAGTGTGGAAAGACAAACCACAGATGAGGGGGGACTACTGTACTAAGCTACTCAGTAACATCCCACTGTTGTAGTATCTCTTCAAACACTTCCTGACTCTGGTGAAATCCCACTGTCTAGGTTTTTCCATCTCTCTGTTTTGCTCACTTGTCAAGTTCTCCTGTCAGTTCTTCCATCTCTACCTAAACAATAAATACTAGAGGAGATTCTAGGGCTGTCTGGGGCACCAATTCTTTTTGTACTCTACTGTTTTCTTTCATAATTTCATCTTCTCACATGACTTCATTTATTATCTATGCTTGACAAACTCAAATTTCAATCTCCGCCCTAATTCGTGCTGCTGTTCTATGGATTTAAATGCAACTGGCTATTTTACATCTCCACTTGCGTATCTCATAGAAATCTCAAACTGAGCATGACTAAAATTTATTTCATTATATCTTCACCTTCTTACCTAGCACCATCACCCCAAATTTTCCTCCAATACTGTTTAACTCAGTAAAGGTATTACCCTTCACTCAGTGGCTTAACCCAGAGGGCCAAGAGATCTTTGACTTCATCCACTCTTATTCCCAAAGTCCAAGAGTAAATTCTGCCTTTTATACCTTTTTTTTCTTCCTTCGAGACATAGTCTTGCTCTGTCACCCAGGTTGGAGTGCAGTGGCGTGATCTCAGCTCAATGCAACCTCTGCTTCCCAGGCAAGTGACTCTCCTGCCTAAGCCTCCAGAGTAGCTGGGATTACAGGCGCCCACCACCACACCCTGCTAATTTCTGTATTTTTAGTAGAGACAGGTTTCACCATGTTGTCCAGAGTGGTCTCAAACTCATGACCTCAAGTGATCTGCCCACCTTGGCCTCCTAAAGTGCTAGGCATGAGCCACCATGCCCAGCCTCTACTTTTAAAATATCTTTTGATCCACATAAAATTCCTAGGGCTGCCATAACAAAGCAGCACAAACTGGGTGGCTTAACAGAAATTTTTTCATAATTTTGGAGGCTAAAAGTCTGAAATCAAGGCGTAAGCAGGGTTGGTTCCTTCTGGGGGGCTCTGAGGGATAATCTCATCCATGCCTCTCTCTTAACATCCAGTAGTTGCTGGAAATCCTTGGTATACCTTGTCTTATATATGCATCACTCCAATCTCTGCCTCAGTTGTCACATGATCTTCTGCGTGTGCATCTGTGTGTCTCCAAATCTCTCTTTTCTTATAAGGGCACCAGTCATTGGCTCTAAAGCCCTCAATCTAACCCAGTATGATCTCATCTTAACTTGATTATATCTGCAAAGACTCTGTTTCCAAACAAGGTCACCTTCATAGGTATCAAGGGTTGGGACTTCAACACATCTTTTTGAGGGACACAATTCAAACCCCAACTTGATCCCTTCTACTTTTCTGGATAGCGGTGAACAGATGAACTCTGGAAGATGACATTTGAATCCTAGCTCCACCACTTTCTACTTTCTACCTGTGTGTTCTTACAAAAGCCACCTACTCTCTTTGTGATTCTAGTTTTCCACTGGAAAACAGAAACTCTCTCATAGAGTTGCTGTGAAGGCTACACCAGTTAATATATGTAAGGCACTTGATACAGATCCTGTACGTAAGTGCTACGTAAGTATTAGCTATTATTATTGTTGTCATACCCACTTGTATCTACTTGCCCTATTTAGAATTGTTCTTCCTTGGGAGGCCGAGGTGGGCAGATCACGAGGTCAGGAGTTCGAGACCAGCCTGACCAACATGGTGAAACCCCATTTCTACTACAAATACAAAAATTAGCCAGGCTTGGTGGTGCGTGCCTGTAATCCCAGCCATTCGGGAAGCTGAGGCAGGAGAATCGCTTGAACCTGGGAGGCGGAGGATGCAGTGAACCGAGATTGCGCCACTGCACTCCAGCCGGGGGGACAGGGTGAGACTCCGTCTCAAAAAAAAAAAAAAATGGGTCTTCCCACATCCACTGCTTTCCCTTCCAATCTTTCCTCCGTATTGTAGCCTCAAGGATCTTGCAAATAACACAAATCTGGTCATGTCGCTGTCTTAAGACCCTCTTCTCACCTGCCTCAGTTTTCACACCAGGTCTACACTGCTTAAAGCTCTCCTCACCCTTCCAGCTCCTCCCAACCCTTCACCTTCACCGAGTTAATGTTTACTCATGTATCAGATTTCAGGTTAGACACGCTTCCTCCAAGAAGCTTTCGCAGATACACAAGTTAGTATCTGCCCGTACTTCTCTTACATAATACTCTCTATACTTGTTATTGTCATTTGTTTAGTTTTTATTTAGATTAACTTCCATCAGAAGGGCAGAGTAGCTGCTGTAACTTCAGTTACTATAAATGGGCCTGGCACATACTTTGCACTCAATAAATATCTTCTGAAGTAAATGAAATGAATCAATCTTGCTCCTGGGTTTACGTTTCAGTGATTCAAACGGGCATACTTGGTACACAACGTGAGGTCCTGGAAGGTATAACTTGTGTTTTCATTTTTGAATTTCTAAATTCTAGCAGAGTTTTTGGCACACTCTATGCACCCAATAAGCTATCTGAATAAACTTTTCTTGGAACATGAGTGTCTGAATGTCCTGATAACTCCAACACGTTCCCTTCCTGTAATTCCTAAAGCCCAGGAACACTTATTGCCTTCCATCAGTTAGTGAACTACTGATGCTCCAAAATGGGTCACGCCTCCTTCCCCTCCACACCCAACTCGTTTTGTTTTGTTTGTTTTGTTTTGTTAGACGGAGTCTCACTCTATTGCCCAGGCTGGAGTGCAATGGCGCAATCTCGGCTCACTGCAACCTCTGCCTCCCAGGTTTAAGTGATTCTCCTGCCTCAGCCTCCCGCCCGGCTAATTTTTGTATTTCCACCACCACGTCCGGCTAATCTTTGTATTTTTAGTAGAGACGGGGTTTTACCATGTTGGCCAGGCTGGTCCCAAACTCCTGACATCATGATCCGCCGGCCTCGGCCTGCCAAAGTGCTGGGATTACAGGCGGGAGCCACCGCGCCCGGCCCCACACCCCCAACTCTTAGCCCGAAACTCAGACCCCGGGTTTTCGACTATTAAAAGTAGTCACAGGACCGCGACACTGCACTTCAGCCTGGGCAAAAGAGCGAGACTCCCCCTCAAAAAAAAAAGTAGTCACAGAAAACTGAATTAAATTACTGACCTGAAGTAATCGCAAGCAGAGGCGTCCCTGACTGACTTCTATATCCCTCCACCCCAACCCCCTGGGCCCTGCACAGCGGGTGTCTGTTGAATATTCTCCCGGCTGTTGAGCCCAAACCTGATGAGAGGAAAGGCTCGGCTTCCACTCCAAGCCGAGCCTTCCGCTGTTCTTCTGTCCCGGCCCTTGGTGTCCCCTCACGCGGCCCCATTAGGTTACGCGCCCCCGGGGACTCCGCCGCCGCCCCAGCCCGCGCCCCGCGGTCCCACTCACTGTTCTTGAGGAATCGCTCCTCGTGCAGCACTGCGATGGCGTTGACGCAGAGCAGGGCTGCCTGCAGCAGTGAGTACAGGGTAAAGGCCATGGCCGTCCGAGGCCGCCCCGAAGTCCAAGCGATTTCTCTCCCGCCGCCGCAAGGGACGTGGCGCCTCCACGGCCGGCGCCTTCCTACGGAAGCCGATGGGGCCCAAAACGAACTCTCCGGGAAGCCCCGCCTCCATCTGGCTAAGAACCGCCCCTCGCTGAAGACTGCAAGTCCTGCCGCTTGTCTAGACCGGTGATGTGCAATCAATGCTCTGATGTGGCCAGTGCTGCAGGTGCAAAATACACACCGGATTTCACACACTTGGAACTGGAACAAGGATGAAGAATATCCCAATAATTTTTTTTTTTTTGAGATGGAGTCTGGCCCTGTCGCCCAAACTGGAGTGCAGTGGCACGATCTCGGCTCACTGCAAGCTCCGACTCCCGGGTTCACGCCATTCTCCTGCCTCAGCCTCCCAAGTAGCTGGGACTACAGGTGCCCGCCACCACGCCCGGCTAATTTTTTGTATTTTTAGTAGAGACGGGGTTTCACCGTGTTAGCCAGGATGGTCTCAATCTCCTGACCTCGTGATTCCCCCCTCCTCGGCCTCCCAATAATTTTTAAATGTTGATAACATGTTGAAATGAAAATATTTTGAGGCCGGGCGCAGTGGCTCACGCCTGTAATTCTAGCACTTTGGGAAACCGAGGCGGGCAAATCACCTAAGGTCAAGAGTTCGAGACCAGTCTGGCCAACATGGCAAAACCCTGTCTCTACTGAAAATACAAAAATTAGCTGGGTGTGATGGTGGGCTCCTGTAATCCCAGCTACTCAGGAGGCTGAGAGAAGAGAATCACTTGAACCCGGGAGGCAGAGACTGCAGTGAGCCGAGATCCAGCCTGGGTGACAGAGCAAGAGGAAAGAAGGAAGGAAGGGAGGAAGGTTTCTTGTTTATTTTTAATTATTTTATTTAATGTGGTTATGAAGATACTGTAAATGACATGTGACGCTTGCATTATATTTCTATTGCTCAGTACTGCACTTGATGCTCCCAGGAGATACAGGAGATACTAATATTCCCATTTCAGATTTCAGAATGCTAAAACAAAATAACTGTTTTAAAATTACTCAGTGAGAAACATCCCCTCCTTGACCAAACTCCAACCAAGATCCTCTGAGCCTCTTCTTTTTTTTTTTCCCCCCCCAGGAACAGGGTCTTGCTCTGTTGCCCAGGCTGGAGTGCAGTGGCACCATCATAGCTCAATGCAGCCTTCAGCTCCTGGCTCGAGCAGTCCTCCTGCCTTAGCCTCCTGCTTAGCTGTATGTGATGGTTAAGACTGAGTGTCAACTTGATTGGATTGAAGGATGCAAAGTATTGATCCTGGGTGTGTCTGTGAGGGTGTTGCCAAAGGAGATTAACATTTGAGTCAGTGGGCTGGGAAAGACAGGTCCACTCTTAATCCAAGTGGGCACCATCTAATCAGCTGCTGGAGTGGCCAGGATATAAAGCAGGCAAAAAACCAATGAAAAGGGTATGCCAAGACCAGCTCGGTTGGGGAGACCCTAACCCAGCGGTGCTAGAGGAATTAAAGACACACACAGAGGTGTGAAGTGGGAAATCAGGGGTCTTATAGCCTTCAGAGCTGAGATCCCCGAACAAAGATTTACCCACGTATTTATTAACAGCAAACCAGTCATTAGCATTGTTTCTATAGATGTTAAATTAACTAAAAGTATCCCTTATGGGAAATGAAGGGATGGGCCGAATTAATTGCAGCAGGAACACATCCTTAAGACACAGATCTCTCAGGCTTTTGTTTGTGGCTTAAGAATGCCTTTAAGCAGTTTTCCAACCTGGGTGGGCCAGGTATTCCTTGCCCTCATTCCCGTAAACCCACAACCTTCCAGCTTGGGCGTTAGGGCCATTATGGACATGTTATAGTGCTGCAGAGATTTTATTTATGGCCAGTTTTGGGGCTAGTTTATGGCCAGACTGTTGGGGGCTTGCTCTCAACAAGGGTAGACTGGCTTAGCCTCCCAGCCTACATCTTTCTCCCATGCTGGATGCTTCCTACCCTTGAACGTTGGACTTCAAGTTCTTCAGCTTTGGGACTCAGACTGGCTTCCTCAGCTTGCAGACGGCTTATTGTGGGATCTTGTGATCGTGTGAGTTAATAGTACCGAATAAGCTCCCTCTTTGTATATATATCTCCTATTAGTTCTGTCCCTCTAGAGAATACTGACTAATACACTCTATTACAGGAATGGGTCATCCCGCCAGGCTGAGCCCTCTTCTTGACAACACCTCAATATTGGCCACTTAAAAACTACAGATTCTCAGCCTGGGGAACATGGCAAGACCCTGTCTCTACCAAAAATACAAAAAAAAAAAAAAAATGCCTCAGCTTAGTGGTATACACCTGTGGTCCCAGCTACTAAGGAGGCTGAGGTGGGAGGATCACTTGCACCCAGGGAACGGAGGTTGCAGTGAGCTGAGATTGAGCCATTGCACTCCAGCTTGGGTGACAGAACAAGACCCTGTCTAAAAAACAAAACAGGCTGGGCGCGGTGGCTCACACCTGTAATCCCAGCACTTTGGAAGGCCGAGGCGGGTGGATCACAAGGTCAGGAGATCTAGACCATCCTGGCTAACACAATGAAACCCCATCTCTATTTTTTAAAAATACAAATAAATTAGCCGGGCATGGTGGCGGGCACCTATATTCCCAGCTACCCGGGAGGCTGAGGCTGGAGAACGGCATGAACCCGGGAGTCGGAGCTTGCAGTGAGCCGAGATCACGCCACTGCACTCCAGCCTGGGTTACAGAGTGAGATTCCATCTCAAAAAAAAAAAAAAAAAAAAAAAAAAAACACTACAGATTCTCCACACAAATGATATGCATATTGTGTATCTCCTTTACCCAACACTAAAACACTTGAATACTAACATAGTTTCTTTTTTTAATTGTATTTATTTATTTTAAGACAAAGTCTTGCTTTGTCACCAGGCTGGAGTGCAGTGGCAGTGGTGCCATCTCAGCTCACTGCAATCTCCGCCTCCTGGGTTCAAGCGATTCTTCTGCCTCAGCCTTCTGAGTAGCTGGGACTATAAGCGCGTGCCACTACGCCCAGCTAATTTTTTGTATTTTTAGTAGAGACAGGGTTTCACCGTGTTAGCCAGGATGGTCTTGATCTCCTGACTTCGTGATTCCATCCACCTCAGCCTCCCACAGTGCTGGGATTACAGGCGTGAGCCGCTGTGTTTGGCTGAATACTAACATAGTTTCTAACAGCTCGCTGTTGCATTCAGTTGCTACTGTTGCTACTTGCCTGAAAAAGCTTCAGGCTGCCAAAAAATTTACTGTTTGTTTTAGCCAACACCTTACAATAGGCCCCAACCTTCCTTTCTTAGAGCGTTTACTCAAGAGGGCTTACAATTGTGAATCCTTCTCCTGTCCCTTTGAGATGTACATGTTTCTCCTACAACTCAGGAGCATCTTTCTCAAGGACCTGAAAGCCATCCCTTTAAAATGTAATCAATCATCAGGAAGGTTAAGAGCCTCTGTCTTCCAATCTCTATGGGAAGGCAGCCAACAGACACAGCTGGCCTAACTGCATCAACCAATCCTTTGTCGTTTATAGGATATTAACTCACACAAGGTCCCGCAATATGCCGTCTGCAAGCTGAGGAGCAAGGAAGCCAGTCCAAGTCTCAAAGCTGAAGAACTTGGAGTCCAATGTTCAAGGGTAGAAGCATCCAGCATGGGAGGAATATGTAGGCTGGGAGGCTAAGCCAGTCTACCCTTTTCACTTTTTTTTGCCTGCTTTATATCCTGGAAGTTTAACTTCCCTGTCTCTACTGAGACACCACTCATCTTCCTCCCTACTCCTTCATTCTCCCTTTGAAACACCCTGTCAGCCGGGCTCATGCCTGTAATCCCAGCACTTTGGGAGGCTCAGGTGAGAGGACTGCTTGAGCCCAGGAGTGGTGGCACGTGCTTGTGGTACCAAGCTACTCAGCTCTGCCACCTGTGTACAAATTGAAGCTGAGTTCAGTTCATGCTAGATCCTCTTTCCTATTGCAACAGTATATTACTGATTAAAATATGTCCTTACCAGTTTAAGTAGTATCTGGCTTTATCTTTCACAGCATTAATAAAAGGCTGAGTTAGAACACGTTGAATTTTAGATGTTATTTCAGAGCAAGTATGCAAAGTAATCACTTCCTGAACTTCACAGAGTACCCTAAAAGGGAAAAGCACCACATTAAGTCCCAGAAAGGACTTTGGAAGGCCCTAAGTTGCTACTGCTGGAAAAGACACTGGCCAAAAGAAAAGAATAATTAAACTCCCAAGAAAATATTAAGCCTAAATAGGCCAACTAGTTTGTGCCTACAGGGAAGAAAAGCTGTATTATTTCCCACAGATGTGCACAAACACTATCTCCAAAATCTAGCCCTAAGTGCAAGTCAGGTAGAGAAAGACACATAAAGATAAAATAAAGGGAATAAAGGAAACAACAGGATACCAAAAAATCCTCCTGTTCTTCAAGGCCCATAAAACTCTAGACACTGGTGATGGTAAATATCTTAGCCTGTTCAAGCTACTATAACAAAATGCCATAGACTGGGTGGCTTATAACACAAATTTATTGCTTGCAGTTGTGGATGCTGGCAGCCTGAGATCAGAGTGCCAGAATGATGAGATTCTGGTGAGGGATGCAAATTGCTGCTTCTTGTATTCTTACCTGGCGGAGAAAGAGGAAGCGAACTCTCTCAGGACTCTGATACACTAATCCCATACATGAGGGCTCTACCCTCATGACCTAATCTAATCCTAATTGACTCCTAAAGATCCCACCTCATAATTCACATTAGTAGGAAGGGTTTCAACATACGAATTTTGGGAAAACACAAGCATTCTGTCTATAAAACAGTGAAGAAAAGTTATTTCTGAGAGTGGAGAGTGGCTATTTTAGGATTTCTACATTGGGCTGTGATATGGTTTGGCTGCATCCTCACCCAAATCTCAACTTGAATTGTATCTCCCAGAATTCCCACATGTTGTTCGAGGGACCCAGGGGAAGGTAATTGAATCATGGGGGCAGGTCTTTCCCATGCTATTCTTGTGGTAGTTAATCAGTTTCACGAGATCTGATGGGTTTGTCAGGGGTTTCCACTTTTGCTTCTTCCTCATTTTTCTCTTGCCACCACCATGTAAGAAGTGCCTTTGCCTCCTGCCATGATTCTGAGGCCTCTGGAGCCATGTGGAATTGTGAGTCCATTAAATCTCTTTTTCTTCCCAGTTTTGGGTGTGTCTTTATCAGCAGCATGAAAATGGACTAATACAGTAAATTGGTACCAGTAGAGTGGGGCGTTGCTGAAAATATACCTGAAAATGTGGAAGCGACTTTGGAACTGGGTAGCAGGCAGAGGTTGGAACAGTTTGGAAGGCTCAGAAGAAGACAGGAAAATGTGGGAAGGTTTGGAACCTCCTAGAGACTTGTTGAATGGCTTTGACAAAAATACTGATAATGATATGGACAATGAAATCCAGGCTGAGGTGGTCTCAGATAAAGATGAGGAACTTGTTGGGAACTGGGGCAAAAGTAACTCTTGTTATGTTTTAGCAAAGAGACTGGTGGCATTTTGCCCCTGCCCTAGAGATCTGTGGAACTTTAAACTTGGGAGAGATGATTTAGGGTATGTGGCAGAAGAAATTTCTAAGCAGCAGAGCATTCAAAAGATGACTTGGGTCCTATTAAAAGCACTCCATTTTAAAAGGGAAACAGAGCATAAAAGTTTAGAAAATTTGCAGCCGGACGATGCAGTAAAAAAGAAAAACCCATTTTCTGAGAAGAAATTCAAGCCGGCTGCAGAAATTTATATAAGTAGAAAGGGGCCTAATGTTAATCCCCAAGACCATGGGGAAAATGCGTCCAGGCCATGTCAGAGACCTTCATGGCAGCCCCTCCCATCACAGGCATAGAGGTGTAGGAGGAAAAAGTGGTTTTGTGGGCAGGACCCAGGGTTCCTTTCCTGTGTGCAGCCTAGGGACTTGGTGCCCTGTGTCCCAGCCGCCCCAGCCATGTCTGAAAGCGGCCAACGTAGAGCTCAGGGTGTGGCTTCAGAGGGGGAAAGCCCCAAGCCCTGGCAGCTTCCACATGGCGTTGAGTCTGCAAGGACACAGAAGTCAAGAATTGAGGTTTGGGAACTTCCACCTAGATTTCAGATGTATGGAAATGCCTGGATGACCAGGCAAAAGTTTGCTGCAGGGGCAGGGCCCTCATGAAGAACCTCTGCTAGGGCAGTGCGGAAGGGAAATGTGGTGTTGGAACCCCCACACAGAGTCCCTCCTGGGGCACTGCCTAGCGGGGCTGTGAAAAGAGGGTCACTGTCCTCCAGACCCCAGAATGGTAGATCCACTTACAGCTTGCATCACGCACCCGGAAAAGCTGCAGACACTCAATGACAGCCTGTGAAAGCAGCCGGGAGGGAGGCTGTACCCTACAAAGCCACAGGGGCGAAGCTACCCAAGACCATGGGAACCCACCTCTTGCATCAGTGTGACCTGGATGTGAGACCTAGAGTCAAAGGAGATCATTTTGGAGCTTTAAAATTTGATTGCCCCGCTGGATTTCAGAGTTGCATGGGGCCTGTAACCCCTTTGTTTTGGCCAACTTTTCCCATTTGGAACAGCTGTATTTACCCAATGCCTGTACCCCCATTGTATCTAGGAAGTAACTAGCTTTCTTTTGATTTTACAGGCTCATAGGTGGAAGGGACTTACCTTGTCTCAGATGAGACTTTGGACTGTGGACTTCTGGGTTAATGCTGAAATGAGTTAAGACTTTGAGGGACTGTTGGGAAGGCATGGTTGGTTTTGAAATGTGCGGACATGAGATTTGAAGGGGCTAGGGGCAGAATGATATGGTTTGGCTGTGTCCCCACTCAAATCTCAACTTGAATTGTATCTCCCAGAATTCCCATGTGTTGTGGGAGGGACCCAGGGGGAGGTAATTGAATCACAGGGGCCAGTTTTTCCCTTGCTATTCTCATGGTAGTTTATAAGTCTCACGAGATCTGATGGGTTTATCAGAGGTTTCCACTTTTGCTTCTTCCTTATTTTTCTCTTGCCGCCACTATGTAAGAAGTGTCTTTTGCCTCCTACCATGATTCTGAGGCCTCCCCAGCCATGTGGAATAGTAAGTCCAATTAAACCCTTTTTCTTCCCAGTTTTGGGTATATCTTTATCAGCAGCTTGAAAAGGGACTAATACACGCTGGGCGTGGGGAAGGGGCACCTGGGGAAACATGGTCAGGAGCTTTGGTTGCTCAGTGAATCACATGTTTTACTGGATTGGTTACTAAAGGAAGACAGGTGCAAGGGAATGACTGGAGATAATGTCATGGATGGAGTGGAGGTCTGGGTAGAGCCTCCCTCAGCTACCCCTTTTTTCTGCCACTAGGTTACAAGTCACACAATCCAATTCTTTTACGATCAAAGAATCAGTTTAACTTCTCTGGACGTCTGTTACTTTATCTATAAAATTAGGTGATTATCATCTCTGAGGCCCCTTGAGCTCCAAAAATCTCTAGATCCAGTAAAAGCAGCTTAAAATACAACATAGTATACAGGTACTAGTACCATGTAATTTATTATTTTTCAAAAATCCAAGCTTGTAGCCTATGCTGGTAATAGCAGATTATATCCTTTAAAATAATTGTTTCTTTGATGTCCTTACTTCTAAAGAAACTCAAAAGCCTGGCAATTTTACTATATATTTATAAAATAGTTGTCATGGTTAAAAATAAAGTCTGTTCCCAACAAAAAAACAGAATAAAAATGCATATTGTGCATCTTAGCAGCTTAAAAAATTCCTGGTTATTGTCTATTTAAAATTAGAACTTGCTGCTTGTGCTGAGCTTCTGATGTCTGTTTGATATGGTGTCATGTGCTCACATTAGTTGCCTCATCAGACGCTACTATTGGAGATGAAACTTTATTTTTCCAGTTTCAGGTGGAGATGTCTCCTTCTTTTCTTCCTCAAGGTGTTTTTTGTTTTGTTTTCTCCTTGGACCCACAGATAGCACACTTTGGTATGCTGGACCATCTTGCTACAGACTTTCTTAGTCAAGGGAGAGCAATGGTTAAGATTATGTCTAGCATAGTCTGCATTTGGCTCCTGATTAGAAATGGGAGCAGGGTAGATGTAGGATTCAAACTTGAACTTTTAAAGTTAAAATGCACCAGGACTTAGCCTTTTACATATGAAAGATTGCACTGTTGAACTCAAATTTTTCACCCTTCCCCGTATCAATGCCTTAGCCTTATAATTTTGCTGACGCTTGACTTGGAATTCAGCTATAAATGGCCAACAGAACAAAGAGGAAGTGATGCTATACCAGCTCTGAGCCAAGACTCTAAAGGCCTTATATGTTTTTACTTTTACTTGTATCTCTGGCACTGCCATGAATAAAATATTCCTGGACTGGTCCACTGGTTCTGTTGATGGCTGCTGTGATATCTCATGTAAGGGTAATAGCTGTGCTTTAGTCTGGAGTAGGCTGAAGTGGCCTTCTGGTGCAGCATGACTCAGCAGGTTTGGAGAGCAGGCGCACAACTGCACACATTATGAAACCACACCATGTGAGTGAGATGCATTAGATAACCACTCACATGAGTTCGTGCTTGGCTCGGAGCCACTATTATCTGTAAAAGGTATAACTACCCTGCTGGTGCTGTCCATATGGCTTGTGCCCAGAGAAAGAATAAAGCCATGTTGCAGCTGCCTACAATTCCTCAAGTGTTTTTCCAGCTACCTGCCACCATCTACCAATTCCCCTCAGACCTCAGCTTGGGCTCAAACCTGACACCTCAGTCCTCGTCTTCTTCACTTATAATAATTTAAACAAGAGACACACAGCAAAGGAGACACAGCATAGAACAATGTATTGCAAAGGCAAAATAATATTTTGAAAGTTAAGTGCAGAATAGACAGTATACCCTGAGAGACAGAGTTCAGGGCAGGTTGCTCGTAAGGATGAGATAGTGAAGACTGGCACTAGGGAATTCCCTTTCTGGGAGTCTTCCATGATTATTCGTAAAGATGTGGGAAGAGGTGTTACTAGTAAGCATGGTGAGTGGTCCTCTGGGTGCCCATGTACAGTAGCCATACATGCTTGTTCATACATTGCATGTCTCATTAGCATTTTAAATCTCCACCCAGGAGTGTGTTTTATAGTATTATAATGAGCAAAGGGTCAGTCTGAAGACAGGTAAAAATCAAAATGCATATGCTCTTTACAGGGGAAATTCCCTTCTGGAGATAGCTTGTTTGAATGAGCTGGACTACAGTGCAAATGCTGGGGCCTATGTTGACTGTATGGTCACCACGGTGGCTGTGTTCTGAGGACATGGTCACTTCCTTGACTACCTGTCCTGCCTCAACTCCAGGGGAAGCATGAGAGACATGTAGAACAGAACCAAATCACCACAGTCAAGCCCAATCTAGACTGACCAACTGTCACCCAACCACAGATCTGTGAGAATAGATGATTATTGTTTTAAGTCACTACATTTTGAGGTTGTTTGTTCCATAATATTTTGAAACAACAGATATCTCTTTACTGTATCTACACTCACTTGGTAATCTAATTTATTCTAATGGTTTAAAACATGTCATTACCCTAAAGACTACCAAATTTATATCCCCTACCCAGAACTTACCCATGAACTCTTGGCTGATATTTGCAGCTGACTACCACCTGGGTATTTAATTAACATCTCAAACTTACCTTGTCCCAAACTGAACTCCTGATTTTCCTTCTGAAACCTACTTCTCCTGCAGTCACCACATACAGCCCATCTGCAAATGCTGTTGATTTAACATCAATATATTTTCAAATCTGACCATTTCTCATCCACTAAAATCCTGGACTAAGTCACCATCACTCTTGTGTAGGTAGTGCAATAGACTCCTAACAGGTCTCTGCACATCCCCTTTTGCCTCTCTACAATTTATTCTCCCCAGAGCAGCCCGAATATTTCTTTTAAAGTCAAGTAATGAAAGCAATTTTTTTGTTATGAGAACTGTGTCTTTTGTCCTTTAGAAATTTTCACATTCTGGATTTTGCTGATTGTATCTGCATAACCCTGACTAATTTAAATGCCATCCACAATACCTGAATCATTGGTTAAAAAAATAATAATAAAAGCACTTGCTGATTGAAGAAGAAAATAGTCACTAATTGAAATGACTAAAAGCTTTTACTAACTCAATTTTAAAAATCAGGTATGGGGTAAAGAAAAATGTTTCACAAGCCAGATATTAGAATAATTCTTCAAAAAATCTGCTGGCTTTGCTTTCTTTCTCTTCCTATTTTTAAATTTCAGTATCTCTATTCCTGCATTCATTATAAAATAGTTCATCAAGATAAGGCTGATTCATTTTATTAAAAATTTAAAACCTTGAAGACTGACAAAAATGGATTATGGTTTTTAACATTTTTATCCTGGTAATATATTTTAATAGATATATATTTTATTGTCTGTGTCTGAGATATGAATCAATGATGACTGAGGTATGTTTGTTTTTAATCCTGTTATTTACAATAGCAGCCTTGAGATTAAATGGGTTTATGGCAGCAGAATTCACCCAAATGGATTCTATTTGAGGTAAGCATTGGACCAAAATAGGAAAATCCTACAAGAAGAGCCTCATTCATGTTTATGGATTCATACAAGCTATTCCTGGTATGAGGCTCAAATGAAACCATTTGCAAGCTGAAAGCTTGTACATTATGAAGTGTTTCTGGAAATAGGGCTCTTGGAAATGGAAAGTTTCTTTAAAAAGTAAAAATGAGTCACTGCATCTATTTTAAAAGGGGATTAATCTCAAATGGCTACATATAGGTGACTAGTCTTAGTTTTAAAAAAAACCATCTAAGTAAATAAAGTCAGAATAAAAACTAGAGAAACTACTTACTTTAATGCTTATCATTTCTTCATTCATTTGTTCATTCTTTCATTCAATGAGAATTTATTGAACTTCTAAGACGGTGTTACATCATGCAAGGGGTTGGATGAGGTGCAGTAGGCTAAGCACAAATAATAATCAGATACGTTCCTGCTCTGATGAAAATGATCAAATAGTAAGAAAAATGTGCCATAGAATGCAAGGAGTTAGAAAGCAGTAAATGCTCAGTGCTTAACAAAGGGAAAGTGAGAAGAAAAGAGAGTTTAGGTCAGTGTCTTCCAAACTTGACTGATCATCAGAATCATCTAGGGATTTTTTAATACACATAATTGTTTTCCAGTTTAAGATGGTGCACCAAATGCATGTATTTCTCTTCACTCTTTCCTGAGCTTCCATTAAATTAGAAATAAAGAGAAACATATTTGTAATAGCAAAGATATGGAGAAACATAAGCAATTTGAACAATCTCTGGAAGACAAAAAGTGGCAGGAAGTATATCAATAGACGATACACAGTAGAGAAAGCTATAGCCCAGAATGAGCCCGGAAGGGGTTGCAGTGGAGGTGGAAGTCATTGCCCTGAAAAATTTCACAAAAGCTCCCAATTCAGAGTTGGCAGGTACAACAGAGATCCAGCAGAGAAGCTGAGCTGAAAACAGATGGATCAATTGGGGATCTGTATATGCAATAGTCAGCCTTCTCGGCACTGACTCCCAACCCGCTTGGACAAGATAACAAACAGTATGGCATTTGCTACTGCGCAAGATAGAAAGTACTTTCCTCTTAGGAAATTAAACTATCGAGGAGAGCTAGGGTTGTTCTTATTGTGGCATTTGGGAGGCTGTTAGCTTGACTACGGATTCCCTACTAGGTCAATCCACCGCTAAACTGCTGGTTTCATGCTTTCACAAGTTCACAGAGCTTCCAGAACTCACGCTCCTTATTATTAAATACAAATAGGCAATCAGGACATGTAATGAAAACCAGCACAAGAACAAGAAGACTAGAATGAAAAATAAGTGAAATTGGCCAGGTGCAGTGGCTCATATCTGTAATCCCAGCACTTTGGGAGGCAGACGGGCAGATCACTCAAGCCCAGGAGTTCAAGAGCACCCTGGGCAACATGGCAAAACCCCGTCTCTACACAAAATTTTAAAAATAATTTAAAATTAAAAAAATAAGTAAAACTAACTTCAGAAGGGGGAAGAGATAATTCAGAAAAATGTCTAATTAGTGATAATAAAAGTTATTTAAGTGGCATTTAAGCAAAGGGTTTTCCCCCAGAAATTTTTATAAAAGAACAACCAAAAAAAGGAAAGAATTCTCTCAAAATTAAAAGCTTGATAGCCCACCAGAGAGGTTCATTGGAAGCTGAGGAAATCTCTAAAAATATGGAAAAAAAAGCATACAGACAGCAAATATGGGATAAAAAGATAGAAAACAGTAAAAATGAGAGTTTTATAAGGACAGAATGCAAGACAGAAAATAATAATAAAAATTTCCAGAGATGAAAAGAGCATGAGTGTTCAAACTGAAAAGACCTACTAGGTGCCAAGTAGGCTAAATCATTTTTTAAATTTTCTTTACCTGGACCCATCATCATGAAATTTCAAAGCATCTTATTAAAGAGAAGATGCTGAAAGCTTCAAAGGGGGAAAAATGTTATCTATAAAGAAATAAGAAATCAACTCGCCCCAAACGTAGACAACGGCACACTTCTTCCCAAATTTTGAGGGAAAATAATTTGAATTTAAAATTCTACAGCCAGCTGGGTGCGGTGGCTCATGATTGTAATCCTAGCACTTTGGGAGGCTGACATGGGAGGATCATTTGACCCAGGAGACTGAGGCACATTGAGCCGTGATCATGCCACTGCACTCCAGCTCGGACTACAGAGCGAGACCTTGTCTTAAAAAAATAAAAACAAATTTTAAAATAAATAAAATTCTATAGCCAAATTATCTACTAAATAAAATTTTATAGCCAAATTATCTACTAAAGATTTTAAAAACAAAAGCAAAACTAACATTTTCGAAACAAAAATTATTCAATTTTTTTTTTCTTTTGAGACAGGGTCTCACTCTGTCACCCAGGCTGGAGTGCAGTGGCATGCAAGCTCAGCTCACTGCAACCTCCACCTCCCAGGTTCAAGTGATCCTCCCACCTCTCAGCCTCCATAGTAGCTGGGACTGCAGGCACACACTACCACGCCTGGCTAATTTTTTTTTTTTTTTTTTTTTTTTTTTTAGAGAAGGGGTTTCGCCATGTTGCCCGGGCTGGTTTTGAACTCCTGAGCCAAAGGGATCCTCTCACCTTGTCCTTCCAAAGTGCTGGGTTTACAGGCGTGAGCCACTGTGCGTGGCCAAAAAGGATTTTAAGCATGTGGAAGACTCATCAAATTTTTATTTAATTGTCAACTATTTATTAAGTACCTATTTTGGCATTATCTTAGGTAATAGTAATACAACAAGAAAGACTGGTAGGTTCATTTATTCTTAAACCCAGTGGCACCATACAAATAACTGGCAGAGTTATCTGTTGGTATTGGTGGAGCTAATATACCTTGGATCTGGAGCAAAGCTACATAATATATGGGAGATTGAAAGTCAAAAAGCATCTGTTTGTATAAGCAGAGTGGATGCAGACTGTGAAGGCAGAGGGTTGAGGGGGGAGTGATAATGAATAGAACAAAGCTCAGGAAAGATTAGTTTGTTTGGCTGCATTTCTGTATATTGAGTATTCTGATAGTTCTCTACAAACTTGCATACAATTTTAGAACATTTCAGGCATCCAAATCATCTACATTAGAAAACACTTAACAGAGGCAGCTGCATTTCTTGAGCCAAGAAGAGTACAATTTAGGATAGAGACTATTTGTTCCTGCCCTAAAGGAGTTTGCAGTCTCACTGGACATGCATAAGACAGAAATAGCAATTAAAAAAACCCCAAAAACCCAAGGTGGTGCATAAGAAGGCCCAAGTGCAGAAAACCAAGTACCCTTACAAGATTCAGAGAAGGAAGAAAATATAAGGGTTTGGAGAACCAGGGCTGGGGTGGACTTGAGCTGTATCTTGAGGGTTGGGCACAACTTAAGATGTTACTGAAATGCCAGGGATATGGTCTAGGTCTTGCTGCTCAATGCACAGAATGCTAATCACTGAATCAACAAGTATTGCCAAGGAAGAAGGCTTTAATCAGGTACTGTAGCTATAGCCAAGGAGAATGGGAGATAAAGTTCCAAATCTATCTTCCAGACTGACCAAAATTGGGATGTGTATATATTGAAGGAGACAGGAAAACAGGAACTAAGGAGGGGTAAGGAAGCAATCACAATGAATGAGGGGTCTGGCATCTCATTGTCTGGATGCAATGATCTAGTAAGTTTCAGTTGCTTTTCTGAGGGTCAGTTTCCTGAGGAAGGAACTCAGTTAAAGTAAGTTTCAAGTTTTAAGATGGAGGGTCAATTTCTATGTTTACTTAAAAACTTGTAAATATTATTTCTATGGGGCAGTTGGGCCAGTTTCAAAGAGAGGAAGGAAGGAGGGCCTTCTTAGCGGGGAAATGGTGTCACCAAAGGCAAGAACATCAGGAAAGGGGGCCAACATATGGAAAAAGTCCTGATATGAAATGGCAATGTAGATTGGATCCACATTATATAAGACATTGAACGACAGGTAAAGATTTGAGTTTTATTTTGTAGACAATAGGTAGCATCAAAAATTTTCAAGATAAAAGTGGTGGTATGAAACATTAGGCCATATATTTCTTTGTAGTATTAACTTTAAGCTTTTGGCTATGCTGCTTGAGAATGTTATCCTAATTCAATTTGGTTCTGGACCAGCTACATGGGTCAATTAGCTTTGGCTTATTGAGAGTTTGGAATAAAAAGTTCTGTTCCTGAAGATGGAACACCCATCTGTTGTTGCCAAGATTTCTGTTCCCTGTTACTTAATGTTAAAGAAGGAAACCTCTTAGGAGTTCTGAGAATTAATCAGTATCTCCTAGGGGCTTTCTTACGTCTGTTGTTATTTATGTAGCTTATTAAGGAAAAGATCTTTCTTTATAAATATCACCTTATTCATCTTTGTTGAGGTAACCATGTATGCACTCAGGAAAAATAGTTGGGGTTTGAGAGTAGAGGAAGAAACCAAAGCATATTAAGAAGGATGTTTATAGATGTTAGAATTTGGGGACTCTGAGGACCCTGAAAACCTGTTATATTATGGAAGAGCTTTGTATTTTCTAAGTAATAGAAAAACCACACGATTTTCTTCTAATATACTTTTCCCTGAGCAGGAAACACAGATTTTTTTCTCTTCTGGCTTCAGACATAGCCTAAGTAAAAGTGAGACCACAGGCCAGGCACGGTGGCTCACGCCTGTAATCCTAGCACTTTGGGAGGCAGAGGCGTGAATCACGAGGTCAGGAGATGGAGACCATCCTGGCTAACATGGTGAAACCCCATCTCTACTAAAAATACAAAAAATTAGCCAGGCGGGGTGGCGGGCGCCTGTAGTCCCAGCTACTCGGGAGGCTGAGGCAGGAGAATGGCATGAACCTGGGAGGTGGAGCTTGCAGTGAGCCGAGATCGCACCACTGTATTCCAGCCTGGGCAACAGAGCGAGACCCCCTCTCAAAAAAAAAAAAAAAGTGAGACCACAGATGGTGTGTTAAGCATTTATTTGTAAAGGTCTATTCAGGTTACTTCAAGCAATGGGAGTTGATTCAAAAATATTTATGACAACAATAAAAACAGAAATCTTGCCTGTATATCCAGACCTCACAAGGACCCAGGAACACCACAGAATGGGGCTCACAAAGCAGGAATGGAGCTTGGGAAGTGACATAGCCAGTGAGCTTCCAGCCCGGCCATGGGTCTGTAGCTCCCTCTGGTTGTGTATGCCATTTCTACTGACTTTGGTGTTGCTTGTCTCTGTTTTGACTAGGCCAGGCTCTGGCAATCACCTTCTCTTGACTCCTGTTTGCCTTGTTGCTTCAGATGACTCACAGCCTCTGCTTCCTCTCAGTTGCTGCTTATTAGTTACTCTTCTTGCCTCATGGCTTCTGCCTATTGCTTCTTTCTCTTTGTGTCTTGGTTTCTGCCCTCCCGCCACCAGTTACTCACTCTATATGTCTTCAATTCAGATTCCCTGAATTCAAATGCAGGTCTAGGGCCAAGGGCACAGCAGAGGGTTTAATATTTCAATCGGACAAGGAGAAAAGTCATCTTTTGAGACTGAAGGGAAAAGGTGAGGTAGATACTTCTGTAGGTGAGAACAAGAAGTTCAGAGGTCAAGTCTGATAACTTTTGTCTCAGTAGTCAAGTAGGGGATAGCACTGTCTGCTGAGAATGAGGGCCTAGGCTTGAGAAAGGAGATTGTAGAGCACTGTTTTGGACTAGCTTTAGATGGAGAAGAACTGACCTGAAACAGGTGAAAACATTGACAGGTGAAGCTGAGAGCTGAGGTGTGAGAGTAGATGAGACCAATCTGCCAATTCATGTAGCTTGTGTGATTTCTTCTTGACTGTGTGATTTCAGTCCTGCCTAACCTCCACCCCCACCCCCTGGGTAGGAATGATGGGGTCAGGTAAGAGGAGAGCTCAGAAGATCAACTACTTGCATTGGCAGAAAAGAAAAGTTAGAAAGAAGCTGAGAAGAGGGAGAGATCGGGGACTGGAAGTCTTGAAGAGGTGGATGAAAATGCAGAAAGAATGGGTGATTGGGATTAGAAAGTAGGATATTTGAATGTAGCATTTCAGAGGTGATGACATGGTGTGACATGTATGGGAGATTAAATATGGCCACAACTTCTTTGCAGCTCCTCTTTCCACTCTGAATCTGAGCTGGCCTTGGCACTTGTTTTCATCAATAGAATGCAGATGCAGTGATGTTGTGCAAATTCTGGAACCTAAACCTCAAGAGGCCTTATAGCATCTGCCTTTGCTCTTGGAATGCTGCCCTGGCACCCCCATGACATGAGAAAACCCAGAATGAAAGACCATGGAAAGAGAGTCCCAGTTATCCCAGTTGTCTCAGCGTAGCCCACTTCCCACCCACCTGCCAGGAGTGAGCCCAGTGGGACCAACAGAACTGCCCAATCTGCCTACAGACTCATGAAAATTAATACATCATTGTTTTAAGCCACTAAGGTTTACAGTGATTTATTTCAGCAATAGTTAACTAAATCCCATGGGAGTACCCTAATGTGATATAGCTTCCTTTGGCTAGAGCCTCCTTCCCCCATCTTTGCCACCCATTCCCCTGCACTCACACTTTATTTGACCAAATGTTCAGTCCATGTATCACCCCCTCTAGCCAAAGTGTACCAAGAAGGATGAAAATAAGATGTTAGAAAGAAGCCTTTCCTCATCCTCCAGTCCACGTCAGATGTTCTTTATGTTTCCAAAGCATCTTCTGTCTATCTCTACCACAGCACTCCTGCTGCATCATAAATATTTGTATTCTTCACTGCACAGCATGTATCTTGAATGTAAGCTTTCCTAAGCCCAGTACCTTGCACCATTCCTGGCACCTAGCTGTCATTCAGTTGTTTATTGAAGAAATAATCCAATATTTTACACTTCAGATGAAATCTTGCTCCTTCACTTACAGAGAAATAGCCTTGCCAATAGTATAACATGACAATGACCACAGTATCCATACCTAAAAATACACTTTGTGTAGTAACGGAAGAGATGAATACTCATGAATGGTTTTACCCTCCTCCTTGCTAATCAAAGTCTTATTGGTACAGATTAAATCTCACCTCCTCCATGAAGCATTGCCTACTAGTGCTATCCGACACTCACTCACTCTGTTGTACTCACTCACTTAGGCTTCTTTATTGCCTGGCTTACTGATTCACAGCATGAGTTTGGGAATCAAAGAGCCTTAGGTTCAAATCCCAGGTGGACTATTCATTTTATTTATTGAACACATCACTTGAACCCTCTGATACCCACTTTCCTGATCTGTAAAATGGTTGTAAGAATCCCTATCTTATGGGGTTATTGTATTATATAATAAAGTATTTAGTACTTGATACTTGGTAAGTTCTTAATAAATGGTAGTTATTATTCGTGATTCTTCCTGAAAGGATCTGTAGGGAGGTCTGTCTGTTCCATGACCCTAAGCAGAACCACAGTTATGCCATCCTGTAGAGCTGCCTTTAGCATTTCAGAGAAGGGTTATTGGTAAGATGGCACAGTTTCAGAATCTTACTCATTGAAAATCTTTCCTAATGCATGGTGAATGACTACAAGTCTGGGTTTGCTTGAGGATTGTCATTAGTTGAAGAGGTGACACTTTAGGGGCATTTATCTGGATTTCTTTAGTATCTGCTTTGAGGAAGGTCTTTCTCTTTGTAGCAAAACAACTATTCTGTTTTTTTATTTGTTTTGTTTTGTTTTGTTTTGTTTTGTTTTGTTTTAAGATGGAGTCTTGCTCTGTCGCCCAGGCTGGAGTGCAGTGGCGCAATCTCAGCTCACTGCAAGCTCCGCCTCCTGGGTTCATGCTGTTCTCTTACCTCAGCCTCCCGAGTAGCTGGGACTACAGGCACCCGCAGCCACGCTAATTTTGTTATTGTATTTTTAGTAGAGATGAGGTTTCACCATGTTAGTCAGGATGGTCTTGATCTCTTGACCTCGTGATCCACCCGCCTCGGCCTCCCAAAGTGCTGGGATTACAGGTGTGAGCCACCATGCTCAGCCAACTATTCTTTACTAGTGCTGACAGCTCCATTTTGGGCTCTTGTGGCTTGAAAAAATTGATAACCTAATCATTTCCCATTTGCTGCTTCTAACAACCCACTTCACATGATACTATTGTGCGGGAATGTGCAGAAATGGAGATGACGTTTAGTGAAGAGCCCTGGGACCCTCAGAGGAAGAAGCCATCATCATGAGGTCATCTTTGTGGCTGAAAGATACAAAGACCCCTAAATTCATAGAATGAGAGGCTCTAAGCTTTCCTTTATGGATCATGAAGGGGAACTAAGGGGAGTAGCTCTTTCCAGAATGGATTAGCTTCAATGTTCCAGATGAAGAAGACAAAGAGGAGAGGGGGTTGCAGAAGAAGGAGAGGAAGTTGAAGAGGAAGACAAAGAGGAGGCAGAAAAACAAAAGAGGAAGGTGTAGGAGGAAACAGCAGAATTGATCAAGCAGAGGAAAGAATCAGTGAGCTCAAAAATAGGCCATATGAAAATACATAGAGGTGAAAAAAGAATGAAAAGAAATGAAGATTGCCTACAAGATATAGAAAATTACCTCAAAAGACTTCAAATGTAAGAATGATTGGTGTTCCAGAGGGAGTTGTGCAAGAGCAGGGAGCAGAAAGTTTACCCAAGGAAATAGTAATAGAAAACTTTTCAAAACTTGAGAAAGATATAAATGTCCAGGCACAGGAAGGTCAGAGAATAACAAACAGTTTTGACCCAAGTAAGACTATCCCAATGTAATAATCAAAGTCTCAAAAGTCAAGGACAAAGGAGGATGCCAAAAGCAATGATTGAAAAGAAGCAAATAACATGTAAAGGAGCTCTATTTCATCTGGCAGCAGACTTCTCAATGGAAGCCACATAGGCCTGGAGGGAGTGGCTTGGCATTTTCAAAGTGCTTAAACATAAAAAATTGCCATTTAAGAATACCATATCCAGCAAAGCTATCTTTTCAATATAAAAGATTAATTCTTTCCCAAGCAAAAGCTGAAAGAATTTACTACCACCAGACCTGTCTTACAAGAAATGCTAAAGAGAATTCTTCAACATGAAAAAATAATCCACTGTATTAGTCCATTGTCACACTGCTATAAAGACATACCCAAGACTGAGTAATTTATAAACAAAAGAGGTTTAATTGATTCACAGTTCCACAGGCTGTACAGGAAGCATGGCTGCAGAGGCCTCAGAAAACTTAAAATCATTGCAGAAAGTGAAGAGGAAGCAGGCACATGTTTACATAGATGGCAGGAGAGAGAGAGAGTGAAGGGGGAAGTGCTACACACTTTCAAACAACCAGATCTCATGAGAACTCACTACCATGAGAACAGCAAGGAGGAAATCTGCCGCCGTGATCCAATTACCTCCCACTAGATCCCTCCCCGAACATTAGATATTACAATTCAACATGAGATTTAGGTGGAGACACAGAGCCAAACCATATCACCCACTAATGTGCACTAAGAAAACATTTGAAGGTATAAAACTTACTGGTAAAAGTGAGTACACAAACACATTCAAAATATTCTAATACTGTAATTGTGGTGTGCAATCCACTCATAACTCTAGTATGAAGCCTAAATCTATCAAAAACAGTAGTAGATGCAGCAACCTGTTAAGAAATAGACAATGTAAAAATATGTAGATTGAGACAACCAAAAATCAAAGTGTTGTGGGGATGGAGTTAAAGTGCAGAGTGCAAAGTATAGAGTTACAGTGAAATGATGAAAAAAGATATCCTATGCAAGTGGAAAGCATAAAGAGCAGGAGAAGCCATGCTTAACTCAGATAAAACAGACTACAAGTCTGGCTGGGCGCAGTAGCTCACGTCTGTAATCCCAGCACTTTGGGAGGCTGAGGTGGGTGGATCACTTGAGGTCAGGAATTCGAGACCAGCTGACCAACATGGTGAAGCCCCATCTCTACTAAAAATACAAAAATTAGCTGGGTGTGGTGGCACATGCCTGTAATCCCAGCTACTCTGGAGGCTGAGGCAGGAGAATCACCTGAACCCAGGAGGTGGAGATTACAGTGAGCCGAGATCATGCCACTGCACTCCAGCCTGGGTGACAGAGCAAGACTTAGCCTCAATTAAAAAAAAAAAAAAAGAGTAGACTATAAGAACTCAAAGAAGACTGCTGTGTAATAATAAATGGGGTCATTTCAGCAAGAGGATATAACAATGTAATGATAAAGGGGTCATTTCAGCAAGAGGATATAACAATGTAATGATAAAGGGGTCATTTCAGTAAGAGTATATAACAATTATAAATATGTATGCACCTAACACCAGAGTATCCAAGTATATAAAGCAAACATTAATAGATTTAAAGGGAGAGACAGACTGCAGTACAGTAATAGTGGAGGACTTCAACACCCCATTCTCAGTAGTAAGACAGATCATCCAGACAGAAAATCATCAAAGACACATTACATACTAGACCAAATAGGCATAATGGACATTTACAGAACATGTCATCCAGCTACTGCAGAATACATATTCTTTTCATCGGCACATGGAAGATTCTCTGAATAGACTATATCTTAGGCCACAAAAGAAGTCTCAACAAATTTTAAAAAGCAGAAATCATATTAAGTATCTTTTCTGACCTCAGTGGTATAAAACTAGAACTCAATAATAAGAGGAACCTTGGAAACTCCACAAACACATGGAAATTAAACAACATGCTCTTGAATGATCAATGGGTCAATGAAAAAATTAAGAAGAAAACTTTAAAAAATTATTGAAAGAAATGAAAATAAAAATACAATATACCAAAATCTATGGGATACAGGAAAAGCAGTACTAAGAGGGAAGCTTATAGCAATAAATACCTATATCAAAAAAGTGGAAAGACTTTAAATATAAGGACCTAGAAAAGCAAGGGCAAGCTAAATCCAAAATTAGTTGAAGTAAAGAAATAGTAAAGATCAGAGCTGAAATAAATAAAATTGAGACTAAAAAGTCAATCAATATGAAGATCAACAAAACAAAAAGTTGGTTTCTTGAAAAGATAAACAAAATTTAAAAATATTTAGCTAGACTAAGCAAAAAAGAAAGAAGACTCAAATAAAATCAGAAATGAAAAAGAAGACATAATAACTGAGAGCACAGAAATACAAGGAATCATTAGAGACTATTATGAACAACTATACACCAATAAAAATCCTAGAAGAAATGGGTAAATTCCTGGACATATACAACCTACCAAAATTGAACCACGAAGAAACAGAAAACCTCCACAAACCAATAATGAGTAACAAGATTGAAGCCATAATAAAAAGTCTCCCATCAAAGCCCAGGACCTGATGGTTCACTGCTGAATTCTACTAAACATTTGAAGAACTAATATCAATTATACTTAAATCCTTCAAAAAAAATTGAAGAGGAGGTCAGGCAGGGTGGCTCCCAGCACTTTGGGAGGTTGAGATGGGTGGATTGCTTGAGCTCATGAGTTCAAGACCAGCCTAGCCAACAGGGTGAAACCCTGTCTCTACCAAAAATACAAAAATTAGCTAGGTGTGGTGGCATGTGCCTATGGTGCCAGCTACTCAGGAGACGGAGGGGGTAGGATGGTTTGAGCCTAGGAGGTGGAGGTTGCAGTGAGCCGAGATTGTGCCACTGCACTCCAGCCTGGGTGACAGAGCCAGATGTCAAAAAAAAAAAAAAAAAAAAAAAGAGAGAGAGAGAGAGAAAAACTGAAGAAGGGGGAATATTTCCATACTCATTATACGAGGCCAGTATTACCCTGATGCCAAAACCAGACAAGGACACAACAACAACAAAGAAACTACAAGGCAGTATCACTGATGAACATAGATGCAAAAATCCTCAATAGAATATTAGCAAACTGAATTGAACAACATGTTAAAAAGATAGTTTACCATGATCAAGTGGGATTCATCCCAGGGAGGCAAGGATGGTTCAACATACACATATCAATAAATGTGATACATCACATTAACAGAACTAAGAACAAAACTCATATGATCACTTCAATAGATAT
This sequence comes from Homo sapiens, assembly GCF_000001405.40. Classification (NCBI taxonomy): domain Eukaryota; kingdom Metazoa; phylum Chordata; class Mammalia; order Primates; family Hominidae; genus Homo; species Homo sapiens. Next base: position 47,198,915 of record NC_000018.10, read on the forward strand.
TGAGAAAGCATTCAGTAAAATTCAACATCCCTTTATGATTTAAAAAAAAAACTCTCAAAAAACTGGGTAGAGAAGGAAGATACCTCGAGCCTGGGTAACATGACAAAACCTCATTTCTACTAGAAATACAAAAAGTTAGCTGGGCATGGTGGTGCGTGCCTGTAGTCCCAGCTACTTGGGAGACTGAGGTGGGAGAATCACTTGAGCCTGGGAAGTTAAGGCTGCAGTGAGCTGAGATTGCACCACTGCACTCCAGCTTGGGCAATGGGAGTAACACCCTGCCTAAAAAAAAAAAAAGAAAAAAGAAAGAAAGAAAGGAAGAAACATATCTCAAGATAATGAAGGCCGCATATGACAAACCACAGCTAACATTAACGGGGACAAATTGAAAGCCTTTCCTTTAAAATCTGGAACAAGACAAGTATGTCCAGATTCATCACTTTAATTCAACGTAATACTGGAAGTTATGGCCAAAGAAATTAGGCAAGAGAAAAAAATAAAGGACATTCAAATTGGAAAGAAAGAAATCAAATTAACCTTGTTCACAGATGACATAATCTTTTATTTAGAAAAATCTAAAGACTCTACCAAAAAAACTTAGAACTGAATAACAAATTCACTAAGATTGCAGGATACAAAATCAATATACAAAAATCAGTAGCATTTATACACATCAATAGCAAACAATCTGAAAAAAATCAAGAGAGCAATCTCATGTACAATAGCTACAAAATATATAAAATACCTAGGAATTAATTTAATCAAAGAAATGAAAGATCTATAGAAGGAAAACTATAACACACTGATGAAAGAAATTGAAGCGGACCCCAGGAAATGGAAAGATATTCTACATTCATGGATTAGAAGAATTAAAATTGTTAAAATATCAATACTACCCAAAGCAATTTACAGACTCAATGCAATCTCTGTCAAAATACCAATGACATTCTTCAAAGAAATAGAAAAAGCAATCATAAAATTTATGTGGAACCATTCTAAGGTGTACTAGTCAGTGGCATTTAATATACTCACAATATTGTAAAACTACCACCTCTGTCTAGCTCCAAAACATTTTAATCACTCCAAAAGAAAACTCTGTACCCATTAAGCAAGCTCTCTCAATTGTCTCCTTATCCCTAAACAGACACTGGAAACCACCAGTTTGCTTTCTGTCTCTATGGATTTACCTATTATAAATATTACATAAAAATAGAATCATGCAATATGTGACGTTTTATGTCTGACTTCTTTCACTTAGGATATATTTTTAAGTTTCATTCATGTTGTAGCATGTGTCAATACTTCATTTCTTTTCATGATTGAGTAATATTCCATTTTATGGATAAACCACATTTGGGTTGTTTTCACCTTGTGACTATTGCAAATAGTGCTGCTGTGAATATTTTTATGCAAGTATTTGAGTACTTGTTTTCAAAACTTTTGTGTATATACCCAGGAGGGGAGTTGCTGGGTAATATGGTAATTCTGTTTACTTTTCTGAGGAACCGTCAAACTGCTTATGGAGTGGCTGCACACCAGTTTGCATTCTCACTAGCAATGTATAATAGTTCCAATTTTCCTACATCTTCACCAATACTTGTTTTTGTTTTTTGATATTGGCCATTCTAGTGGATGTGAAATGGTATTTCATTGTGGTTTTGATTTGCATTTGCCTGATAACTCATAGTGTTGAACATCTTTTCATGTATTCAGTGTTCATATAACTTCTTTGGGGAAATATCTATTCAAGTCTTCTGTTCATTTTTAAAATTTGGTTATTTGTCTTTTTATTATCATGTTGTAAGTGCTCTTTATGTGTTCTGAAAGCAAGTCCCTTATCAGATATATTATCTGCAAACATTTCCCTTTACTGTGAGCTGGTCTTCTTTTACCTTCTTGATGTTATCATTTGTAGCACAAAAGTTTGTAACTTTAAGGAAGTCAAATTTATTTTTTCTTTTGTCACTAGTGTTTTTGGTCTTGTATGCGTGAAAACATTGTTTGACCCAAGGTTATGAAGATCTACTTTTATATTTTCTTCTAAGAGCTTTATAGTGTTAGCTCTTTGACAGAAGACACTTTGAATAGCACTGTCTTGGAGTGTTTATCTTACTAGAAACATATAATACTTAGTCAAAGAAATCATGCTAGTTGTGAAATTTCAGCTTCAAGTGAGATTAGCGAGGGGAGATATTTTTGTTTAAGAGGGGTCTTCCAGCACCCTTCAGATTGTGAAAGTCTGGGCACTGCCAACTCACCTGTGTAGGGAGCAATGTAATGGTTAAAAGCAGAGATTTTTGAAGTCACAATCGCCCTAGTTTCAAACTCCTACTTTTCTACTTAATCAGCTGAGTAGCTTAACTCCTTTAAATTTCAATTAAATAGTCCCTACTTCATAGGGTTGTTGAGAGGATTAAATGAAATAATGCATTAAGCATTGTGCATAAACTTAGCACAATGTTCATCTTACTGTAATCACTCAATGAAAGTTGGCTGCTGGTATTATTATTGGCTGCCAAGTAATTGGATGATAGTGCCATATAAGCAGAGGGATGAAAAAGCAACTACACATAAAATTACAGTTTCACCAATGATAGTTTAGTACTGAATTCAAACAGTATTTAACCGTGTTTTAAAACACACAATTTGGGGGAAATGTTGATTCTTTAAAAAGTCAATCCCTAGAGGGCCATAAAAGCTATTTCAATCACTGTAACTAATTACAAGGAAGTATAAATCAATAAACTTTGCTAAATGGTCTAAAATATAGTAAAGAAAACTGTCATTAACAATCATCCAGGAAGCCACTGTCCTTAATAGTGAGATGATGTAAAAGTTGGATGTGAAGAATGAATTTTATTATTTGAAAACTCCAGGTGTTAACAATGCTTTTAGAGAAGTTCTTAATTCAGCACAGAGTCATGGCTTTTCTGAATGATTGTTTACTTTAGGTAACTTTATTTTTTCTAAATTATATGTATATTCATCTTGGTATGGAAATAAGTGGCCATCTGCAGAGAAGTCTTGTCAGCTCTCAGTGTTTTTCAGCACCTTTCTTAGCTCAAAACCAGCCCCCTTCTCATCCCTCTTCCTAAAGCTCCAACACTGCTTCAGGTCCCAAATCAAGACTGGAGTCATGCTACGTTTAGAAAGACTTTGCTTTTTTTCCTCCCAGTCCTGTGTGGTAGTTACAGGCTCAAATCTGGAAGTCCCAGAGCCCTCTCCTGGGTTCCCAAGCTTACCTTGCTGCCCCTCTGAGTGGGAGAGCCAATGCCCACATGGGCTCCTGAGCCAAAGAGCTGTCTGCCCATCATGTCTTTGAGTCTAGGACTCGGTTTGCTTCTTGCCACCTATTTATTCTCAATGGTGTGTTTCCCCAAGGACAGAACCTGCCCGTAAGTGAAATGTGAGTGGCAGGGCCCTGTATCATGGATGATGGTGATTGACAACCTCCTACTTTTGAACTTGCCTGTGCTGCTGAGATCTATTCCCATGTTGGGGTCTGGCTACATACCTGCTCACATCTTTCTTTGTGTCATATGAGAACCTATGAGGCCTTTTGGACAGTTTACTTTTCTAGTCCGTCTCCTATCCTACCCTGGAAAGCCAGCCAAGTTCAGGTTCATCCCCTTTCCGTATCTTCACCTGCGTATACTGCAATGGGAGATATCAGAGATGTTACACAGTTGGCTTAGTGTGATGGTGAGGTCAAGAAATAGACAAGAATAGCTTGCCATGGCAGTAAGAAGAACTGGATTTAGGGTTGACTCTGCAACTAGTTAGCCTCCATATCAAATACCCTTAGCTAAATCAAAGGGCCAATGAGCTCATAAAATGAAATAAACAGCATAAATATGCATTGGAAAGTTGTCACATAAATAAGAAATCATGCAATTGTTGGCTGATGGGGGCCCTCAAATAGAGCAAAAGGTTTTATAATCAGAGTTAATAGAAAATCTAAAGTAATGTGGTTAAATAAGATAGAACCTCATTTTCTTCCAACATAAAATAAATTTGGAAATGGGCAGTCTGGAGTTGGAGTGGTGGTTCAGTAGTTGCCAAGGACCCTGGCTTTTATTATTTTTTTTATGCCATAGTATTAACAGTATATGGTTTTCATCTTCAAAATCACCTCATGGCCTGAGATGGCTGCTGGGCCTCCATCCATCTTACAGACATCAGAAAAGAGAGAAAAGGAAAGGAAAAAAATAAATATTTAAGTCAAAGCTCTTTTGAAGCTACCTTTCTGAAAGTTCCACATGTTTCTACCTGCATCCCATTGGCCAGGATATAGTCACATGGCCATGTCTAACTGCAAGTAAACCTGGAGAAGGTAATCTTTCAATTAGGTGTATTACCACCTGAGAATGAGTATTACAGGATGGCAACTAGCATTTGCCACATTATGATCATTTGAAATCAGATGAGAAGTCAACCTTTGAGAGAGCTTAAATCGATAACAGTGAACTGATTTGCTTCTGTGATTGGCTCAAATAAAATAAAGGAGATAGAATCACTCATTTAACAAAACTGTTTTGTGCTGCTGCTACCTGCCAGGGACTATGCTAAGCACTAGGGAGAGGGTAGTGAGCTGAAACAAACATCTTCTGTCCTCCTAAAGTTTACAGTACACATCTCCCCCACAAGAGTCTGTTATTACAAACATGGTTTGGGTTGCCTATAAGGAATCTTGTAAGATGGTCAGACTTTGTGTGCTCAACTCTGTAGAGAGAGACAAAGGCCCTCTGCCCGTAGCATGGAGAGTGCTGGGAGTTAAATGACAGTGGTTACACATCCTTACCACTCAGACAGTGTTCCTTTTCTCTAACCTCTCTCACTGCTGACCACCCCAACACCGTCTTAACTCTTAACTCTTAAATGAAAGAGCTCCTATCAGTTTGATCATATCCCCTGTAGCTAGGAGAGAGTTCTCTCTATTTCCCACAGAGCAGAGGCCACACTCATTGTTCAATCTAAGGAAATTGGGATGTGATGTCCCTCTCTCCTTGCCTGTGGCAAACAGACAAGCAATTACTCAGGCATTCTGAGGATGGAAAGCATCAGTCTGAAATGTCTGGTCTGCCCCAACAGGAAATACTTTATTGTTCGGGCCTGGATTTTTGCTTTGATTTGCTGATGCTTTTTCTGATTTTATAATTTAATTTGGAATTAAAATAGAGAATTGTATTTGCATTGCCTGCATGCTTTATTAGCTAGTATTTGGATTGACCTTGGAATTTTGACATGATAAAACAAAGAAAAGAGCACAGCATTTTTTTTCTGCTGTCATTTTGTACACCAAGAATTTTTACATGTCTTTCTGAGGAGTAGCTTTATTTTTAGCCCCATGCAGCACTTGAGATGGATGTCCTGTCTGTTTCCACAAGGCAGCTCAGATAACACAATTATATCCAGTTTTAGGGAAGAATTCTTTTGCTCCAACTTAAAAGCAATAAACATTACTAGAACAGGAAAAAGATGTTCACTCTTCTTAATGAGAAAACACATGGGGTAAATGACATGTTTCCACATCACATATGTGATTTCCTTGACTCTTTTTCTCTGAAGCTTTGGGTTTTTGGCGTGTAGCTTTATGGTTACTCGGAGGATTGTTAGGCTCTAGTGCTTGTAATGAATGGAGACTCTAAGGCATGGGAGTAAGGTCAACAGGAGTCCCCTGGCACTCAGAGACATGTATAGCTGGGCTTCTTTGGAATCTGGAATTTAGGTGGAGAACTGGAAGGCACCAATGCAGTTTTAACATTCTTCACTTGATCTTAGCCAAAAGGCCGAGAAGCGATAGTTTTAACATTCTTAGCAGCAGAGGCAAATGGTTTTCTGTACTGAACTTGGCCATGAACTCAATGCAGAGTTATGCCATGGTTAATATGTCCAGAGTGCTGCAGACATACTGGTCAAGTTATTGGGTTATCTCTCTTTTGCTACAAGATCATTTGCTGATATTTTACCACTAATAACTCATAGATATTTAAAGTTGCAATTGGAAAGGAAAGAATGACATTTCAGGCCGGTTTACACTGCCAGTTGATGCAGCTGCAGGACAAAGACCTTAAATTTATCTGTAAATCTGTTATTCTCCCTCCAAACTCCTGGGCCAAGCTGCTCTTGCTCTGAGAAGCTATCTGGTCCTAGAGTTTGCATTGGATTCTATAGAAAATGACCTCTGCTGTCCCCTGGTGGCTAGTCATGAAGCCAGGTTTGTGACCTCCCAGATGATTTTCTGCCACCTCTGATATCCTTGGCTTAAAGTACAAAGCTAAGAGCCACAGGGCTTCCATCCCTTTGTGAAATTTCATGCTTATATCGGAGAAAATTCTCCACTTACCTGACTGCTCAAATTACACACCTAGGTACAATTACCAGTTTTAGAAACATGTATCATGTCCAAAGGACTGTGTGAGACTCATACCTGCACCCAGGCCCCTCCTGGAAGAACAGCTCAAAGAGAACATTTTTTGTCACAGCATCTTCATATTAGTTTCTGCTAGTGGTCACTGAGAACCTGTTTCCAGACTCTGGGACTTGGTTTACATTCCTTCTCGAATGCAGCTTCTCATCCTTCATAGGCTAGGAAGATCACAAATGAGTATCCCTCCTTTGGTTTTTTATTGTCACAGCCAAGATAAGAGCATTTATCTCAAGGGTAAGTTGTGAAGCTTTTTGGGATAGTTCATGGTAATAAAGCTGGTGGGGAAAAAGTATTAAATCTCATGGCGATGCATCTGAAGGCTGTTTTGAAATCTGTTGAGGGATGCCAATGGTGAGATGTTTTTTCAGTTAGGATGGGCTTTGGCAACCTCAGGTTGGGAGGTCATCCATGGTGGACTTCTGTGCAACCCACATTACCTTAGAAATCTTGGCTGCAAAGTGTTCACTATTTAACTCTCTCATCTGAAAAGCAGAATTTGGGGCATAATATGATCTTGTGGACTTGGATTTAACATCACAGTAAGTAGGAAGGCCTACGATGGGCTCTATCAGCAACACTACTGGAAGACCTAGCAGGAATTTAGAACATTCCTTTACCTATACAAAGATCCTAAAACAATGGAGGAGTTGTCCAGATGCTGACAATGACCAAACGCTGGGCTAGCCTTTAATAATCATTTTTGAAGGAATTCTGTTTTCAAAAATAATTTATTCAAATATTTTTATACCAAAAAAATTTTAAAAGTATGAATTTCTCTTAGTTGTCCTCAAGCAAATGTGCATTTAACTACATGAACACAACCATTACTTCATAGTTTTTTTATTATAGACTTTTTTATCCACATGAATGTTAAAGAAACTACAACAGAGTTAAATGCCATTTTTGATAACATGATTATATTCTTAATTACACTCAATATTAAACTGTAAAATATTTCCAAAGGAATACAATCCTCATTCATACAGCAGGCAAAGTACAGAGAGGAAGGGGCCACATGTAAGTCTGTCCAGTTTGCTATGAAAAGCAGGTTTGTACGGCTGGTGCCTTCCCATCCATTGAAACGCTATCCCCACTCCTAGGATGGGTCTTGTGTTTTCTTCCACCAAGAATCACTTCTTCAAAAAGAGAAGACAGTTTTGTAGAGTTGCTTTCTCCATGTGTGCAGGACTGAGACTGCCTGGGACCATCCGCTGATTTCCCATCCCAACTGGCTAACAGCACTTCCCATGCTCTGGGTTCAGCTATCCTTTAAAAACACAAAGACTCGAACTTTGGTTCCACCAAAAGATGCAACAAGCATTGACTGCTCTGGTTGGCTCCCCCCTCCCCCCACTAATGAATGGCTGCTACAGTCTATTTTACATGGTTGTCCATGCTGTTTTGAGGTCACTTGTCCTTAGGTTCTCCTGAACCTGATTTTGTATTTAATTCCCAAGCCCTTTCGATCTGCAGTCTTTAACACGGGTCAGAAGTGCTCCATGGCAGGCTGTATCTTACAAGAGAACAAGAGTAAGTAGTTCTGTGCACCTGGGATAAGACAAAAGCATAGAATGACAAGCTGAACCTAATATAATCAGATAATTTTAAAACATTTAAAGTAATATTTAGTATACCCTCCTTAGGAGAAGACATTTTGTCTGCTACCCTAGGTTATATATCTCTGATGATATCAAGCCAAACCAGAAATACTAAACAAGAGTGTGCTGGTTTGCTGTGTGCTTTTCACAGTAAAGCCATTTAGATGGGTTTAGAAGCTGGGGTTTGTTGTAGGGCAAAGACAAAAGCAGCCTGCAGTGAAAGGGGCAGACAGAATTTCATGCTCTGGTGCTCTGCTGGTTTTGATTGGATGGCCCAAGTTACGTTTATTTTTCTTGTTCTGTGGTGTCAGGGCAACATAGAAGTATGAGTGGAGGTTTTGTGATTCAAAATCAATAAAATGATTGGATTGGTTATTAACTGCATATTTATAACTGATAATACAAGATGTGAATTAGGCCATGATTTTAGGTGACAAACCAGAGGAGAGCAGACAATGTATGGAATGCAGAGCCAGCCCCAGCCTGGCTCAAATCCTGCCACTTCCTAGCAGTGAGACCACAGGCAACTTACTCATCTCTTGTCTCTTTAGCCTTCTCAGCTGTAGGGGGGTGAAAGCAGTAATACTTACCTCAGTGTGTTGGTCCAAAGATTAAATAAGATAATCGACATAAAGTCCTTAGAACAGTGGGGGCACACCATTATTCTCTAAGGAGATTCTTAAAAGAACCTCTTATGTCTGACTAAAGATGAGAGAAATGAATGTACCACTCCCCCTCTTTATCTTTGATCTATACAAAAAGGAAGACACAGAATGTTCCTTTAAAATCCAATATCCTTTTTTAAAAGACTCTTGTTGTTACTTTCGTAGTAATTATTCCAGAAGTGAAACAAAAATGAGTTTACCAAAGAGGTAGATATAGTTAAAATACCAACAAAAAATAATATTCCAGACTCTCCAGAAAGATGCAACGTAGCAATTAGTGATTAAGAAAATGCAGACATAAGGCAAAAATAGGTGGGTCATGCCCTTGGGTGTTACATGTGGTCTTGGGCTGGCTTTCATGAACGTGGCCCCTTTCTGGGAAAAAAGAGAGAATATAGCAGAAAATTGGCACACAAAAGTGACAGCCAAAATTTTAGAGCTAGTAGAGATTTTGATCAGGTTTGGCCATCCACATTTTATAGATAAGAGTGAGACTCAAAGAGATTAAATGATGTTACTCAAGATAACACAGAGAAATGGCATCAGATCTGGCACCCAGTCTCCCTCACCACCAGCTAAGGACCCAAGGAAGACAGGGAGAAGGCTTTAGGGTCAAATAGACCTGGATTGAATCCTGTATCTGTCACTTAAGAGCTATGTGACTCCTCTGAGCCTCAGTTTCTAAGTATGAAATGGAGGTAATAACAGGATCTGCCTTACAGCATTGTAAAGATAACACAGTAAGTATTTAGCCAGTATCTGGCATAGTTAGTGCTCAATAAATGATCATTACTATCATTTCCAGTTTGGCCAATGAGTTTCTGCATGACTATGAATGAGACATTTCCCTGATTCGCTTCCTACTTATGTAAAATGGTTTACTTCTTGTCTGTGAAAGGTGTGGGTGTTTCAACCAGTTACATCAATGATAACTGCAAAATGTTTAAATGTGTTTGGGAGAAAATGAATGTAAAGTAATAATTAAATTAGTGTTAACATCATACTATTTTTATTTGGGGACAGATTTCACACAGATTACACTGGGTTATCTGTGCAGGAAGTGCGTCACAGAAATAACTAGATGTAAGGAAGGCCGTCGGGAATAATTCTGGTGTTAAAAATGGGCCCAGGTGAAAGGATAATGCCTGCAACATTTTGAAGTATTTTTCAAATCCTTTCCATTGTACTCATGAGCTTATAATGAGACAAATACGAAGAGCGGTACAATGTCTAATCTAATAGGGCTTGTTTTAGGAGGTAGTTTGAAGGTAAATAAAATAAACTACACTTTAACAGCTGGTAGCTAAACAAATAGAATTCATTGTCCCAATGGGGACTATGCTTAGGTTGAAGAAAGGTGCAGATAAATCCAGGGTAATGGATCTTTATGGCGTTATCAAGGGAAAGCTAAGAGTATTCAGTGTATATGCCTAAATTTTGAGGTTGATATCGTTAAGAACAACAATTTTGCTCTTAAAGTATCTTGGCCTGCATGGATCTTTATTTTGACGCAACGTGGAATTTCTTATGTTCTAATGTAGGACAAAAAAAAAATGTGCAGATCAGTGATATGTGGCAGTACTCGCTCAGCTTATTAAGTGGATTGCCTGTGGTTTTGAAAAGCTTCCTCCTCTTAATAGTCATATTGGAATCCACTGGGTGGCAAGAACACTGCATACTACCTTAAGGGTCACTCTTGCATAAGACATTAATGCATCAGTACCTAATTTGGAAACCTGTGGTCACTCTGCAAGACAGAATGTGTCTCTCTCCCTTGGTGTAATGATTTTTATTTTGTAATCTCTCTTGGGGTAACTCCTTGCAGACTTGGCATGTTGAGAATCAGAGACTGCCTCTAACAATACAGTCATGATTCTCTGCTTGGCTGATTTAGCTAAGCATTTAAGTAACCACTAATCTTCTGAAAGCACCAGGGTCTACTTAGAGAAATCCCTGTTGTCTGCAAGGATGGAAACAAAATCAGCATGGAGGAAGCATTAGTTACTAAACACAAATCAATCTTTTTTTTTCTTTTTCCCACCTAGCCATATGCTAGGTCACTATCAGAGGTGTAGTTTCTGGGCAGTGAGTCTTAATTTGTAGGTGCAAAATGGGCTCAGGTCTGACAAACAGGGAAGATGGGTTGGGGAAGTGTAAGGAGTAAAAAGAGAGTTTACTGAAGCTCTTAAGTATAAATCAAACCACATTCTAAGGCTGGGCATGGCTGTAATCTCAGCACTTTGGGAGACCAAAGCAGGAGGACTGCTTGAACCCAGGAGCTTGAGACCAGCCTGCGAAATATAGGGAGACCTTGTCTTTACAAAATAAAAAAAATTTGCTGGGCATGGTGGCGTGCACGCCTATAATGCTGAGATAGGAGGATGGCTCGAGCCAGGGCAGTCAAGGCTGTATTGAGCTGTGATCGCATCACTGCAACTCCAGTCTGGGTAGAAGAGTGAGACCCTGTCTCAAAACAAAACAACAAAAACCCCATTCTAATGTATGAATCTCACAAGTGCTGAGTAAAACAAGCCAGACACAAGAGAATGTTCTATGCAACGTCATTTACATAAAGTTCAAAAACAGACAAAGTTTTTACCATCGTTGGGGGTAGGGAGTGGGAGAAGCTGGGCAAGAGCACAAGGTTGTTATCAGGGGCTGGAAAGCTAAGTGAGCTCATCGTGAACATTTACTGAGTTTCCTTTTTGTTTTTGTTTTCATTGCGTGTTTGTGTATGTGTGTGTTTGTGTGTGTCCCTGAGTGAGTGCAATTCACTGAGTTTTGATTCGTAAACCTCATGATTTGTATGACTTTATGATTTATAAACTTTGAATAAGAAGGTTATTTTTAAAAACATCCTAATATTTTCTCTTGAAAGAAAATTAGTTTGACATTTTCAACCATTATACATATGGAGTTTATCAGAATTAATTTGGACCATTCTTGCCTTAATTATCTTGATATTCTAAGTTAAAATTCAGTGGAATCTAAATGTTCTAAAATTTTCATTTCACACTGCTCGTGCAAACCTGGTCTACTACACTGAGAAAGAAATTGCCCAAAGTCAACTTCAGACTTAATAAAAATACTTTAATATATAGAACAGAGCCAACCTCACGGGTGCATTTGTGAATAACTTCATAGAGATGGAAACAGAATGACTTACTCTCTGAGCACCTCTGTTGCAGTATCATCTGCTCACCAAGAACAATAAGTCCATGCATTAGGAAGAGGCAGGCACTAGATCCAAAATCAGGGCCCCCAGAATCTCTTCTTGGCTTTGCAACATGAACATAAAATGTCACATCTCTTATCTGTAAACCTCAGTTCCCCATGTGTAAAATTAAGGGAAAGCACATGGATGAAAGACTGTTTTGTAAAGGGTTTTAAGCACCTGATGAAATGTAACATAATTATTATTATTTAAGACAAATACTGAAGACTACTACTAATAAAGATAATGGCAAGAAAAGTCATTTGTACCTGATAGAGGAAATTTGTGATAGGCAGAAGAGAGGTGAAGGAACAAAAGGAACCATGAGCCTGCACAGTTCTTTTTGCCAACAAATTCTATTGAGTTGAAAATATGTTCCAGAGGGGAGGAGTGGGAAGAGTCATTCTGATGGGAATGGATCAAACTGATAAATGGCTGCGGTCCTAGCTGGCCATGAGCACTAACAAATGCTACCTTTTGCGTCTGTGGTTTTTTCCCCTGATTTAGCAATCCTAGTTGTTAGGTCATCCCAATATATTGTTACAGAAACAATGTCCTAGTTTTTGCATTCCCACAATTCTAATAATTACATGTGTCTTCTTCCATGGGCTGAAAAAGTTTCTTTTCAAATACTTCGGTATGTTCTGAATATAGCCATTGAATTTTCACTGTCTGCTTTTCCTTAAGAGTCCAAAATAATTGTCTTTTCAATTTTCTTTTAAACTGATATGACCTTGAATCTGGCTTCAGCTGTAGAGAAACTATTATTGGTTTAGGGAAAAGATTAGTTACTATTCCTAGAGCAGAAGGTCTCAAAGGTCTGTATTGTCCCCAGTTGTTCATATTACCACCTGCAGTAACTCTCTGAAAGTCAGATTTCAGGCAGGCTTTTTGGAAGCGAAGGAGAGACAGAGATGAGACACCCTGAGGATGACTGCTGACACTTTGGTTTCCTTGGGGCAGTAACTGGGGTGTCAGAACCATAAAGAGCAGAAAATCTTAAAACGGAAAGAAGATCACTTTTGCAGACTGAATACAGAATTTTTAGTTATAGGAATTTTCCATGGAATTTATAAGAAGTACTTGGTCATTCATTTAGGAAGTCCCATCCCCAGACATAATGAAGTTTATTGGTATATTGACTCAAACACAGGATGCAACTTTACCAATCCCTTGGGCTATTTCAAACACATCAATAAAGAATATGTTCAAGCACACAACAATACAGAGAGTTAAGAAAATCTCTTTCCTCTGGTGATCTTACCTTTTAGCTTTTGCTGAGATGGGCGCCAAGCTTTTCTTTCCTGATCAAACTTGCTGCATAGGGGATCTGTAAGACAAAAACAAGCAACACCATCCAGGTAAGCTAGATTTGGAGACAGATATGTAATGGAGACCCTTCATCATGCCTAACAATTTGAATGCCAATAGATCCTCCCTGAAAAAAAGAGGTCTCCATCTGCTCAGCGGTATGAGGTTTCTGGGGTATAGCATCCTTAAGGCCTGTTAACAAGTACAGTGAGGACAGAACAGGTGATCACACTGGATTGCTGCTACAGCTAGTCCTTGAGGTTAACATGTGATGTTTCACTTTTTAAAGTTTTTAAAAATTTGCATTTAATAATATGGTATCATATTTATTTAGGTACAAAAACTGAGTTACGATGTTCTAATGTATGTTCAAGGTCATAAAACAAGAACATGCTTACAAACTAGTTTAATGTAATTGTTTAGTTTATTAGAATGATTTCTTTATAACAGACGTAATTTCTTTATAACATATGCTATCCTTATAAATCACAAATAAGACTAACTAAACCCAAACTATTACTCTGATTAGATTCCCAATAATTGATAAGATGCATCAGAGGCTGGGTGCGGTGGCTCACACCTGTAATCTCAGCACTTTGGGAGGCTGAGGTGGGAGGATCACTTGAGCCCAGGAGTTCAAGACCAGCTTGGGCAACATAGGAAGGCTCTGTCTCTATAAAAAATTAAAAAATTAGCCAAGTGTGGTGGCACACACCTGCTACTTGGGAGGCTGAGGTGGGAAGAACGCTTGAGCCCAGAAGGTCAAGGCGGCAGTGAGCCATGATTGCACCACTGCACTCCAGCCTGGGTGACAGAGCAAGACCCCTTCTCTCTCTTACACACACAAAGAAGCATCAGAAATAACTGCACTGAATGGAAAATATGACCTTGAGAATTCTACCTTGATAAACTTGAAAAGTACTTTCGAATACTGGGGTTTTGAATAAAAGCTGATCACAGTTGGTATGCTACTTTTCATTATAAAATTCCAATGGTTGAAATTGGACTCAAGGTATTATTTAGATTTGCCTCTCCACTAACCCCCGTTAAGGTGCTCTATCCTTATGTTACCGACCTTCATCATTACAAGGCTAAACTCAGGGCTCTAAAGACTTTATTCTACATGTAAAGAATGAATATTCACCCTTCTAGAATGTAATGTGAAATATGGCTGTTAAGTAAAAGCAGTGAGGGAAATAAAATCACTTTCATTCAATTAGGCAATGATATATATATATTTATTTATATATATATTTATATATATCATATAAATATTATATATATATAATATTTCCCACATTACCAGTATACTGTATGTTTTCCTCTCATGATCCACAGTCCACACATGTGAACCTTTATTATTAATGAGAAAGAGTTATAAATCTACAATGATGCTAGTGGCTAAAAAGAGTTGGACCATTTTACTGTAATAATTAGTCAGCTGAATCAAACAGTCTTTTTAACAGGAAAAAAAAGGACAATAATAAAATAATCATCTCGCTATTTTGATATATAACCACAACATAAACATGTCAGATAGGCATATATCTGATAAAGGGCATAGATAGCATCACTGAAATTAATGATTCATATAGTAACATTAAAAGTTCAGTGTCCTAATCTCGTATTTTAGGATGCAGGCTGAGATCAGCTAGATAACTATGACAAGGACAGTTACACAGGGACCTACTCCAGTTACCTCTTCTTTTCACTCTAGGTTATGCTATAGCTGCTATTAACACAGACCCCTTTGAATATTGGTTTTCCATTATGGTATATGCTGCAATGTGCCAAAGCATATGGATCACTTCTCTAGATGCATGACATGACAGAGCCTGGAATGGAATTCCATTATTTAGGATAACAAACAATGTAAACTTTTGGGCACAAGGAGTTCCAATAAAATGGTTTGTGCCACTCTCACATTTAAGAAGAGCCCTCAACATCAACATTAGACACCACAAAGGTTTAGCCAGTGTCTGTTCTATGGCAGCCACCAGGAGAGATAAGTTAAATCACCATGGGCCATCTCATTAGAGGAGTAAACTGCTCAACCTAATCCAAAGAAACCCGCCTGAAGGATTCTACTTTCAGAGCTAAGTCAAAATGGCTTCCTCTTTCTTTTTTTCAGAAGCAATAACACAGCATTTCATTAAGGTAGAAAGTTGAGAAGGAAAAGAAAAGCAAAAAAAGGACTCAAGAAAAAAAGGACATTTCCAAATAAGCATATTTGAGTCCCAAGGGTCCAGATTGGAATTTAAACTGGGGTGAAGAATTATCCCTACTAGAATGTTGATTTTTTCATTTATTTCATTAAAACAAAATGAAATAAAAGCCAAAAAACAACAAAGATAAAAAGCAAAAAGTAATGAGCTGAGAATCATGTATTTTTCCATTCTAAGTCCTAAATCATGAATGGTAAATAAAGATTATAGTAGCATGGCCAGTTGTTCCTGGAAACAACATTATTTCACTGATTCCAGGATGCACTTTATCCCCTCACATTTTAACATTTCTGAAATCAGATGTATTAGAATTACAGTTGAAACCTTTTACTTTATGATTCATCAAATAGTGGTGCCTCTTACAATTGATGGTGCTTCAGATTCCATAAAATGCAACATTGGACTTGCAGACACTTCAGCAAATTCTCCCCAACTTGGAAGCTCAGGATTTTAGAGGCTCAATTTAAACTAGTTAGTTATTCCATGCAAATCTCCTACAATAGGACTTACAAAAGCTTTCTTTTCATCTTGACCAGCTTAGAAATTACCGAGATTGGCATGGAGAAAAAAAATTCAAAGTATTATGTAACTTCTAAATTACCTACTTGGTTATAGTAGATCAAAAGTACTGGAGTTTAAAAAAAAAAAGTGACTTCCTAGTTTGTGCCAAAAGAGTTAACCTGAGCTCACACATTCAGGTCAGTCAACATCTCAAAAAGAGAAAGATGAGAAGAAAAATGCTACATAACTAAGGAACAACTGATTGCACTGTCAAGGTGCACAACAGTAGATCAATAATTGGAAATGGACACACAGTAGCCAAAGTCTGTCTACTGCTAGAGAATTTTAAGGCAGCCTCCACAGAAGTTCAGGCTTGCATTAAGTCTTCTGACTTGCAGGGATCTCCTTTTGATGCATATTTAGACACAGAACCAAAATCTTCTAGTGGCCCAGGGATCTTCTTCTAAAAATATAATGCAAAATAGTAATGGTCCTATCTACCTTTTTTTAAAAAAAAGATGTAAGACATATTTTTACAAACTCTGTAGGTTATACAGTAGAAATCTGGGCAAGTTCCCATCCTAATGAATATTGGAGAACCTCCAAGAAAAGACCATCTTACTGAAGAGCTGTGTCCTTGCCAAAGAACAAGCACTCCTCCAGCAAAGATAACGACCTCTCACTCCTTTCCCTGTGACGATGCACTGCACTCCCATCATCAGGAAGTTGTAAACTGCTGTTTTACAAGTCCACCGTGAACAAAACATTAGTCCTTAATCTATTGATTGAACATTATTTTAATTGAGGCTTTTAATGAAGAACTTTGAGACCAATTCCCCCTAGCTGCGTGTGACTGCAGAATTCTGGAAAAACAGCAGAGGGCACTTAAAGACTAGCACATTTTCCCCATCAACACGCCTTGTGGTAGTGATCTGACAAGTTCAAAGGATGTGAATCTGGGTCTAGCCATTTATCATGTGCTCTGTGTTGCAGCATCACAACGTTCTCCAAGAACTATGACTAAAAAATAAAAAAGCATGTCTTCAACAAATCTACAGTAGTAGCTTATACACAGATGCACTTGCTTATAAAATTATTGCCAAATTCATAATAAAAAAAGGTTATCAAGGCATCATCACAGTCTCAGCTCATGTTGTAAGTTTTTATATTCCAGTCCTTGGAAAAACTTTAATCAAAAAGCTATTCACTGAATAAAAATCTTCAGTCAGCTTCTTCAGCCTAAGGACTGTTAAGTTTTGCTTTTAAAATTGAATAAACTTGTCCTAGAATCATAATTCATTTGTGAATGAGAAATCCTTTACCCTTTATTACACTAAACATTTACATTTTTATAAACATGCTAAATTAAAAAACTTTTGTATTGGTTCATAGGGATAGAAAAATATTTCTTTGTTTTGCATAACTAAATGTGGCTTAGTAATACAAATGCTATAAGCACTTAAAAACCCAGGGCAGGGGTGGGGGACTTTAACACAAACCACGTTAAATACTAAAATACCCAAATTTTGAGCTATTTTTTAAAAAGGTAGCTTATACCATGTATAAATGTTAACTAATTCCTCACTGTTTTAAATCTCACATTGAGATAAGTACACATTCATTTATAAAGACACAAAGAGAGTCAATCATTTGACTCTGTAGTCATCACAACTTTACATTTAACACGGGAAAAAGAAGCAATGGTGCAGAAATGACAGTCAACAGAGAATCTAAAAATGCAGGAGCCAAAGAAATTCATAAGTTTTCTTTCTATGGCAATGATACCCAAGACGCTTTCAATATAAGTTTTTTGAATAGAAACACTTTTTAACAACATAGGATAAATGCATTGTGGGTCTTTGGGAATCATTACAAAATATGATGGTTTTAATATATTTGAATTCTCCTTGACTGCAAGATAGAGTGGGCTTTTATGTCATCTCAAGAAAAAAAAAGCCTGTTTTGTAATATATGCTCTGTAAACTTTAAATATAAAATAATTTGAGTGAACTGTTCTGTTTTCAGGAAGCAAAGCATGCAACCATATTGACTGATGAATAAGATCATCCAACTAAAATATTCAGAAAGCCAGTAATTGTGATATTTTACAATTTCTTGATAATCTTTAGATAGAATTTTCTAAAGACATTTTCCCCCAGGTACTTTGACAGATACATCAGGCTGAATAAGGAATTAGACACATTTCTGTTCAAGTAACACTGAATCTGCAGCCTCAATTCTAAAGCAGATAGTACCATGTAAACATAGGTCCTTCCTGCACAAAAATATATCTAGCCGGATGGGCATGGTGGCTTACACCTGTAATAGTTCCACTATTGTAGGTACTACTTTGAGAAGGGCCACACCATTAAATTGATTACTCACATTGGCATAGCATATTATGGCTTGTATGTACATTTCATGTTTATTACTCACTTGCACCTTATAATATTCCTACCAAGGCCCTAGGTTAAACCTTATAGCCGTTCATTTTGGTTGAGGAACTGACACTTAATGAACTATATGGGATGGGTCTCAATCCCAAGT
This sequence comes from Homo sapiens, assembly GCF_000001405.40. Lineage (NCBI taxonomy): Eukaryota > Metazoa > Chordata > Mammalia > Primates > Hominidae > Homo > Homo sapiens. The sequence goes on from NC_000018.10 coordinate 47,217,406, forward strand.
TACAGATGTTAAAGCTCATCTCTGTTAGGTGCAGACAGAGCAGTAATACAGAAGCTCCCCAAAATTTGCTAGTATTCCTTCCTTTAGGAGTTGTGGTAGTAGTATTTGCTTAGTGTAAAATAACATTTGAGGAAACCAGGACCAAGCCAGGGAAATTTGGAAAAGAATTAAGAGGACTGCTATATGAGAGTATCAGAGCTGGGTCAGGATCATCATGGGTGGTGATTCATTCAACAAATGTTTATGAACAGCTGTTTGATGCTGCACACTGTGATAGGTACTGGAGTCAGCAGGAAAACCTTGGGCATCTAATGGTAGGGGACACACAAAAAGGGGAAGAAGCAGGAGGGACAAATCATGTCGATTTCACCAATTTTCATGTTGTTACCCTGGAAGCAGCTTTGTGTATTTCAGGAATTATATGATACCTACAAGGGCAGGAGGGTGGGGGTGGGAAATTCAAGCTTTTCCCAAATTATTTAATTTGCTACCAGGAATAGTTTACTATCTATAGGAATGTGAATTAACAACATTTGTCTAGATAGATGAATACATGTTGTAAAATATTTTATAAGACAGCATAATAAAATGATTTGGTAATACCAGTTTTAATCTTCCATGTACCAAATATCTCAAAAGACATGAGATATTTTTTTGTTCTATCAATCCTATCTGCTTAGTACATGGAGACAATATAATTTCCTCTTTTACTAAAGAAACCAAATGCCAAAGAAAATTAAGACATTAAGGTCACATAACTGGCCTTAAATAAGGGCACTAAAAGAAATACTGTTTCCTTTCCTAATGCCCATTTTGCTATACTCACCACCACCCCCTGAAATCACAATTTTTTTGTTGCAAGTGTGGCAATTATTTTCTTTTGTTTTAAGAGTATGAAAATGGGCTGGGTGCAGTGGTTCATGCCTGTAATCCCAGCACTTTAGGAGGCCCAGGTGGGAGGATTGCTGGAGGCCAGAAGTTTAAGACCACCCTGGGCAACACAGAAAGACCCTGTCTCAACAAAAAATTAAAAAATTAATCGGGTGTGGTGGTGCACACCTGCAGTTCCAGCTATTTGGGAGGCTGAGGTGGGAGGATTGCTTGAGCCCAGGAGTTGGAGGCTGCAGTGAGCTATGATTGTACCACTGCACTCCAGCCTGTGCAGCAGAGTGAGACCCTGTCTCAAAAAAAAAAAAAAAAAAAAATCTGAAAATGATGTCCTTTGTAAAATAAGGAAGGTGTTAAAATTTTATATTCCCCTACATCGAATCTTTTATTTAAATTTTTCCTTTAAACAGAGAATACAATAAATACATTCACAGCAGTAATTATAGCTCTTATTATCAAGGAATCAAAAGCTAAGAATGGGAATTTGTTATTAAATCAATTATGAAAATCCTCTGCTCCCAAGTGAATTCAGGTGCAAACAAAACCAACATGAGAAGAAAATCTTGTTTAAGCAGCATCTTATGTAGTGGTTTTCAGAACTGAGAGTTGTTAACGATCACTTGAGATCAAGGAAAACCAATTGCTGCAAAAATGACCCTTAGGAATCTCCACTAACACTGGCATGATTTCTCCAATGAATGGAAACATTAATAACTATCTTTCTTAAATAATCCTGACAAAGGAACTAGATATCTGGCTCTGTAGACAAGACAGGCACATATGCATGGATCCATGATTAATGGTTGAAAGGTAGCACGGATCAGTACAGAAATGTCAAGAAACCCAAAGTATAATAATTATGCTGAGAATAGCACTAAGGATCAATATGTGTTTTTATCCAGGTGATTAAATATATCTTGAAAATATTGAGCAGAAATAATTTTCTCCATTGTACTCACAAAAATGAGGAGGCTTGGGAGACTCCTTTAAAAGCCCTAATGAATAGTACTAGATGTATCTACATGGGGACAAAGGGCAAGAAATTCAGAAAGCAAACAAAAACCCAAAACAAAACCACTACATTTACTTATCAGACATCTTCCTGTTTTTTTTTTCCATATAAATAGATCTTAGTGAGTGTCCATTTTTAGAAATGATTAGGATAGAGTAATACATTTCATTTGGAAATCATTTGTTTCTTTTCATCATCCTTCAAGTGAATTTAGTTGATTAATTGTGCTCATTAATTGTGTTTTATTGGTAGTGGAGGGCCTGGCTCAAGTGTGGGTAGTGAAAGGAAGAGAGGATGGAAGACAGTTGCCCTTCACTGAGCTCGTAGCATAGCCCAGCACTGTGTTTGGGAAGTTTGCATAATGGAAGAAAATGCAGGTACCTTTGGTTTACCCACAGAGATAATTTACACATCTGTCTATTAACACATGGTAGGTAGTTACATTTAGAGGAAACATACTGCCACATCTGTTTATCCTGTGTCTAAGTAAATCTCTTGGTAATTAGCATCTAAGCCAGCTGAGAGGTAAGTGGACCAAAGGATTTCATGCAAAAACGTGAACAGTTTCATACATATTGGGTAGTCTGAAAACAAACCAATTAAGTTGCATTTATTTTTAAGTAGAAATGCAGCTTACAATTTGTAACTGTTGCACCATTTCTTCTCGGTAGGCTAGCTCCCTTTTCATCTGATCCTGAAAATTATCTGGTAGGAGAGAGAGATAGAGAAAGATTAACTAAAGTGTAAAATCTACTTTTAGTTTAGCTAGTAAAAACATTATTGACAGTCCCATGGACAGCCCCCCTACTTTTAAGTATTTTTTTCATAGGCAAATTATATGCTTGTTTGAAGAATGTTTTCAACACTCTATAATTTAATCAGACTAGACAGTAAATTCTGAGTGTGTCTTATATTTTACAGTATCTCATATTCCATCTAGTATAATCTCTTGCATATGATTACACAGAAATATCCCACACAATCATGTTCTTTAACCTTTGCACACTTGTGCAAATCACAGGTATTGGGAGCTTCCACTGTCTTCAGAAGTCCAGCAAGAGTCAGTAGGGCAGGCCTCAGATAGAGCTGAGCATGGGAAATGCTGCCCCTCCTGCACATAATACCTTCCGGGTAAATAAGATGTGAGTCTGTGAAAAATGCCTGCCTGGCTTCACTGCAGCTCATCTCACTCCTAAGAGAGAATACTTCGGCCTGACTCCCCTGTGCAGCAAACTCTCTCACCCTGGGATCAGCCTTATTTTATGTTCCTGCTTTGTCCTGGTGCCTTTCTACAGACCTTACCTTAATCTGAGAAGAAGAGAACTTTAAGAGATATTGTCATGCAAAATATTTTTGCTATTCTACATATTGACCATATTTATTGCATTAGGGAAAAAATGACTTCCAAATGTACAGTTTAGTGTTACATCTTCTCCACGTGATCCTTTTAAAAGTGTGGACGTGGCTAACTTTGCCTTTTTCTGCACTGAAGGAGAAATGAGCACGATTTCTTATTGAATTTGTGGTTGATAGGGCAGCAGCTTGAGGAAACCAGAAACTTCATCATTATCTTTTCTTCTCCTTTTCCTTTCATCTTCACAGCCAACTGGTGTGTGAGTTCTATGTGTTCCACCATCATATTCTCCCCTCTTTGCCATTGTTACCTCCCACGTGCAGGCACCTCATCCCTGAATCATTTTCCGACTGACCACCTGCCACCAGTCCCTTTCTCTCCAAATACCTTTAATTCCCTGCTTAAAAATCTCCAATGGCTTTCCAACACTTTCAGGATAGTAAATCCTTTACCACTCATGAGACTCTGGGTACTTAGAGATGAAAAGGCTTTGTTCTTTTTATTTTTTTCAACTTCTACCTTTTCATACTATTTGAATTTCTTATCCAACCCCAAACATGTGTTCTAATTAATTTTTTTAAAAAGACCCAATCCCTACTGTCACCTCTGATTTTGATGTCAAAGTCACTGTAATAGAGGGAAGTATGTGGTGCCATGCAAAGATTGAGAGAAGAGCTGTCATTCATTCTGGGAACATTAGAGGGGAGAGCTGCTTGAGCAGACACGTGGAGAACAGCATTCTACATAAAGACATGGAAGGAGGAGAGGGGAACTGCATATGGCTCAGCTGGCTGCAGCCGAGGGCACGGAGGAAATCCCCTGCACCACACCAGCCACCAAACCACTCTCCAGTCCTCAACTATGCATTATACTTCCAGCCTCTGTGCCTTTGCCCCTGCTGTGGTCTTGCCCTTGCAGCAAACAACTGCCTTTTCTTTAAAGTCCAGTCCAGATGCTACCTCCTCCAGGAAGTCTTCTCCAATTCTGCAGCCCCTCCTGCCAGAATTATTTACCCATTTTTTTTTGTACTTCTCCAGCACCCTGTCCATACCTGTATTAATGCATCCATAATACATGCTATGATTAGTTGTTATCCATCTGTCTCCCTGCTAAACAGTTGAGTTCTTAGAGGGCAGGAAGATACGTTTAGACACTTTAAAAATTTTTAAGGCCTACCACAGTGCCTGGCACACGGCAGGGGCTAGCTAATAAACGAGGAGTAAAAACACACAGAATTATCCACCAGCAGGTTGAGATTCTGCCATCTATAGTAACTACCCCACTCTGGAGCCTCAGACCTTTATCTAAAGAAACAAAGGTGTGAAATAATGTGCTCTTTCAGGTGTTTTCTTGCTCTAGCATTTTAAGCTTTGATGACAGGCCGAGTGTGGTGGCTCAAGCCAATAATCCCAGCCCTTTGGGAGGCTGAAGCAGGAAAATTGCTTGAGCCCAGGAGTTTGAGACCAGCCTGGGAAACATGGAAAAACTCTGTCTCTACTAAAAATACAAAAAATTATCTGAGCATGGAGGTGCACAACTGTAGTCCCAGCTACACAGGAGGCTGAGGTAGGAGAATCACCTGGGAAGTCGAGGCTGCAGTGAGCTGAGATTGCACCACTGCACTCCAGTCTGAGTGACAAAGTGAGACTCTGCCTCAAAAAAAAAAAAAAGAAAAAATTTTTGGTGACAAAATAAATTGATTTGATTGGGCTTCATGCACCCACTTGTCTTTCCTGTGCAGGGGAAGTGAGGGAAAGATTTTGATTTACACCAGTAACAATTAGGCGAAAGGTACCATGTGAGGAGCTAGCATCCACCTCACCAGGTCAGGATGCTCTAGAGGTGGGTCTAAGGGTACAGGGCAACAGGGGAACCAGCCCTCCACAAACTGCCCTGGTTCCAACACTTGGTCCTGCGCTGTGGCCCGCAGGCCTCCAGGAAGATCAGTGTGGTTCCAGACACTGGAGCACATGGCAAGCATGGCTCCCTTTGTGAAGAAGAAAACTTTCCTCTGAGCCTCTAGGGATCCAAGATGCCTTTGACCAGGGTGGTAAACTAAGATGAATTAGGAAGGAGGGGCTGCCTGAAGCCGACCAGGCTGGAGCACTTCCCTGGGATCACAGAAGATTCTAATTTTAGAGGAGGGAACAGCTAAGGGCAATTCAGAGTGGAATGATGAAAACTAGTCCTAACTTAACTCATGCTCATTTTTCTATGATAGTACACTTAATATAATTCCTTAAGTTAAAATGAAAAACAAAAAAGAAGCCATTAAAGTATTCGAAATAATGGCAAATTTTTTTTTAAGATTGGAGTGGGGAAGAGCATAAAAGGCAAAAACTGAAAAGGAAAAGACTGGTTGATTTGATCAGACAGAAATTTAAAACTTTGGTATGCCAATAAATTACAAACAGATTAAACTCCCCAAACATAAAACACCATAGTCAACATTTAAAGGTAATTGATACAAACCAAAAAATACTTGCAACATGTCAAAGAATTAACATTTTAGTATAAGAGGGTTTATACAAATCAATAAGAAAATGAACACATCAACAGAAATATGGGGAGAGAATATAAATGGGCATTCACAAAACATATGAAAGGATGCTAGACACATGAAAAATGTTCAACATCACCAGCAATGAAAGAAAAGGAAATAATATGAAATACCAAAATTTCCTCTTAAGTTGGCAAAGATTAAATGAAGAGATGATACATGCTGTTCCAAAGATGGGAGCAGAAATTAGTTGAAACTTTCTGGAAAGCAACTTGAAATTATATGTTAAGACTTTTAAAAAGTTCATACCCTTTAACACAACAACACTTTTAGGAGTTTAACCTAAGGAAATAATAGTGGATACATGCAAAGACTTAGTTACAAGGGTGTCCATTATCTAAAACTTGGACAAACCTTAATGTCCAACATAACAGTATATTTATACACTGCTGTGTAGTAACAGAACGAGGCACATTTTAGCTAAAACAAAAAGGAAGTAAAAAATGTTGTGTATTACATTTCATTTTGTTTTATAAAAGCATTTAACAAGCATTTAAAAAGGCTGAAACTCCAAAATGTTAACATTGGTTATCTCTAGGTGGCAAGATTATGGGTGATTTTTGTTTCCTTTCCTTTTTATTTCTGCATACTTAAAATTTTCCACAACAAGGATGTGTATAGCTTTTGAGATATAAAGATTGTTAATTGGCAAACATACAAAAATCTAAAATTTTTTCTATGTTCTTTTTTTTTTTTTTAAATTTGAGGCAGAGTCTCACTCTGTCGCCCAGGCTGGAGTGCCGTGGCATGATCTCAGCTTGCTACAACCTCTGCCTCCTGGGTTCAAGCGATTCTCCTGCCTCAGCCTCCCGAGTAGCTGGGGTTACAGGCATGCACCACCATGCCTGGCTACTTTTTTTGTATTTTTGGTAGAGATGGGGTTTCACCATATTGGCCAGGGTGCTCTCAAACTCCTGACCTCAAGTGATCCACCTGCCTTGGCCTCCCAAAGTACTGGGACTACAGGATGAGCCACCACGCCCGACCATATTTTTTCTATGTTCTAAAGGTTGATGAAGACAGAGTTTAATTGGAGATGGAAAAAATCATTAAGCCAACTTCTGTAATGAGAATCACTTATAACCCAACTATTTTTGGAAAATGATAATACGAAAGGAAGTAGCAAAGAAGAGCACTGAAGTGCAGCATGTCAGCCAACACAACAGCAAGGCTGCACACTGCAAACTCAGACAGCTGGAAAAGCCAAAGGGTTTTCCAAACAGCAATAAAAAGTATCTAGCCTACATTCCTAGAACCATAAGTAAGAAGACAAACCCATAGGGTACATCTGGTTCACATCTGGTTCACCTGGAATGTTCTAAGCAAGCAGTGGGCTTTGGGGTTCAATTTGTTTACAAATGTCTTCATTTTGTTATCTCTATTTTTAAAGAACCATTGAACTTTTTTTTTTTTGAGACAGGGTCTTGCTCTGTCACCCAGGCTTGAGTGCACTGGTGTGACCAGAGCTCACTGCAGCCTTGACCTCCTGGGTTCAAGTGATCCTCCCATCTCTGCCTCCTTAGTAGCTGGGACTACCTGTGCATGCCACCACACTTGGCTAATTTGTGTGTATGTGTTTGTGTAGAGACAGGGTCCCAGTATGTTGCCCAGGCTGATCTCAAACTTCTGGGCTCAAGCAATCCTCCTGCCTCGACTTCCCAAAGTGCTGAGATTACAGACCTGAGCCACTGTGCCCAGCCAAAACTTAAAAAAAAATTTTTTTCATAGCCATCTTCTACTGAAAGGAGTTTAATCTGTACAGTATTTTGGAATCTGCCCTGCCACCCCGACCCTGCACTTCATCTCCCAGAGTATGCTACAAAAAGAAAGAAGAAGGAAGGAAGGAAGGGAACCACTGAACATAAAATGAATTCAATAATGGCCACAGATGAAAGATGCAGACAACCATATTCAGGGAGATGAGATGTAGTTTGTTTTTAATAACAAGGACTCTTAACAGTAATTTGGAAGAGCAATTTTTTATAAGAATCTAAAATGATGACATTTTAGATGAAATCTAACATTTTTCATAAAGCCCCATTCATTAGTGCTTTCCTGTAATAACCAACTGGCCTTTCCACTCAGTTCTTGTAAGTGCCATGAATTTGTCACTAGATCTGCAAATCTAAGGATTCAACTCATGAGCCCTGGATACTCACCTTTATACAAGTCTTCAGTGATCCAATTCCATCCTCCATTGTCAGTTTTAATCTCTTTGGGTATAACCCCAATGTTCCTATCAATCATTTATTGAGAGTATGCTACATACCCACAATATGCCAGGTGCTGCAGGTGGCAACAGAAGAACATTCTGGGTAGCTCTTCCCTGAATCTATTTACAATGTGGGTTGGGGGAGTGGAGAGTAACACGAGTGAAACAGAGGAGGAGTCAACACAGAAAACTCATGGTACTAGAAATGAACACAACAGGACTTCAGAAAATCGTGCCTACTGCAAGAGTGGAAAGGCTTCTTGGATGTGGCAAAACTTTAGCTGTGCTCCAGATAAGAAGGAGGACTTGGATGAGGGGAGGCGCTCTGGACTAGAGGAACACGGTGTGCAGAGGTGGAGGGAGAGGGGTGAGAGTGGTCTGCCAGGTAACTGGAGCTGAGCCGGGGGAGAAGCAGAAATAAGGGTGGAGAGGTTGGGGGAGGGGCACACAATTATGACAGGTTTTGAGAGTCAGTTAACTTAGATATACCATGATACACAGTGCAAATCGTTCTAGCTTCTTGAGGTGAAGATTTTGTGCCAAATCTAGAGTTTTAGGAAGACAGGGCTAAGAGCAGCAGGCAGAAAGGGCTGGAGTGGAGAAGGGAGGTGAGGATGCAGGCCACCCTGCTGGTGACGGCCTTCTCCATTCATTGCCACCTTTAGCAGGTCCCAGGTTTGGGGCTAGGCTCTGAGGTTTTAAGATGGCTAATGGGAAGAAATAAAAATGAATAAAAACTACAGCAAAACGATGAATGCTGTAATAAAGGAAGGCATAGGGTGCTGGAGGAAAAGAGAGGAAGAAGAGATACAATTGCTGGGGAAGGTGTACATAATGCAGTGGCAAACATAACTTCTGGATTTACAGCTGCAAAAATGATCAGACCAGTGTGAGTGAGGGAGTTTGGAATGGTGGAATTGGGAGTTACCTTTAATAATTTAACCTGTCCAACTGAACATGATTTTCATTGCAAAACATGTTTGACCAGCCATCCTATTGTCATCTCAAAGTAACCTTGATAATGGTGGGGCCCCTCCTAATCCATTTCCCCAAACACCTACTCCCACTCAATTCCAGCTTCTCCTTTTTCCTTAGTATATCCTCCCTACCTCTCTGTTGTGTCCTACCCGGTTCGTTGATTAAACTTATTGTTTAGTATTAAAACAAGTTTCACTCCCTGTTCCTCCCTCTATAGTGACAGCTCAATAAACCTTTACAAGTTCTGGTTTCTTACATTAGCTGGTTTACTATACAGTCACTACAAGAATGTCAGCATCAAACTTTAAAACAGTATATAGTAGCAACAACTCACATTTAATAGTAATTACTATTCATTTGTCACTATGCTAAGCACTTCATGCCTTTCACTCATTTAATCCTCTCCACAACCCCAAGAGGTAGGTAGTAGTATTGTTATAGTGTTGAAAAGAGATCAGGGAATTTTCCTAAGGTTACTCAGCCAGTGAGTAGAGCAGTCAGCATCCACACCTGGAACCCTCTCTATGACCTGCCATACTTCTCTGCCTCTGCTGTAATGGCAAATGCCTGCCTTGCCTTGCTTTCTCCTCCCCAGATTTCCCCATCAGGGCTATGCATAAGTATCAGTGGAGAGCAGCTCTGGAAGCCTCTGTTCCAGCAAGCGCAGAGACTTGCTTGTTTCTCTTCCTCCTCCCAACTGCTGCTCCCCAAATGTGGAGACTTGTTTCTTCTCCTCCATCTTCCTCCTTCTTCCTCCTTTCCTGCCTCTTCCTCCTCCTTCTCCTTTTTCCCTCTACCCTTCCTCCTCCTCCTCCTCCACCTGCCCCTCCTCTCTGTTATCTTTATTTGTACCCTCTCCATTCTTACGACCATTCCTGTGGTCCTCATTAACCCTTGGAACCACGACAAGAAGCCAATTTTTTTTTTTTTTTTTTTTTTTTTTTTGGAGACGGAGTCTCCCTGTGTTGTCCAGGCTGGAGGGCAGTGGCGTGATCTCGGCTCACTGCAACCTCTGCCTCCCGGGTTCAAGTGATTCTCCTGCTTCAGCCTCCTGAGTAGCTGGGATTCATACCACCACACCAGCTAATTTTTTATATTTCTGGTACAGACGAGGTTTCACCATGTTGGCCAGGCTGGTCTCAAACTCCTGACCTCAAGTGATCTGCCTGGCTCAGCCTCCCAAAGTGCTAGGATTACAGGCGTAAGCCACTGTGCCTGGCCAGAAGCCAAAAATTTGGACCCAAGTTTAGAAATGCTTTTCTAGAGCTCAGTGCTGTTCCTCTCCTTTTCTTCTTTCTGCTTCATAATCACCATCATAATTGTACTTATCCTGTGCCCAGCATGTGCACAGCACTTCACATAGGTCTCTCATTCAGTCCTCTCATTCTTCTAAGCGACAGGAATTATTTGCCCCATTTTACAGTTTCCAAGGTCATACAACCAGCAAGTAGCAGAGCCTGAAAGTGAACTCAGGTCTGGTCGATTTTTGAGCCTAGATTCTTAATTCTCACATGCTACAGCTCCTAGCCTAGGTCCACAGTGCTCTAAGTGAACTGGATTTTAAGTGTGGTGACTGTGAGCATCTGTTCACCTCCTAGTAAAAAGCTTTGCAAAACTCTCACGAGAATTCCTCTATGCTTCTTTCCGATGAGGCTTTGCAAATCTTGGTTTTCCCCTTTTCATCTGAGTGAATCTAAATCTGTCCCCTAGCCTCACGGCCCCTCACATTTAGTTAACAAGCACATAATGTGCATTTGCTATTTTCATCCGTGTGAAATTGACTGCCTCTTTGTGGTGTATCTAAACCACGCATTATTTAAACTTGGGCACACACATGCCACTTCCTTGGTCAGTGGAGTATGTTGCAGATGAAAAAGAGGAAAATTTTTTTTGTTACTGTTTAATTGAAGTGTTTCATACATGTGGCAATCACAGAGGATACATATTAGTGCACATCAAAATGATGAATGAGAGGTCTGAATTGAAACTGGCCAGTACTGTAACATTCTAACATTTTGTTTAACGGAAACATGTACTACAGAGCAGTTACTATGAAAAATATAAATTATTATGGATTACTTAATTCCTTAGAATGAATATGAATTGGCTTTTATTAATGGGATGAATTATGACTACAGAGGTTTCATAGGGAGTTAGAAGGGCATGTTAGGGATTCAATGGGACTTGGACCCACTCTGCTAGATCTAAAAGCAGGGACTTGCAAACTCAACAATTAGATAAACATCAGCTATTGGGAAAACGTATTCAATGCCTCTCATTGGGGGCAAGGAACTGTGCAGTCTTTCTTAAGATACAGTTTCAAAAGTTAGAGAATCCTAGATCCTTTCAAAGCACCTGTTTCTTATGGTTTCAAAGATATTTTAAATGTTTCTCCTTTTCTCAAAGCTATAAGTATCACAATATTCCTAATTATGCTATCAAAAGCTATTGGCCATTCTCCTTCTTTCAGTCTCATTCTAAAGCCCTGCAGGCATTCTCTGAATTCAAAATAACTGAAGTACCATGAGCTCCAGCCTCCTTTGGAGTATGCAGAGAGGACACACTTTGCAGACCCTCCCATTCCTTGTGGTCAGAGTTCTCTTCCATCATGCAGTTACCTCTACATTTTGAATCCTCACTAAATGTTCTGGTCAAATTTAGTTTGACATGTTACCAGGAACCTGGTGCTATTCAAAAATGCTACCTAAGTGTGTCATTCAGTTGTGCCAGTGATTACATTTAGGAAGCCCTAATGAATGAAGACCTTCAGGCTGACATTATTGAAATTATCATAATTATTTAAAAATCTTCCAGATGCTGATACAGGAATCATCTGGCACAGGAATTGCCAACTTGAGTTTTGTGATTTCTGGATTAATAACAAGAAGCATGCTGACATTCTAAAAAAGTGCCCTGGAAAAAATTAATTTTAAATATATATAATTAGAAAAATAAGTTTGCAGGCCAGGCACAGTGGCTCATGCCTGTAATCCCAGCACTTTGGGAGGCCGAGGTGGGCGGATCACCTGAGGTCAGGAGTTCGAGACCTGCCTGACCAATATGGTGAAACTCTGCCTCTACTAAAAATGCAAAAATTAGCCAGGTGTAGTGGTGTGTGCCTGTAGTACCAGCTACTCCGGAGGCTGAGACAGGAGAATTGCTTGAACCCAGGTGGCAGAGGTTGCAGTGAGCTGAGATTGTGCCACTGCACTCCAGCCTGGGTGACAGAGCAAGACTCCATCTCAAAAAGAAAAAAAAAATAAGTTTGCATACTATTTTCCCACTTTCCTTTCTCTGGAGAGGTAATATGACTAAATCAAAGTCCGGAAAGCTTGAAAAACACTACTGGGATGTATTTGTCCAGATGTGACCCAGACCAGGGCAGGTGAATTTTAAAAATCTGGACACCTACCATAAAGTTTTAGGAAATTCCAAGACTCTGGGAGTAGAACTAACAGTTTTTAGGCTACAATATCTCCTGCCTCTAAATTCAGAATGGAATTTTAACATTAAATATGGATGGGAAATCTAAAACTACTAAAATTATAACAATTTCATTTAATAAAATAGATTGTGTATACTGAGCCTTTAAAGTTTAGATTTTCATATTTATACATATCTCAAGCATCAGGAAGCTATCAGGAACAATCTGAGAATGAAAGTTAACTTTTTCTTGTTTTCCCTACTTTAGAGAATGTAAATACAAAGTAGTTCTTTTGTTTTAAAATCTATAATCGAACTATATCTAAATATTTAAATATATTTACATATTTAATTATATATTTACACACATTTTAAAATACGTACAACATGCACATACAGATACACATATATCCATACACAAATACCAAAAGGTTCTTGGAAGAAATTTTATCTGTGAGTCAATTCAAAGCCTAAATAAAACTAAAATTTATGAATATTTAGGCAGACCATGGGAAGACTGTGTGTGTTTTGCACAATCGCTTAATACTTAGAATCACATTCTTAAGCCTAATAATAGAAACGTAATCAATTATCATAAATACAATGAAATAAAAGTGATTTCTTACTGAATACTGGGAAAGATGTGTTTCCTTTTAACACCTGGAATTCTTGTTCCAGTCGTCTCCGTAAATCTATTTGTTCAAATAAAACCTTCTGAAGTTCTTCTAATAAAAAAAAGAAGAGTCATTTTACTAATCTTTACAAATAACTCTCCAGAGAACTGTTATATATGGCAATTTATTATTATAAGACAAAATATTTTACCAGTTTAAAAAGTGTTGCATAGACATAGGATAGATTTTGTGCAGAAATCCATGAATATAAATCAATGTAATATATTATTTTAAAGTATTATATTACAGTGTCATGTATTGATTGATATGTATGCATTAATCTCAATTATATCCACCCAATGGTCCATATATTATTCATATGTTGCTTGTCAAGCTAAAAATATGGTGGAGAACAAAAATATCCTCCTATTATCTCCACAGTCGTTTAAAGCTAAGAGAAGTTCTACAGAATTGAAACTTTCATTTACCTTTCCCCATATTTTCTACATCCTTTTTCAGTGAATGAGGTGAGTTGGTTTCTTGTGTATGTTCACCTTTTAAAAAAGCAGGAAAAATACTATTAGTTTTGTGTAGGCTAGTTCTGTAAGTTTTCCTTTACATTTTCTTTTAATATCTGCAAAACAGTTTATTTAATATAACCTGAAATTGGAAGTCCTCATAACCAAATGTTGTCCTCATTTATTCGCATATAATCCTCCTGAAACACGGAGGGGAGGTGCAGAAAAGGAGGGCAGAGCCTGCCTGGCCTGTGATGGCAGCTCCCGAAAAGCAGATTCTTGAAGTTATTCCCTCTCCAACCCCCTACCGCCATCCATCTTTACAAGGAAGGAAATTGCTAGAATGGGCAAAAGAGGAGTCTGGATAGTCAAGATTTCTGGTAGAAATCTGATTGGAGTCCCACTGCTCCTTGAAGGGAGGAAGCTTGGTTTGAATGGAAAGGTTCTCAAGACTAGAGGCAGGTGCCCAGCCTTCTCGGGCCATCAAAATTTGGGACACTGAAAAAGAAATGTGAGGAGGCTTTGAGTTGTAAATGATAAGCCTGGAGGGGTTCCCTAATAATTGATAGTTTGTTTTTTTTTAAAAAAAACAACTTGGGCCGGGCGCGGTGGCTCACGCCTATAATCCCAGCACTTTGGGATGCCGAGGCGGGCAGATCACTTGACGTCAGGAGTTCAAGACCAGCCTGACCAACATGGAGAAACCCCGTCTCTATGAAAAATACAAAATTAGCTGGGCGTGGTGGTGCATGCCTGTAATCCTAGCTACTCGAGAGGCTGAGGCAGAAGAATCACTTGAACCCGGGAGGCGGAGGTTGCGGTGAGCTGAGATCACACCTTTGCACTCCAGCCTGGGCAACAAGAGCGAAACTCCATCTCAAAAAAAAAAAAAAAATCAACTTAAAGCTAGGTGTGGTGACTCACATCTGTAATTGGGAGGCTGAGGCGGGAGGATTGCTTGAGGCCAGGAGTTCGAGACCAACCTGGGTAACATGGCAAAACCTTGTCCCTACAAAAATAGAAAAATTAGCTGAATGTGGTGATGTGCACCTGTAGTTCCAGCAACTTGGAGGCTAAGGTGGGAGGATCACTTGAGCCCAGGAGATTGAGGCTGTAGTGAGCTGTGATTGCACTACTGCACTCCAGCCTGGGTGACCCTGTCTCAAAAAAACAAATAAATAAATAAAATAAAAAGTAAAAAAAAATTAAAAATCAACTTAAAACAGAGACAAAATAAGTTAACTTATATTAGTTTGTAAACAGTGACTTGCTTGCTGATATCTCTTAACTGCTCTTCCTCGACCAAAGAAAACTATATTGCGCATAAAGGTTAGATCGTTATTCCTATTTCGCTTACATGCTGACTAGGATGGCAAGTTAAGAAAATGTCTTTATCCACAGTCATGAATTGAGTCTACAAATCTGGTCTAAATAAACCAGAATCCAATCATTCAGGCAATCAGAATTTTTAAAAAATTCAACCCCCTATCCTCAATGCTCACATAATTTAATCAAGCTTTTCATTTCTGTCTGAAGAGGTGTGGTAGAACAAACAAAGGGGCTCTGAGGCCTCATGGATCCCCCTCCCTTTCACCCCATCCCTCCTCTGTGTCCCCAGAGTTCCCTGCACAGGCCTCAGGCATGGTGCTGTTTCCTTACTCCCCTTCCTCAGTCAGTGGGCCATGTGTTACTTGGCGGCAGAGGTTAGGTATGGCCAGTGCCTAGCACAGCGCTGAACATACAATAAGCACTCAATAAAGGGTCTGCAGTTGTTTCTGAAAAGGACCCCAGGAGGTCGTAAATTCTAAATTACAGTAAGCGGGGGCCAGAATTCATCAAAGATCTCCTTACTATTTATTTCCCTCAGCAAAAACCAAAATGTAATGGCCCTGGGCACTTGTAGAAGTACGGGGAGATTTCTTTGCTGAGGTAAAAATTTCTGCAAAGAGGGAAACAGAATTTCTCCCTGAAGTGCTGACCTATAACAGTATCATGGACAGACAGGGAAATTTTCAACATGATATTATCAATGGCAATTCAAGTGCATTTTACTTGATGACTGTGAGGAGTATGTTTGTGTGTGTTTGTGCATGTGTGTGTGTGTGTAGGTAAATACATCTGTGAAAATATACACAAATATTCCAGGACATATGCATCATTAGAGGAAGGAGCCTAATAATATCCTTGGCATCCCTAAGTTCCTTAATAGCAAGCATCTTCTCTAATATCCAGATCAGATTCCTATAGCCTCATTCTCATTCTCATCTTGGACATGACCTCTCTATAGGCTCAGATGTACTCTTGAACCTTGATACCTTGGCTTTCTTCTCCATATAAAAAGAAAATAGAGAGGAAATATCTGTGAAGCATTTTAAATATAGACCTCAATGCAATTCCTAGAAAAACACTGTTATCTAAAACAAGAGTAACATGAAGGTTGATAACAAATTATTAATGGGTAAACCAAGAAAAATAGTATTTTGAGATGAAGATACATGCATATTATGTGCAGTCTCAGTTAACCAGTTAAAGGTGTAGAAGTTTCAAAAATACTGGCATACAATATTGAATCTGAACAAGAGAAGAAAGAAGCATGCATGTATCTCTGCATTTATCTGCAGGGCATAATGACACTATCATTCTACAACTTTCTCAACCACTCAAAGCATGATTTAAATGAGATCTTTATTCCTGAATAGGCAATTCTAGAAACCATAGTCTTATCAAATTATAGACCAGATTCCTTTTGACTCATTAGTATATTTTGTGGACTGTTTATCTTATATTATGTTTCAGTTAGATAGTTGAATTTAAAAATTAAAATATGATATGTAAAATGCATTTCTTTCCTACTTCATAATTAGTAGCTTTACATTGGTATGAAACCACTAAACAAGCAGCTAGTAAATGGAAACTATATTAAACACAGGCAAATCTACTGATGATGTTAATAAAAAGCTTGTCTTTTCATCAGCTTTGTAGAGGTTTTATTAACAATTTGCATTGGCATCTATTTCAAACAGATATTTTGCTGCATCTTCTGGGTAAAATCTGCCAATTTTGAGCTTAGAGGATTCGAATGCCTCACTTACAAAGGGTTTTTAAAATGGCTAAATGTTAGGTAAATAAAAAGCACAGAAGCTTCCGCTGCCTTTTGTGTATCTTTTACTGGACTGTTGCCTTTCGTATATTACTAATCTGTGAAAACCAGATTGTTAATGGTGGTTAAAAATGACCTCTGGGAGCCTGGATATATTTGTTCACTATTACTGCTAATGGTTTCCATCTGGTTAAAAAAAAAGGCAGTCTAATACTAGATTAAATAAACGTGATTTAGTTGACAGTGAGCTCCCAATTTTTCTAAAAATTCCTTCAGGTTGGCTACATTTTACTTTTTCAGAATTAATGAATGGGTTTGGAAACATCCCTAAAGTGCTTACTTTTTTATCCCCTATATTTCCCTCACCCCTTTTGTTTTTAAATATGGACTGCTTCAGAAATTTGTATGTTATCCTTGCACAGGGGCCATGCTAATCTTCTCTGTATTGTTCCAATTTTAGTATATGTGCTGCCAAAGTGAGCAATGGATTCCTCTTTTGAAAAAGGGGTTGGTGAGCCAGATGTGGTGGCTCATGTGTATAATCCCAGCACTTTGGGAGGCTGAGGCAGGTGGATCACCTAAGGTCAGGAGTTCAAGACCAGCCTGGCCAACATGGTGAAACCCCATCTCTACTAAAAATACAAAAACTAGCTGGGCATGGTGGCAGGCACCTGTAATCCCAGCTACTTGGGAGGCTGAGGTAGGAGAATCGCTTGAACCCAGGAGGCAGAGATTGCAGTAAACCGAGATCACGCCACTGCATTCTAGTCTGGGTGACAGAGCAAAACTCCATCTCAGGGAAAAAAAAAAAGAGAGGGGGTGGGGGGAAGCACAGCAATTCTAACAGTGTAGAGTTGTAGGAGAGAAAATTATACATGGAAGAAGCATATTTCTTGGAAGCCCAGCCTCAAACATATCTAAGACTGTAGAAAAAAACTGGTTTGAAGTTGGAGAGTAACGGGTAACTAGGGCATAAAACGTCTCCTGTGGATGGAAGTGACTAAAAGCTGCTGCTAAAGGCCCAGTGCCATGGCTCACACCTGTAATCCCAGAACTCTGGGAGGCCGAGGGAGAGTGCTTGAACCCAGGAGTTTGATACCAGACTGCGCAACATGGCGAAACTCTGTCTGTACAAAAAAGACAAAAATTAGCTGGGAGTGGTGGTGCACTCTTCTAGTTCCGGCTAATCTGAGTGGGAAGATCACTTGAGCCCTGGAGGTCAAGGCTGAGGTGAGTCATCATTGCACCACTGGCCACTGCACTCCAGCCTGGGTGACAGAGTGAGACCCTGACTTAAATACAAAAAAGAAGAAGAAAAGAAAAAGCTGCTGCTTAGGAAGGTGTCCACACCAGGACTTTCCAAGTGCACATTTGCAGGACATTGTGATCTGCATGGTTTCTGAGAATCCTGCTCATCCAGGAGGGTGGAGGCAGCATCGTGCCATATCAGGGAAACTACATCACTGCTGAGTGCAACTGGAGACCAGAGAGCCTGGAATGTCAGGAGTCGGCTTTCCTGGTCTCTCCAAGGACCTCCAACAGCAGTGGTTCCACATTCTAGGTGAATATTCCAACCCACTCTTGGTTCTGCCCTCACATGTCATTAGAAACTGGAAGTATGAGAAAGATGGGTGAGAGAAGTAACATGCTGAAGCAGATATGAGCAGTAAATAGCAAATGAGGAGGAGATGGACTATATGAACAACACAAACAAGCAAAAAAAAAAAAAAAAAAAAACAGCCAACAGATTCAATAGCACTAGCTTTCAAGGTACTAGAATAATTACTTTCTCTTAAATATCATGGCAAGCCTCTGCTCAAGAACCTGCAATGGCTCCCTATGGTCTCCATCAAAGACTCCATTCTAAAGTTCTCCCCACAAAGTCTCTAGGTTCTCCCATTCTTGTCCAACCTGCTGAGCCATCCTGTCTCCCTTTTTGAGACAAGTTCTCGCTCTGCCACCCAGGCTGGAGCGCACTCACACAATCCAGGCTCACTGCAGCCTCAACCTCCTGGGCTCAGGTAATCCTCTCACCTCAGCCTCCCAGGTAGCTGGGACTACAGGTGCACACCATCATGTCTGGCTAGTTTTTTTCTGTATTTTTTTTGTAGAGACGGGGTTTCACCATGTTGCCCAGGCTGGTCTTGAACCCCTGAGCTCATGTGATCCATCCATCTCGCCCTCGCAAAATGCTGGAATTATACGCCTGAGTCACTGCACCTGGCCCATCCTGTGTTTATTGCCTAACAGGCATTTATTTTTCACATCTGCTGCCTACAACTGCCTTATGTCATTTCTCTGTCCTAAGGTGCCCTCTCCTCTCTTTCTTGTGCAACCAAAATCAGAATGCCATCCAAGTCTTTTCTTGTTAAGGATTGAATGCCTGTGTCCCCCTTATCCCCAAATTAACATATTTAAATCCTAACCCCCAAGGTGGTGGTATTAGAGAAGGGGGTGGGGGGCTTTGGGAGGTGATTAGGCCAGGAGGGCAGACCACTTATGAATGGGATTAATGCCCTTATAAAAGAAACCCCAGGGAGCTCCCTTCCTACTTTTCCACCATGTGAGGACACAGCAAGAAAATGGCCATCTATGAACCAGGAAGAGAGCTCCCTCACCAATCACTGAATCTGCCAGTGCCTTGATCTTGGACTTCCCAGCATCCAGAACTGAGAAAAACAGATATTGTCTAAGCCACCCAGTCGATGGTATTATTTTTTTTTTATAGCAGCCTGGCCAGACTAAGACATTTTTCTTCCATAAGGCTTTTTCAACTTCTGCAAATCTTACTGATTTATCCCTTCCTGGGCTGAAGTTCTAAGTGCTTATTGTCTTTATTCTGCCCCTTTGTACCTGATGTTCTAGTGTTTTACAATATTAGTCTGGTCTTCCTCAGCTAGAAAATATACTTTCTGAGGGCAGAGAGATCCTACCCTACAGGTAATCCCGATCACCCCTACCTTAGGAAAGGGTACAAATACATTCCACAAATACTTGTTGTACTTTTTAATTCATTCTGCTTTGTAAGAGAAATACCAACTAACGCTATTCTAAATCCTTAGTTGTCATGACGAGTTTTAAAGCACTAACTTGTTCCTATATGTGAAAAGCACATTTTGATCCATTTGTATATTCTGACTAAATTAGGCTAATTATATATTCAGTTTACTGGGGAAATTTGTGATGCTCCAATAGAAAATAAGTTTTGTTCTCATCTGACATTTTGAAAATTTCTTTCAGGAACAAACAAAACCACAGCACTAAATTTTAACCATGACCTGAAAATATTAATTAGCGTATATGTCTACTGTAGCCTCCAACAGCAAAAATATTGTACATTTTTAGAGCTCATTTAACTATAAGAGCCAAACGAATGGTCAGGTGACCTGTTCCGTTGGTGGACATGAGAGAGGAGAAGCTGATTAAACAGTTATCACTCTTCTCAAGCTGAACTCTGAATTCAATAAATAAGAGCATTTAAATATTGTGTCCTGTACACATGTAGGGTATACCATGTATATGGGGTACAATATGAAACTTTTGCCATTTGAATAAAGATCAAAAAATGTGGCATTCACCCATCCCTTCTATGGAAATACATTCTTTCTCCTCCCCACCATTTTCTTTTCTTTTTCTTTTTTTTTTTTTTTTGAGACAGGGTCTTGCTCTGTTGCCCAGGCTGGAGTGCAGTGGTGTGAACATGGCTTACTGCAGCCTGTCCTTCTGGGCTCATGCGATCCTCCCACTTCAGCCTCCAGAGTAGCTGTGCCACTATGCCAGGCTAATTTTTAAAAATATTTTGTAGGTCTACCTATGTTGCCCAGTCTGGTCTCGAACTCCTGGGCTCAGGGAATCCTCCTGTTTCATTCTTCCAAAGTACTGGGATTATAAGCATGAGCCACTGTACCAGGCTGCCCCCAGTCATTTCATCCCTACTTGGTTTCCTACTCCTTGTCTTGGCTGTCTCCCTTTTAAATTCTCCCTTGAGCCAACAACTGGCACTTAGAAGCATGGCCCCAGCCAGCAGCCCCAGGGACTAAGTGGTTGCTTATCACTGAAAGGGCTATTATGTCCTCCCAGTACTATTGTTGACACTTCATGAAAAATATTTGGAGAAAATGTTTTGTTTTGATTTTTTTTAATAGAAGGAAAATGTCTGTCCACAGAGGAAGTCTGCAGAAAAAAAGAAAGAAAGTGTGTTATTTAATTGCACACTCACAGGTAAATTTAGTAAATAATTTTTTTCTTTTCTTTTCTTTTTTTTTTTTTTTTTTTTGAGAGGGAGTCTTGCTCTGTCACCCAGGCTGGAGTGCAGTGGTACAGTTTCAGCTCACTGTTATCTTCGTCTCCTGGATTCAAGCGATTCTCCTGCCTCAGCCTCCCGAGTAGCTGGGATTACAGGTGGCTGCCACCACACCTGGCTAATTTTTGTATTTTTAATATAGACAGGGTTTTACCTTGTTGGCCAGGCTGGTCTTGAACTCCTGACCTCAGGCAATCCACCTGCCTCAGCCTCCCAAAGTGCTGGGATTACAGGCATGAGCCACTGCGCTTGGCCAATTTAGTAAATAAAATTATTTTAGTTTAAGACTGTGTCTATACATGAGATACACATGCACTCTAACATCTGGATGAAGAAAGGTATTATAATTTCGGTCAAGTGTCCAGATGTTTCCATAGTTTGTGCAGACTCATGTGCTAGCTGTGTCTGTGTTCTGCTGCAGGGGAGCACACCCTAGAAGAGAAGCCATCTCCTGCATGCAAAGCTGCAAACAATCTTTGCATGCTGCTCCCAATGCACCTTCTTGCCCTTTTATGCTGGGCTGAGGCTCTGTCCTCCTGTTGCTCAACAGCAGGCACAGGGCCTGGCCACTGTTGAACAAAAGCTCCACGTATGCATGTTTAACTTCCAAATAAACTCTGAATTTTAAAATTGATCTTAGTCTTATAATCTGCTTCTAAGTGAGATTTTCTGGATTTTTTATTTTCTCTGTCTCTGATACTCTTAGAGGTATAATTTGGATAGGGTCAAAGTTAACCTACAGTTAGTGTAACTAGTACACTTAAGAATAACCAAAATACAGCACAACATATGGCATAGAGAGGTTTTTAAAAACACTTTGCATTAAGTCATTAAAAAATCAATTATATAAAAAAGCAAGGTTAAATAATTTTCTCCTCTATCAGTGGGATATAGACTTCTAATTTCTTGGTGTTAAATTCTACATTGAATGACTTCCCCTGTGATGTTTGGCACTTCAGTGAGGTCACAGAACAGAAAAGAAAAAAAAATCAATATCACTGGAAAGCATATGCTACAGAATGAACTAACTAAATATTAACTCCATTAGTGAAAAAAAAAGGAGCAAGTGCAAGATTAACTAATACCAGTGGGATTATAGTAAACTAAGAGTTATGGCAAACTTTACAATTCATGATCAAAATTTATTGCAAGGTGCATACACGTTGCATCTTGAATCAGTAAATTAAATATCTTTGATTAGTGCGTCTCGAGTTCATTTAGAAAGCTCTTGAGTTTTAGAACTGGTCTTGTGAGTTAATGCTGTTTAATTTTTTTTCCTGGACATTTTTTCATTGCCCTTCTCTATCTCCTTGAGTTCTATATTTTTAACAATCATTAGTAAGAAGGAAACGTTCATAAATAAAAATAAACAAATATCTGAAATAAGGAAACTATTTAATTTTGAATCCATGTATTGAAAGACTTCAAAATACATTGTACATAACTAAATGTTGCTAGTAAACTAGAGACAGGAGGTTTTATCAAATTTTATAGGTACATTAACTGAGAAACAAAATAGTTTAAGGGTTTACCTAATGTCACCTAGTGAGGGAATTAAAACTCAGATCTACTAGTCTATACTTCAAAGAATTTTTCTTATTTTTTGCTTTTTTTTAAAAAAATCATAAGCATGTTCAAAAATAGAATGGAATAATGAATCAGAGTGCTTCATCTGCTATATATTCATGAGAAGTGTAATTGCTTCTTACTATTCTCAGAAATCTGTCCATAGCATATTAAGTACACTAGAGAATCATACCAGTGAAAATCAAATTGATTTTAAAACTTCTATACATATAAAAAGATGCAGCCATGCTCACACTGCAATGGCACCAGCGTTTCTCCAGTGAAGGGGACTGAAAAGTGGGGATGACTCCACTTTACCTGATTTCCTTGACCTGCAATAGCTTTGAGCTGTCTTACCAGCTTACCCCACTGCATTCAATTTCAAATCACTTAACTTCACTAAAGTTATTCAAAATGGAAATGCAAAACCTTACTCTGGGATTGCAATTGGAAATACTGTCATTTATATTTTTGAGTAGGTAATATTTTGATGAAACTACCATCCCCCTTATCTATCTGACTTGGGTCTAATTTTAAAGGATCTATAGATAAAAGTTCTCCTGGCTTTTGGGTAATTTTGGCTGCTTGAGAACTTCATGTTTGGTCCCTCAATTATACAGAATTATATCTGCTGTATGTAAGGTTAATGACCATTAACAGGGAGGTTTTAAAAAAATCATTTAAAAATGTAATCTCTTCAAAATTAATGAAAAGTAATAGTTACTGATAAGGCTGACAGATTAAAGAAAGGCTAAACTTAATTAAAATGATGAACTAAAATATCAACTGGAACAAAGTATTGTTGCTAAACTGAATTTTTTAAAGGGATCAATTAAATATAGGTCTATATCTTTGTTCAGAGAAAGGTCATAGAGATTTTCTGGTTAACTATATTTATGGTTGCCACGGGAGTGAAAAATTCCTATAAAAATCAAAAATTGCATACCGACTTATCAGGCAGTTTGAAAAGACATTTCGTTCTTTTTTTGTTATAGCTATATAAGCATAGAAATAAAATATTGATATTTTCCAATAATAATGGTTGAATTAAACATTGGATTGGCTAAAGGGACACAGGGTTATATAAATCTTATCAGATGGTTTTTTGTGTAGACTACGATTATAGTACTCATACTGCCTTCTTAGGTAATCTGTCTCCTCCTCTTGATTGGAAGCAATGTGAGGGCAGGGACTCGTATTGATTTCTATTTCTGAATTCCCAGAGTCTAGGAAAGTACTTATTATACAGTAGGCATTCAAAGATATTTGTGGAGTAAATAAGTAAATAAACAAATGAATGCTATCATGTAGATAACGGTTGTTACATGGGGGAAAATATCTTCATTAATGAGTAAAGAATACTGGATAAAACATTTGGCTGCTACCACTCCAAAGCAGCTAATCACAAGCGCTCATAATCTCTTTGGCTCATCTGAATTTCTGACACTTTGCCAAATAAATGGATTCTCAGGATCTGACCACAAGTAAATACATTAATACCAAAACATAGGTCACTTGGGCCCCAGTCTGGGATTTTCTCAAATGTGTATTTCAATCTGAGGACCACAAGCTAATCTTTTCTAAAAGCAATGGCAGCTGACGGTGCACCAAGTTAAGTCCCACACAGTCCAAACCCTTTAAACACTTACTGGTGTTTAAAACATTTCCACGTGCTAAGCAAAAAACAAAAAACAAACAAACAAACAAAAAAAAAACCCATAACGATGAAGTTCTTGTGACCCAAGATTCCAAGATAAAGTTAACAAAGTATAGCCTTCACCTGAAATTTGCTTATTTTGATAATATATTTTTATCCCTTCCATGTTTCACCTGTCTCCCATTCAATACAGGATAATAAGATTGTATAACCTCCTACTACATACTTCCCAGAATAATGTGAGAATGAAACTGTGATATGGAAAAATCAATGTGGAACAAGTTTCTCTGGGAATCTGTATCAAATTAATTATTGTGAGGTAGGGACTAGCAATATTTCAATAGTATCACTACGTGTTATTACCAATATAACTATTGACCGCACTGCCCTGAGCTCCAGGCACTGTGGAATTTTTATATGAACACCGATCCTGACTGTACTTTTACTTACTTCCTTTTAGCATTTATATTTCCATCTTAATATCAAACAACAGTAGATACCATGGTTTTTATCTGCTTGGCTATCATTCTTAAGGTTCTGATGGCTTGTTAGGGTTTACTAGGTCAATAAGCATGGGGAAAACAAACCCCTCTTAAAGCCAGGAATTTGTTTTCAAATTCCATCCAAATCAGAGGAAGATGAAAGAGAGAAATTCAGTTTTTAACAAATATACAGAGACTATTAATATACATGAAATGAAGAGAATATAGCTCTGTGAAGGACTTAGTTTGTTCAAATATATTTATTAATAGATTGCTTGTGGGTATGGGTATGCATGGTTGTTGAAATGTTAACTGAAAACTTCTTAAAAAAATTATGAATGTTAGCTGTTAAATGCAGTGTAGGAAATTAAAGTTCCTAAAAGTAAATTTCAGACTGTGAAATTTGGATTTTCTCATTAAATTTATAGAAAATATTTTAAACATTAAATTATCCCATAATTTTGTATGAATCATTGTTACCCCTTGAAAAGCTATTGCACATGTTCCATCTTTTATAGCATATTTACAAAAATTTTTACCCAAATAGAGTTCAGCAGAAGTAGACTTATGAAGATTGATATTTATCTAGTAGATAAACGAAATTCAGGGTTGGGGTAAAGTTTGATGTCTGTCTAAATGTGTTATTTTGTATTAAATACATGTATATAATAATTTGAACTTTAATATTACCAATAGCCGACTCCAAGGTAAAAATCTCCAAATGTAGGAAGTCAAAAACAAATTAAAACTAATGTGTGTAAATTACAATGCACTAATTTTAACAAGCGACTCTAAAGCTTGTCTTAATACTGGTGAATGGAAAGCAGGTTTCACATCCTGCCTCTGAATGGGTCATGTTATTTAAAAAATACACAGCCATTGCTACATGAAAGTTTTCTTATTTTATTCAACTTTAGGCTTTACGGGGGCTTGCTTTCAAAATGGGGTCATACATAAGATAAAACAAAACAAAATAATAATCCTTCCAAATTAAGTTCTTGACAGTGCCACTGAGATGTGACATTGCTTTTAAACTTTCTTTCTGAGCTTTGTCTGTCTTGGTAGAGAGGAATGGGAATTCTCTAAGTGCTCATTGGTCGTACAAGACAGACCTAGCAAAGGTCTCCAATCCACTTCAGCAGCTGAAACGGCCGGAGGTGATTTGCATTCACTGGAGTACATATAGACTTCCCATCTGTGGTTTCCAGGCATGGGAGAAATTGGGCTACTTTTAAATCTATTTTTAGATATACAGAGCTGCTAAATATCATTTGATCTGGGACTAAGGAATGTTTCTAAAATTGTTTTTTCATATTCATGAATGTGTTGTTTCCAGTGGCTATTAATTTCTACACATATCAAACAAACAAAAGCAACTGACTATCTAGAAATGTCTGGGAAATGGCAAGATATTACAGAATCAATTGAATAGAATTATAAACCCTTTTTTGTGTGAGTGCATGCAAATCCATTAGAAATTCCTTGGTAGCAATGCTTTCCATTTCAGGCCTCAATTTTGTGAAATATCATACTAGGGAGGAGGTAGTTCCTGGAAAATATCATTGCCTTTGTGACTTTAGAGTGTAACAGGAAAATCTACATTTAATAATTTTACCACATTAGACACTTAGGGCAAATTTGCAAAAGATAATTTTATGAATTTTCAAAGGATATAAGGCTTTAATATGTGGAAGTGATAATAATAAAAACATTCAAAATGTGCTAACAAACAGGTAATGCCATAATGCACAAAATGATAGTATTGTGTATTATATGTAGACTTGTGGCCACTAACCAATGATATGCTACAAAATTATTATTAATAACTCCTCAGCATCATCAACCAAAATCGAATATTGATCAACACTTATACCATATTCATGAAATAATTTGGAAATATCTGATGATATATAAAGCTTTCTTCCCATGATACATAAAACATTTTATTTCATTAAAGTAGGTATTTGCCTTTTGCCATTAAAAATATTGAGAAGTTTCCTTATGAGAAAATAAAAACAAAGGTTTGGAGACCTTTTTCATTGTACTTTGCCGTTATATAAGATTCCTTTAAGATCCTATTTTCTTTATTTCTGCTCTCTACACCACTCTCTCTCTCTCCCTCACTTCCTAGCTTGCTCTCTCTGTCTCATTTGACAGGCAAATTTGCAGACATTGCCTCAGGATAACAACCTCGTTTGACAGTCAATTAACCGTGAATAGTCAAAGCCAAGGCAGTTTGCATTACATAAATGGAAAATTAGATTCCTTTTTCCCAAGAAACAAAACCCTCTCCTTAAGACACTGCAATAGACAACTTAGTATCAAAACTTCTAATCACGTCTTTCCCAAACCCCTTGGAGACATTTAGCAATCAGTAAAAGGTGGTTTCATTTAATTTGTATAATGTAATTTTTGTAAATGTATTATACATTTTGTGTAGAGATCATTATCATGGAGATAATATAAATGTTGGCATAGATGTCATAAAACACCTTTAATGTCTTTCTGACAGATATTAAAAGCAATAAGCTGTGATCCTTTTTAATGGAAGGTTTCTAAGAGAACATTTCAATTATTGTCATTTTATGCTTTTCCAGCCTGTTTCATTGTGTAACCTGATATATTTCTGAATTTTCTTCTGAAATATGCCCAGCAATTAATAATCTTATTGCTATTAATGTCACTGCTTCCCCATTTGTGTTTTTCTTAGTTATATCTACTAGGAATTGTTTTTTATTTTTACCCTTGTACTAAATATTCAGTCTTTTGATTATGAATTTCAGCCCCTCTCCCTGTCATCTGACTATTCATTCCTCTTATTTGTTCCCAGCCTACCTGATCTTTCTCTCCAAAAATCTCCTCCAGAAGCATCAGAGTCTGTGATGAAAAAGCTATGCTCCTTGTTCTTATCTAGAACCAAAACAAAACACAAAATCTGCAAGTGATCCAACTGACAAGAGGCACACAAAGATCCAATTTTTTTTTTTTTGCAGGGAGGATGCTACTTATTATATCTAAGTTTGAGAGCTATTAACTCCAAGGAGAAACAATCAGAAGGCTCTAGGTATTCTCCAAAAATGTGGCAACTATTCAGAGAGGACAAAGATATCTAAGAATTTTAGCATATATTTATGTAACTGTGTATGTTTAGAGGGCAGACATCATTCAAATGCAAAGAAGTATGCTGAGATTGTGAGAAATGGCACTGTTATTTGGGAAACTGTCATCGTTGGCAAACTATAGAAATGTTGATCTTTGAAATATAAACTCTGATATTCAAAAACAAAACCAAAAAAGAGCCCACAAATCAATGGTTAAAAACAGAATGGTGGTAGTGGGTAGGTGAGGAGGCTGGGCATAAGTCTCACAGAAATGGTTAAATGCAGGCAAGAAAAGTGGCAGCTGATTTTTTTTTTTTTTTTTACCTGAAAAGCTGTTGTCATCCTTTGTAGATACAATTACTTGGTTATTTTCCTTAGTTTTCTGACTCTGTGTGGAAAAGAATTAGACATACAAATCAATGCCCGGATCAAACCATATGCTAATGTCAACAGTCAGCAGGAAGAAGCATCAATAAAAGTGACTCCATGGAGCCTCAGGAGACATCATTTTTTGACGATTATTCTTTGAATACTTTTTTACTTAAATACATGTGTATGACTACGTATATCTACACTATTATCCTTTAAGAAGTAATACAGATTAATCAGATATATGCTATGTTATTTACAGAAGCATAGGCATATGCTTCTGTAAATAAACACACCATGTTATCTGTC
This sequence comes from Homo sapiens, assembly GCF_000001405.40. Taxonomy (NCBI): domain Eukaryota; kingdom Metazoa; phylum Chordata; class Mammalia; order Primates; family Hominidae; genus Homo; species Homo sapiens. Next base: position 47,245,852 of record NC_000018.10, read on the forward strand.
AAATCTACACTTCATTAGGACAGATTCACTTCGCCCTAAAGTCCTCCAGAGTGTTTTCTGTGCACACGTGAGTGAACACTGAATGTTCAGTCATTTAAATTTAACTTTGGTCTTTTAGGGGTCCCAGGTAGTACTTTTCAGTTGGTACTTTTCCGAGAAGAGGGTCTATACTGAAGATCCTGTCTTTTGTTTCACTGGACACAACAGTTGTGTCCATTCTGGCTAAAACTGATTAAAGCAGTTAAAACTGCATTTAACTTTTGAAGCCAATGCATTTTTTACTTTTGGTCATGGTGGAGGGGAGGTACTGAACTATAGAGAAGAAAAGGGGTAGGGTGATTCAGGCTGCTCCGGTGTTGTGGTCTTGCTCCTTTTAGGGGAACAAATGTGCTCAGTTGGAGGGCAAAGGGGATTGTTGGATTAGAGGAAGGACCAGGTCAATTAAAGGGTCTTTTCCAACTTCCACAAGCAGCCAGCTGAAATATAAGAGGGAAAGGCGGCCCCAAAGCCTTTGAAAGGCGTTATCAAGAAAGGGACCAGAAACCACATTTTTACGGAGGACCACTGGCAGGAAAGAAGCCCTCCTAAACACACTGAATATTTCATTTCTGTGGGGAAATCTGGTGATTCATCTTTCCTGCGCATATGTAACCGATTCAGCCTAAAGGTGCATTTAAATAATAATAATTAGCTTGAAGGAGCCTAAAGGGGATATTTACATCTTTGTAGGAGGGCTGCTCCTCCAGTGATGGATGGTGAACTGGGCTGCCCGGGCTGCTGCTGCCGCCGCCACTCGCCTTCTGGGGGGCCAGGGGCGGCGGCGGGGGCGGGGGCAGGTCCGAGCCGGGGTCCCCGAGTTTCCCGTCTTCCTGCAGCAGCCTGGAGGAGTTCAGGCCGAGCGGGAACGCGCCCGCGACGGCCGGCGCGCGGTCCCGGCTGCTCCCCTTCTCCGACGGCCCTCGGCCCTGGAGGAACCGGCCGCCCCCGACTAAGGGGTCGCCGAGTAGGACCTCCGTCTCCTCGTCCTCTTCCTCGTCGTCGTCAGGGTCTCGACCTTCCTCCTCTTCCTCGCCCTCGGGGGGCTTGTGGCCCTCCACGTCCACCTCCTGCTCTTCTTCCTCGTCGTCCTCGTCCTCGGAGCTGTCCTCGCTGGGGTAGCAGCAGCTGGTTCCCCCGGGAGACAGAAGGCCTCGGTGGTGCGGGTGCTGGGCCAGAGGGGGCGGCGGGGGCGGCGGCGGCGGCGGCGGCGGGGCCGGGTGGTGGCGCTCGGAACCCGGCTCGTCGGGCTGCGGGGGCAGCAGCAGAAGCGGCGACGGCGGCTGCGGGGGGTGGTGGTGGTGGTGGTGGTGGTGAGGGTGGTGATGGTGGTGGGGATGCGTCTGGGCCGAGTGGGGCGCGCCCGCCGACGCCCCGTGCAGCTTGGCCAGGCTCTCCGCGTCGTCCTTGCCGCCCACTGGCCGGAAGGCGCTGGAATGGTGGTAGCTGCCACCGCCCGCTTTGCGCCCCTCCAGAAGGTGCGGATGGTGGGGCGCCGGAACCCGGGAGCCCGCGGGGCCAGACCCGGCGGCCGCGGCCCCTGCCCCGGCAGCTGCCACAGAGTCCGCGGGCGGCGTGGAGCCCGCGCTGCAGTCCCCGCCGCTGCCGCCCGGGGGCGACTCGAAGAGCGCGTCGCGAGAGCCGGCGCCCCCGGCAGGAGGAGGTGGGCCGGAGCCCGGGCCGTTGGCCACTACCTGCGGGGGCTGCCCCGGCGGGGGCGCGGCCTCGGCGCTCCCAGCAGCACCGCCTGGCTCAGCCAGGTCCAGGAAGGCCTGGCGCAGCAGGGCCGGGCTTTCGCCTAGCGCGCAGCCTAGCGCCGAGGGCGGCTGAGGCGGGGGCTGCAGGTAGGTGGGCACCGGGAGCCCGCCAGGGGTCCGCGGCGGCCAGAACATGCAGAAGGGCGGATAGAAGGCGTCCTTGCGGCCCGCGGGCCAGAAGAGGCCGGACAAGCCGGCCTTGGGCGCCGCGCCCGCGCCGCCTGCGCCCGCGCCCCCCAGGGCCTCAGCGGCGGCACCCGCATCCTCTTTCTTATGGCACAAGCTGAAGGCGGCGGCCGCGGCAGGGAAGGTGTAGGGGTGCGGGAAGAGCCCGCCGCAGCCCGGGAACTTCTGCAGGACGCCCCCGAACGAGCCCTTGCTGGGCACCGGGATGACTGGGTAGCTGCGCGGGCCTTTGGCCCCTGCCCCGGCACCCGCCCCCGCGCCCGCGCCCACGCCCACGCCGGCCACACAGCCACCCCCAGCGCCGCCCCCACCAGTCCCCGCGCCGCCCGAAGCAGCAGCCACAGAGAGGCTGGCGGCTGCGGCCGAGAGGCTGGCGGCGGCCACTACGGCGGCCTCCTGCAAGGAGTCGTCGTCGTCGTCGAAGCGCGGCCGCTTGTGATGGGCGTGCGGGGCACCAGCCAGCTCTGCCAAGGGCGGCGGTGGCGGCGGCGGCGGCGGGGGCGCACCCAGCAGGTGGGGGCCCAGCAGACCCCCGCCTCCGGCCACCGCGGCCGCGGCGGCCACGGCGGCCGCCTTCACAGAGCTGAGCGGGTGGCAGGCGGGGTGCGCGCCCGGCTGGGGCAGTGCGCGCTTGCGGCTGCCGCCGTTGAACATGGCCTTGACGTCCTCCCAGGCGAAGACCAGCTCGTCCTGGGGACTCTTGTCGGTGAGCTTGAGATGACGGCGCCACGAGTTGAAGTTGGCTGCGTCTGGCTGAGTGTACTTGGCGTCGGGCGTGCGGTGGGAGTGGAAAATGAACTTGTTGGGCGAGAAGTACATGTTGCAGTAGCTGCATTTGATGCACTTGGCGCGCGAGCTGTTGTAGCGCGCGGGAATGAAGCTGCCGCGGCAGCCCCAGGCGCACTCGTGTGACACGTCGAAGGCGAAATTGTCTGGCAGCTTGGGCGGCCTGTTTTCGCCCAGGAACGACTTGCACAGACGCTCGGCCTCGCGTTTGGTGATCATGCCGCAGCGGCGCGATGAGATGGGCATGGCCCCGGCACGCCGCAGGATCTCCAGTTGCACCGGCGTGCACTGCACACACGTGATGCCCAGTGCCACGCGACGGTTGTGGATCTCGTTGTAGCTGAAGTTCTTGAGCAGAGTGTTGGAGATCTGCGCCAGGCACAGGCGCTCTTGCCCGTCGATCACCAACGACACGATGGGAATGCCGTAGAGGATCACCTGGCCCACCTGGTTGGGTTTGAGGTTGGCGTGCCCTGGCCGCGGCTGGCTCAGCGTGTCGGGCTGGAAGGCGCTCGACGGCGACGCCAGCAGGATGTCGTTGGGCCCTGGCAGCGGACTGGAAGCCATCTCCGCCGCAGAACCCCGGGCCGAGCCCTACAGGTCTGCCTTGGACACTGGAAGGGAAAGGAGAAAGCGTTGACTTGAGCCTTTTCAGACTAAAACAGAGGGGTGGGATGAATCGCTAACCAAAGAATTAGAATAACTTTCTTGCTTTGGTTAAGACACGATTATTACTGGAAAAAGTGACCAAGTTTTGAACACAAGAAAGTCATCTCTTAATTTCCTTCAAGGCCATCCTTTAGAAATGCAGGAATTTGCACTTCTTAACATTTAAAGTGAATTAACTATGTATTTTCCTCAAAAGCAGTGAATTCCTAAGAAACCTAAGACCTTATCCCGGATTTATAGGAGCCGTTGGAATAAAATGGCTTGCTTCTAGAAATTAAATAGTAACGATAGTTGTAACTAGTACAGATAATAAAAGTTACGGAAAACTGGGGCTTGGCCATTGAAACCCAAATTTAAAGAGCTGTCATTCTCATTTGCTTGGAGATAGATTGATTTTGGTTAAAAAGTAACCCCCAAAACCCTTTAAAAAGTGATTTTCTTGGTGTCTATGGTTTCCTTGGGGAAATTCATTATTGGTTGAAACACAGGTCATTAAAGCAAAACGAAATCAGCCTTCTCCCTCACCCTTGCCATTAGATATTTTGTTACTGTAATTAGAATTATTTTTTTGAAAAGGTGAAAAATGTACAAAGTCATATACACCGTTGCACCAAAATAGAATGTTTCAGTTTTTAAAAAACCTACTTGCTGAACTGAGTGGTTCTGGTCTCAGATGGTTAGGTAGCTTAAAAACATGAAGTTGAAGATGGTAGTCATTTAAAAACTGTTTTACTGTCATTTCCATGACGATAAGAAAGTAAGTAGAGGCAAGGGTGTTAAACCCAGAAACAGTACACAGGAATGAACAATTCTTGGGGATCTTCATTGGCAGACTTCAAAAGGCAAATTTTTTAGCTTGATGTGAACCACCTTCTGTGACTCTTTTCCCCTAATTTATTTTGATATCTCTATATCTTTATGGGGAAAAGCTGCCCCACCATACAGCCAATCGGTGGACTAGGTAATCTATGGGAGTGTTGAAAGTCGAAATCCCAGGTTGGGTCTGTGGTAAAATTTCTAACTTCACCTCCAGTCAACAGAATGCCACAATGAGGGAAAATATTCAGTAAGTTGAAAATACAGAACAAGGAAGCGGAAAGAAATTTTAGTGACAATGCCACTAAGTGGAAAGAAGGAAAGTGGCTCACTCCCTAGGAAAACAAACACTGATCTTTCCACAGCTACATCTCAAGCGCATTGGCCAAGGCATGCTTTGCCCTGAAAAATCACCAGAGGCCATAGCGTGGCCCCTTTCGGCCACGTACAGCGAGTTCGCTATTACAGTGCTTTCAGAGGGTACACGATCTTACTCCCTCACCCAATTTCTTATCCGTGTCCTCTCTCTGGGCCCCTGTGGCATCTATACAGCAGCCTCTGTCCTGCTGCCCCCTGGATCCTCAGTTCTCATTACATTTGGCGGCCTCCAGGAAGCTTGAACAAACCTCGACGCGATCAAAGGAGAGGAAAGCCTGCTTGTCACTTTGGGTGGATCAGAGACAATATTTCCAGGGGACAGGGCGTTACATGGCAGTTCAAGGCGCAGTGACACCCGAGTCTGATACAACCAACACTAGCTTCGTCAGGTGGCCCTTCGATGCTCATTTCCCTACCAAACAAGATTCATATCCGCTTAATAAGACCCTGGGATAATTCCAACTCTCGCTCCCCAGCAAGGCGCGCGGCTGGCCAGCCGGGGCGGGAAGCTGGCTCTGCGTTAAGGACTCGCAGCCTTAGCAGCAGTAGACCAGGCAGAAGTGTCTCCTCACTTTTACCCCAAGCCCTCCCAGAAACTGCCGTCAGAGCAGACACAAGGTTTTGGTTGGGGCATTATTTTTTGGGTGGGTGGGGAGGGGAGAAGAGACAATTAAAAGTTAGTTGAACTGAGAAAGGAACCTGGTGAACTTCCCTATCCTGCCCAACAGCCAAAGACCCCCCCACCCCCAACTTAGTTCTCCCGACTCCCAAACCAGTCACCACGGAAGCCCACCGCTGCCCCTCAACCTAACGCGGAAAATCCTACCGCTGGGGATCTCAAATAGGTGCCCAGCAAGCTGTGTGCCGGATTGGGGCGGCCGGTTCCGGCAATACCTGGTAACCTCTGGGTGTCTTTAGGCGTGTGGCTGCCGGCCCATCTTCCGAGGGCGCTCGGAGGCGAAGCATCCAAGCGGGTCCTCGTATCCAGCGGGCGGGACTCTGGCGGGCTCCGCGCGAAGATCCGGGCTCTGGCCCGAGCGAATGGCGCTCAAACCCCGGCCTGGGGAGAATGACGGCCTGAATTGCGGCGGGGCGTCCCCTCCACCGCAGAAAGTGTGGGTACGCAGAAACCCGCGGCAGGAGAGCCCCAAGTGGAGCGCAGTCTGACAGCGTCTGTCTCTGAACTCGTGTCGGACCGAGGGGACGCCACCCAGCGGGCAGGGTGACGTCACCGTCTCCCTGACACTCCACATTAAAGGGCTGGCATGTTACAGGGAGGGAGGGGGAGAGCGAAAGCCAGCGCGAGCAACAGAGAGATCCTTTCTCAGCAGGCACGAAAGCTACCAACCTAACCAACTCGCAATTGACAACAACCTCCTCAGCCCCGGAGTAAACTGCAGCAATGGTGCTGGAGCCGCAGATCTGATTTAGGAGTGGAAAGCGAACAGTCTGCCTGCATCCCGGGACCTAGATCCTGGAGGCCCCGGATTCTAGAAGGACGCCTCCAAATTAACTATATCCCTGACCGTTATTGTCTCCTCCCCTCATTTCTGAGTCACCCTCCTTCATGAATGATCCCTCTGGTACAGGATGCAAAGCTGCTCTGTGTCTGAAGACAGAATCCACAGTCAGCTGGAGAATAAATTAGCTTCAGTGACTCCTTTGAAACGCTATGAAATGAGAAAAAGGAGAGAAGTTTCCACATAGGGTGCCCAATCAGAAAACTTGGAGTGCCCCGACTTTTGCATATACATTTGCTTTATAGGACAAGATGCAGAGTCACTGCAGCCTTCTCTATTTTATGGAGTGTACAATTAGGTGAGGACCCCAATATGTGCATATGCACATCGATTTATCAAACTTCATTCAGAATCGTCCTCTAACCCATTTTACAAGATCCGTAAGGCTACCTCTACACAAGGAAAGGGTGGGGCAGGGAAGCAGGGAGGTCCCCCACATGGAAGAGTCCTTCAGCAAGTTGCCAATTTTCCTGGAGAAATAAATAAATTTAATCAGGAAAACATGTAGAAGCATGATCTCCTCCCCTAAAATAAAGACTAGGATGAGAAAACATTTCCTCACAGTTTCCCTAAATGAGGCGCACCCTAGTGTATTAATGAAGTGTCAATATAGTGCGTCCCAATTGACCAGCTGTTAAGAGTCAAAACGACCACTGGCTAGTTTATCGGAAAGGAAAGAAACCACTTATTTGGAGTATGTTCTAAGAAGGATGCCGGCTGGGGTGGGGCTGGGAAATCCTTTAAGTTTTTCCTTTACTACCATAGCTGAATTTTCAATTGCTGCCTAGTGAAACAGTCCTAGCATTGTGGAAATGATGGAAAAACATCTACCAAGCTGAAAGCCCACCCAGATTGTGTCATAGCACCAACAACATACCACTCCTAAATACAAGAGCAAAAATGTGAAATCTTAACCTTCATCAAAGGTTAATAAACCCAAGGAAAGTCAATTGAACAGAAACGTGAGGGGCTTGTTGCTCAGGAGTTGTGTCTATTTTAAATTAATATCCTGAAAACACAGTTACAGAGACATGAAAATCGAAACGTTTGGGCATAAGTTTCAACGGGCAATGAAAGAATTTTTCACCCATCTTCTAGTTTCTAAAGACATTCAAGGCACAAATTGGGCTTTATCCTAAGGGGCTGAAATCAACCTAGTGCTCCCCCGCCAATACCCCAAAGCCTCCCATCCTAAAAAGAAGGAAAACTCACACTTTCTGCCTACCCAGCCCATTGGCCAAAAGCGCGCCATTGTCATTCACAAATCCCTTCTCTCTGAGGCCGAAGGCTCAGTGCTCTTTAGAAGGTTTCAGGGCTAAGCTGGTTCTTTTCCCCTCCTCTGCCTCCTCTCTGGGGTCAGGGGCTCCCACAAAGGGAAACGTTCCCAGTTCCCAGACTGCCAGGAAGAAATCTTGAGCCACGTGGAAACGAACCCTGGAAATGGGGCTGATTTTACGACTGAGAGCGGGAAGAAAGGAGAAGTCCTATCACCTCTCTAACTACCACAGGGAAATATCTGGTTGCTGCCGGGGAGGGAGAACTACGAGGTCTTCACTTTTGATTGTACAGTTCCCATTGTTACCCCACAAAGCTCCTCTTCCTCTTACAGATCCCTATCTTTTAAAAAAGAGTGTCTTCAAAAACAGATTTATTTGACAAGAGAAATGGGCTGAATCTTTGCCTTCCCTCCCATTCCAGGTTACCCTGAGGACTGAATCCACATCTGGGTGGCACCTGTAGCCACTTCCTTACCTGAATTTTAAAACAGAAACATTTACAAATTACTTTTGGGCTTACTGCCTACAAGCCTTAACTTTCTTCCCCAGTGCCCTCCCACCCTACAGGACAAACAGGATACACAACTTTAATAGAAAAAGGTTTCATTGGAAGGAAAAATGAGTGGTATTAGGTTAAATAATTTTACACAATTCTAAGAATAGTTCAGTGTTTTATTTCCCCTATGAGTCTAGGGTGCCTGTTTAAAAAGTCAGGTCAATTATATATTTTTGGAAGGTAAAAGTGGATAACAGTTATTCAAAGACTTCACACTTGCCCCCAGTGAATCCTCATCTTGAGACCAGAGCTGGACTGCAGAATCACAGCCTGTTGGTATATTTTGAGTCTGCGAGCAACCTTCTGCCACCCACTGTCTCTGTGACCCTTTGTTTTCTCCTCAGTTTGAACAAGTCTCCTGCTGGTCCTCTGTGGAGTCCTTGTCAGTCCCTGTTCTGGCCCCTGGGACACTGGCAGGCTCAGGGAGGAGTCGACGGTGGCGAGAGGAGGCTGGTCGAGCCCGAGTTAATCAATGCTTTCCTCTTCGAGCTGACATGCATTTTACACGTCAGGACTCTCCTCAGCCGGCTAATTGATTCAAATTGTTTTATTGGTTAAACTGGTGTCACCCATTTTCATGATCTATCACCACATGGAGGAGAGCATTTCCACTCCCATCTCCGTTCCGGGCGGCTGCGGTTCACCCAGGCCAAGGACAGGTAAAGGAGCCCAGACGCGGGACCCAGAGGAAAACCACAAACCGAGCTGGCCTCCTCATAACTGGAGAGGCGACGTCTGGAAGTAAGAGGAGGAGGCCGGCACAGCAGCGCATATGGGCTTCCAGCTACAAATTTAAACTGGTTGAAGAGAACCCACGCTCAGCCGGGCCTGGGCCCAGTTTCCTCCACCTGGGACACAGTCGGTTTCCGAGCCGGCGTTGAACTCCGCGGTATAGGAGGCCACAACAAAACCCGGGTGGGAACTGTCCGCGGTGCTGACGAGATGCATCGTTCCAAAGCACAGCGAATCCTACTGTGTTCAAGTCGGGAAGAAGCCTCCCAGCATGTAATTGAGCCCTAGATTCGGCTCTGGGCGGGCTCGAGCAGAGCCTCATAGTCTTAAGAGGCGGGCAAGGTGCAACACAGAACCACACCCCCTACTTCTCCCACACTTGCCCCATCTCCAAGGACTGAGCAATCCAGATCTCTCAACCCCACCCCCTTCCTTGCATTGACAGCAAAGAAAATAAAAGCCTGGACAAAAAATCATTACAATCTGAAACACCAGATATGCCCTCTCTTCCCACTCCCAGTTTGGATGTTAAGGAACGCATGACCGTTACAGATCAGAAAAACAGCCTCTATCCTTCTCTCCCACTCCCTCTTACCCCATTCTCAGCTCTTAGGCAGAAATCTTACTGCTCCCATCTCCCTGATAGAAGTGTCCCTGGCATTGGTATTTCTGCATCAAATAGGGCAAGAAATGATTTCTCTGTTAGTCCCAAGCCTGCAAAAGTTGACCCATATGGCCCAGAAAGAAACTGGGAGACTGGCAGTACTGGAAGGGGCAGAAGAATTCTGGTATATTAGAAAGAACCGGAGATTCAGAATCAGATGAAACTGAGTACAAATTTCTCCTCAATCACTGACTAGCTGTGGAATCTTGCTCAGATACCTCACCTCCCCAAGCCCCTGTTTCTTCATTTGCAAAATGAGGAGATTGATAGGTAGCCCACAGGGGTGTCGTGAGAATTAAGTAAGATCATATATGCAAAGTGCATGGCACACAGTAGTCATTTAATACACGGTAGTTTTAAAAGCATTTTCCTCAGAGAATGGGGACAAGAGCTAGTACTGTCCTGTTACAAGATACATTAGAAATCTTTAATAGCTCCAGAATAAAAGATATCAAAGGCACTTTACCTTAGTGGTGAGCAGAGAGGGAACCAAGTTCTCTGGAGGAACATTAGTCCTTTTGTTAAAATTTTATCTGGCCTTTAATTGGTCTAGTCTTTATTTTATATACAGTTGGCCAGAACCCCAGCTAGCATTTGTTTAACCCATTGTAAGTAGATTGACAATAAAGATTAGCAATGATAATGGCCATAATGATAACGATTGCTGATAACCCTCAGCTCTCACTTTCTACCCTAAAAACCTTTCTGCAGCCGGGCTCAGACTCCCTGGTTTTCCGTTTATTGCCCCAGCTGTGGTTGCATGGAACAAACCAGGGACTAGGAGCAAACTAAAGATTTATTCATGGCGGAAGTCACAGGATGAACTAGAAAGGGCTCCGAGCATCCTGGGGCTAACTCAATCTTTGAATCTTCTCTGAAATATTGTTTATAAACAAGGGCCCAGTCCAAGAGAAGTACAGCGAGAGCACAGACCAAATATTCTAAACTGGAATTGGGAAGGGAAACTGAGCATACTTTGCAGGACCGGTATTCCTGCCCCAGTGATCCCTTGAGTTCTTCATGCACCAGTGACTATGGGAATCAGTGAGCTCTTACACTTCAAACAAGCACCTTTTAAAGAAATAGTGATGGTGGGAGGAGAAACTGAGACTCGATTGTCCTTAATCAGAGGAAATCTTTGTCACAAAAAAGCTTGCTTTTGGGTAAGTGGCAGAGAAGAGTCTTAACCTCCTTACCCTTAGTTCACAGGGACTAACTGAAACAGTTGCTATTGGCCTTTCTTTATTGTAAGAGAGAACACCTATAAGTCCTCCCAAACCTGTAAACACAGCAAGGCACACATGTGCACATCGTTTCCATGAAGTAATAATATTCAGAATGGAAGATGAAGTTGGTGAACTTGGTGGTCACTTAGCAAATATTAGTTGAACAAGATAAAATTCAAAGGCACACAAAATACCTGAGGATACACACAGACCCATGGATGCACACTCCCTGAACACACCTGTGAATATGCATCTAAGAAAAACACTGGCACAGGGAATAAGCCCACTAGGCTCTCTCGCTTTTCTCTTTTCTCCTTTCTCTCTCTCTCTCACTCTCTCTGTCTCTTTGCACGTATACACATATGTACCCGCCCTCTCCACCCACCTCCTCCCCATATAGGGAAGGAGGGGGTCCTTTGAAATGGAGGTGGTCCCAGCTGGAAAACCCCGGAGCTCATTTAGATCACATCACTTCAGGCTTTTGTCTCTGCTCCTGAATAACCTAGGCTGCTACAACAAAAGGATAAGGCATCTACATGGAGTTTTCATTGGCAAAGATGCATCTCAAAGATGCTGCTATAATAATGAATAACAAGGCAAGATGCTTGCCTTTTCTGATTGACACTCCTAAAGAAGGGAGAGGAGAAAAAAGGAGAAGGGAAGAGGGAGAAAGTGGAGTAGGAAATTGGATTGGGGAAGATGAAACCACAGCAAGTATTTGGTTGCATTTCTGCAAAAGAGTCTTTAATCATACAAAGACTCCAACTACCACTAAGTATGAGACATGAGGCCTAGGGCTTATTTTATTTTACAACTGGCTATTTTGTTTCAAACAACCAGTTTAAGAAGTAAATAAAACTGAGGATGCAGAGAGGGTGTGGAGAGCAGGACCCTTTAAAGCTTGGGGAGGGGAAGCAAAGGAGTGGGAGTAGGGGGAGGGGTTGTAGATTGTAGTTGACATGTCACGAGAGAGATGTACATTTACCATCTCCCCAGCTGACACTGGTGGAAGGAACATTGGATTTTATTTCCTAAGGAAATAAAGGCTTTCTTTTTCCCTTTCCTACTGTTTTCTCTATCTTACCCTCCCCCATCATTCAACTCATCTGAAAAATTTCTACTTTTCCATCAAGCTTGATCCCATTACCTAATGCACTATTAAACTATCTTGTGTTCTCTGACTGCCCAATAAGCATAATGCCTTCTGCTTCTCTCCTGCCTGCACACTTTAACTCAGTGGTAGCAAAAGATAAAATTAGATGTTAGCAAAATAAATCCCAGGGAAGAGGGTGATAGAAATCTGAGTCATTGATTTTTTTTTTTTTCTTGAAAATACAGCAACCAGTCAATATGCAGAGAGAATGTTGGGAGACATTTTCTATTTTGGTGTATTTAAAAGTTATTTTTTAAGCAAAAAAAAATTAAAAAAAAAGGCTTTCTGTCATGGAGCTTAAGGGGTTCCAAGTGAAAGTGCAGCTAAACAGACCAAAGACAATACCATCCCAAACTTCTTCAAGACACATTATGATATCATCAGCAAACTCTTAATGTTGGCAAATAATTAAATTTTCTATCTTTTAGAACTGTGTAACCTTGGGTGTCTTAGAAACAAATTGTACAAACAAACCATGGAGATGAGCACTGAGGGTTTCAGAAGAGATATAATGAACCAACTTTAATTACTAACTTGAAATTAAAAATGTAATATACAGATTTAAATTTATTTTCACCTAAATTGTGTATAAAATTATATGGCTTTTGCAGGCTAAGAAATGCTTTGTAACCAGCCATGCTACTAAAAAGTCTGAAGTAGTTTCCAAAACTGAGTTCCCAGACTCACACAGTAATAATGATACATTTATCATTACTGATGACCACCTACTGGGTAATTATTGCTTTGTTACTACTATTACAATCAAGAGATTTCTTTATTTACTGTTAACATTCACTTAAAACTGAATGTTAATGACTGTTCTGAATTCACCAAAGAGAGTTTTCTGTTATATTTCAGAAGTACTTACGTCCTGGTTCAGAAATGGAAAACCATATCATAACAGAGTGGAAGGCTGGGTGAGCACTTGGTTCTCACCCTCTCTTGAGAATGAAAACAGTATTCTGAGGATTTCTGGAGCAAAATTTTCCAGCTCAGAGTTGCAAAAGGTTAACATAATGCAGCCACTTGACTTGTGCTAATTATGTAAGTATTTTATTACAGGAGATTCATTCATTATTGATGCTTGTTTGCAGTAACTTCCTGCTTGGGGGAGTTATATTTTATATGAGAAGTAAACAACCTATGGCTCCAGGGCTAGCCTCCTCCTCATCTGATTTCCTCCTACCCCTTTGTCTAGTTTCACAACAATCCTCCTGGGTTGGTATGTCCCTACTGAGGCAGAGAGACAATTCCCTAAGAATTTCCTCTTCTCCCTCCATTTTCTTTTCCCATTCAGAACTTCCTTGTTCTTAAAAGGTAGAGTTCAGAGTATGGAAGTGTTGAGGTGGGGAGGAGGTAGGCGAGAAAATAAAACTGTTTGGCCACAAATTTTTCTCTTTGGAAGCTACTCTCAGCTCTTAGCCCAGAAATATCAGAAGTCAGTCTGGCCTTTGGTATACCCAGAGGTTAGGAGATGGTCATTTTGGAAGTGGACATGGTGGATGCTGTTGACCAATGGTCAAGCTCAGAAAGAGGCTCCTTCCTATCCCCTAAGTCAGAACCTCATCTCAGAGCTATTGGTGGTTGGTGCAGTCTACAATATCTTCTTCCCTGGGCCAATGCCCTGGGAAGATACGGCCCTATGCCCAGTTGCACTAGGAAAAGACATCGCTTTGCTGTGGGATGGCCTCCATGAGCCCCTGTGAAGGACTGTGTTGGCTGCTTGGCCAAGGGGCTCTCAGGAGTTTCACTCTAAAAACATGTACTGGCCATCTGAGGCGGTCTATTTGGTGGGAGGCCAGTGTTTCCTAGAGAAGCCAAAAGGCCCTGGCATAGGCCTGCAGCCTAGGAGGAAGGGTTTCTTCTTGGGCTTTCTTCCAAGTTCTGAGATCCCTGCTCACGAGTCCCAGTTCAGAGCTGGGATGGATATAAGATGTGAGTTCAGCATGCTCCAGACCCTTAGACGAAGTTAGAAATTGGAGATGGTAGAAGGGCAGTGGGAGAGGGTGAAGCAGTTTGGGGGGGTGGTGGGGGACACTGTAAAGACTGTGTTCTTGAAGGTTCTGATGTGAGCAGGTGGGAATGAATACGATGGAAACTGAAGTCTCAAGGCGTTGGACCAGTGTGAAAAGAATGAAATGGTATGGTCTGAGATGGGGTGAGGAGAGCTTTGGGGAGGTGCATGCAAATTAGTTGGAATTGGGCAAGTCTTGCCACAGTCCTAAGCAGCACCGTCAGAGCTCAAAACCCAGATTCAGCCCTGGGCCTCTACTATCTAGCCTAGAACTTCTGCACTTTGGGGGTAGACATGGGGATGGGGTGATGACCCAAGGTCCCAGGGGGCTCTGGGAAGAGCCCTGGGTTGGTGTGAGAGGATGGTGAGAGTACAAGATTGGGTCCAGAAAGGCTGCCCTGGGCTTGGTCAGCACAATCTTCGCTCTCCTGGGCGCATCGCTTCTCTGCTTTTACCCCTCGCCAGGGTGGAACCGCTCTGGGTGATCTGGGAGGAATGCCGTTCCCAGCAAGCCGTCCTTAATGGTCCTTTAACAAACTCTTCGATCTCTCTTTGGCCGCTCTGGCTCTCGCTCGCCTCCTCCCTCTTCCCTTCTCCACTGCCTCTATCAGTTATTTATGAGCAGCGTTAATTATTCACGAAAAGAGAAAACTCCAGCTTTGGGAACTTTTCTAGGAGACGTTTGGGGGGTTTCTCTCTTTCCCACCCCTATGGCGGTTTGAGAATTGGGGTCTTCGGGGAGTCTATTTGGCCGGATCCTGCTTTGAAGCAGTGGGGAAAGGGAAGCCCAGTGGTTGGGCCGGAGACGGGGCTAGGGGTGCACCCTTCGTCCCGGTCAGCTCTTGCGGCTGCCTACGTTCCTTCACCTGCCAGGACCGGGAAGTTACTAGGCTCGCCCGCGGGAGTCGCTGTCCGAGCTTGGCAGTGCTGAAACCGCCGGCGTGAGCTAGGGAGCTGCGGGCTGCGGAGGTTCAGGGGCAAAAATCTGGATGCTGTCCTAAGCTAGGGAGCCGCTTTCCACAGCGTCTCCAAAAAGTCTAGTTTGCCTTCTCTCCCTAGCTCTCTTCATATCCCCCCCAACCCCCCGCCCACAAGTGACACCAGAACGTTGTAACCAAAAATTAATTGCCTTAATCAAATCGACCCACCTTCTGCAATTAATCTTTTAGCAACAAATTAGAGACAATTTACCTCAACCTCCCGGGTCAGGCGGAGATAGGTGGGATGGGGTGGGGGATGGTCAGGGTGGGAGACTCTGACAAAATTTACAAATGGTGCGGAATGGGGACTTCGGAATGGGTGTGCGTTTGAAGTGGAGGGGAGGGAGGAGGTCGAGGTCAGCTGCTGGGCTGTGCCGGGGGCTAGAAATTCCTGGAGTCCCTTTGGTCCCCGTATTCTCCAAAGGAAGGGAGGCCGAGGGCGGAGGACGAAGCCACTTACCTGTCCGCGCCGCCCGCGCGGTCTCCGGCCCCCTGCGCGAGGTCCTCCCTCCTGCCTCGCGCTCCACGGCTCCTCCGCGCTCTGCCTCCCGCGGCGCCTGCCGCCTCCCCTGCGCGGATCAGCCGCCGCCGCCCGCCGCCCGCCGTCCTCTGCGTTCCTGCTCGCGATCCGGCCCTTCGCCGCGACCCTGTCCTGTCCCACCCCTCCCCTTCTCGGCGGTTCCTGCAGCGGCTCAGCTCTTCCTACTCTCCTCCTGGGCAAGTTTGTAAGTTTAGGGTGAGGGTCGGTCTCTCCTCGCGCCCTGCTTCTCGGCTTAGCTTGCTCAGATCCGCACCCCCCCACTCCCCACCTCAGACCTCTCTGACGCCGCCTGTTGGTCAGGCAGGGCAGGGCGAGGAGCGCAGCGCCAGCCCCAGCCCCATCACCCCACCCTTCACCCCTCCATGCCCAGTGGTCGAAGGAGGACAGATATGAGGCGAGGGCTGGAGGCCTAGTAATTGAAGTAGGACCAGGGGCAGGAGGGAGCAATCCGCCCTGGGGGCGCGCAGCCTGGGCCGGCAGCTTGAACTCCCTTGCCAGAAGGGTTGTCCCAGGACGCGCAGGTGCGCTTCTCCTGTGCCGCCCTAGGGCAGTCCACTAGGAGGGGGCACCATTTCCACACTTTCCCGGGGAACGACCACCTGAGGTGAGATGAGAACCTATTGTGCGTCTCCAGGAGGGGAGCTGGGAAGATTGGATACGGAAGACTGAGCCCTTCTCAGCATCTCCAGGAAGGAAAGCTTTAGGGCCAAACATAGGCTGCTTTAAAAAAAAAAAAAAAAAAAAAAAGTTAGTCGAATCCGTCTCATAACGAAGTGTCAGACTGCGTGTCAGGGAGACCGCGGGCCAGGGGTTCCAGTTGGAGCCCAGCGTTCCAGGAGGGGATGAAGACCGAGTTCGGTAAAACAGCGTGGTATTACAAAGTTTGCCTTTCAGGCTCCGGCCTAGCTCCTTCCTTGGCAACTTTGCAAGTGCCGGCAACCCTCA
Organism: Homo sapiens; assembly: GCF_000001405.40. NCBI lineage: Eukaryota > Metazoa > Chordata > Mammalia > Primates > Hominidae > Homo > Homo sapiens. The sequence continues at coordinate 47,262,088 of NC_000018.10, forward strand.
CTGGATCATCCTACCCTTGGAACTTCTTGGGAAGCCTCGGTTTAGCCTTGGGTCCACCAAGACTTCGGCGAAATGGAGGCGTTCCATCCCCCTCCCCATCCTCGTCCTGTCTTTTTCATTGAAAGAACTGATGGACTGTTTCTGCCCTGCTCCCTCCTTCTCTCATAAACGCTTCCCATAGATTATTCGACACAGAGAAGGAAGGCGGCTGCTTAAAAAACAAAAAGCCATAGCCCTAATGAGTTCAATTACAATGTGGTAAACACATTGCCTCTACGCTTTAATTAAGCCTGCTGCCCAATTTTAACTCATTAGTAATTCATTAAGAGAACAGCCCCGTGCTGGCTGGTGGAAGGCACCGCAGACCGACTGTGCACGAAGTCCACACGCGCGCAGACCGCCGCCGGCCCTCGCCTTGCGCGTGAGCGAGTCAGGTTTGCGACCCAGTGACGTTGTTCTAGTCCAACAAGACTAGAACCCCCGCTCTGCCAGACACACTGGGCTTTGCAGGTCCAAGCTCCCGGGATAACCTTTCCCGGCTTGAGTCCCTCGGGCTTGAAACGTGGTTTAGCAAACCTGTTGGGTGGGGTGGCGGTGGTGTGGGGCCGGGCCACAGTTGAGAAGCAAATCCCCGGGTTAAAAGAGCTTCTCTTGCCTAAGGCCAGATCCAGTCGCCCGGTGTGGCACGTATCCACCCTCCTTCCCTGGTTCTTCTTTCATTTTGCGACAGTCTCATGAAAAATCTAAGTTCGGCCTTAGCTCTCAGCTCCGGCTACCCTCTGCACGCTCCCCGACCCTGTACCCGGGAGAAGCTTCTGTTCAAATGAGACTGATTTTTTGCGTGGTGGGGAGGTGAGGGGAGAAGAAAACTGTTGGCTAGAGAGGTGAATATCTGAAGGGAGAGCACAGACCTCTGCTTTTCCCTCTTTCTCACTCTTCTCCTCTGCTTGGGAGCGGGGCTGGGGTTAAGGCCACATCTGTAACTATGTCAGTTGAGACCAGCCCTCTGTCAGGAAAAGAAATGGAGACAGCGTTGCAGAGCGAATCACTCATGGTCTTTCCATTTCATAATCGAGGGAGACAGCGCAAGCAGGTCAGACTCGACCGGTTCGCTTCCTCCCACCCCTAACTTGGCGGGATCTGAGAAGAAAGTTCCCGCATGTTTGAGCGTCCTAGGGCTTGGATAGGACAGACCTCGTAGGTCCCCAAGCTCCAGCTTGGAGTTCCCAAGGAGAAGGGAAGCGCTAGTGCTATGGAGCGAGGTTTTGGTGAAGAAAAGGGCCTCGCGCCCCCTTAGTGCCGTCGCTCTGGGGAATCTTCTTTCGCTGGGAGGATGAATGGGGCGCTCGCCGCGGCTCATGGCGCCCCCTAGGAGCGGCAGGAAACTTCTCCTGCAGGGCAGCGCGGGCCGGGCTCCGCCTCCGGAAGGCGGGCGGGGAGGGTAGTTGCTGGGGGTCCCTAGGCCGGGCCCCAGGACATCTAGGACATGCCGGGGGCTGTTTGCTACGGCTTCATCCCGGAGCTCCTGCTCGGGGTTGCCGGCTGCCTCTGCTGGCGTCCCTCTTCCCTTCCTTTGCGTAAGCGGCAACTCCTCCAGGAAGCCAGGGGAAGGACGGGATTTCCTCTCCACGTAGGGTAGTAGATCGCATAGCCCAGCCGGATCGCCCAGCAGGAGTGCAGGGCGCGCGTCGGGGTGTCTCCGGCTTGTGGGTGTGCGGTTCGAAACCTTAGCTGGGGTGGGGGAAGGGATGTCTTTAACCTTCTGTCTACCGTCCCCCTCTTCCCTCTCTCAGCCTAGAGGCAGGGGATGCTGCGGAATCAGACTGGGTGCACCAAGGCGGAGGGCCATGCCGGGCTTCGCCCTTCCTGGGTGTCCCGGAGTCCGTTCCGGAGAAACCCTGGCATTGCCAGAACTGGGTCCCCGCACTCACTCCTCCATAATTCGCGGCGGATCAGCGGGAGGAGGGCAGAGGGCGGGGGCGAGGCAGCTTCCTGGCGGGTGTGGCGCAAAGTGTGCGGGGTGTGGCGCAAAGTGCGCGGACCCGGGTCCTGGACCGAAGATTTAGCCCAGGGTTTCGTGTGTGTTGCTCCCTGTTGCTTTCTACGGGGTCTGCGCTGGCCTCCTCCTCGGGCGACTGGGCCCTGAGGCAACAGCGCCTTCTCGAGCCCCGAGGATTGACCGCCCCGAGCCTGCTTGGAGCAGGGCCTCTCTCCAGCGCGGTGTGATGAAAGTAAGAAAATCGGGCCCCTGCCCCAGGCAATAGGGGAGGCCTAAAATGAAGGGGGCAGCGATGGGGTCGGAAATGCGTGCAAGTTGAGAGTCTCGCAGGGAACTCATCTCTTGCTCAGGGTTTCCGTGTTTGGAATCCAGTTAGATGTCTGCGGGGGATCTCCAAGGCTCTCATTCCATGAAGGCATTTTTATCCACTCTGGGGGAGATGTTGCCAGGGCAGACATTTCGGAAAGGTCCCTCGGGCCCGATGTTAATTACAACTGAAATAGATTGTCTTCCTTCACTTTTTTTCTCCTAATGCAAGGACAGGGAGGTAGAATATAATTTATTCCTGTTGACAGTAGGATAAATAAATACATTTTTGGATTACTAAGAGTTGACTGCTAGGGGAAGATAGCTTCCCCACAGTATCAGATGGAACCTTTAGAATTGGCCCTGGGACAAGGAAGTGGCCTTGTTTGTCAGGAGCTTTAATCCAAGCTTCACCCCAAATAGCCACTATGCCCTTCTTTCCTGGCATGGGATATTGAGAACAGGGCTGAACGAGGTCGATTTTGGGGGGTACAGCTGCCAGGGATTTCCCAGGGTCAGCTTAAGCCAATCTTTTGGTTTCCTGCAACTTGCCTTCCTTTTATTTCTTTTTCAACCCTCCATAGCACCAGCTGCTGTGAAGATATACCCTTAGAAACGAACCGTCTGTTAATATGGTAAAAATATTTTTCGCTTTCTTGAATAGTGACTATGGGGATAGGGCTATTACCCCATAGTTTAGGATTCTAAATTGAGCGATGTGGGGTGGGGGAAATAGAAGGGAATCAAATATTTGGAAAGGCACAGAAAGCCAAGATGCCAATTTATTAGTCCCAGATAAGCAAGATAGTAACAGTTTATAAGCCTGTCTTAACAGGGACTGGAAGAGCCTGGGCAATTACTTATGAAAGACAAAACTCAAGACTAAGTTGGGAAGTTCTGTAGGAAAAGCATCGTAAGTCTCACAGTAGTAGTAAAACAGGAAGTGTACTCTGACTCATGTTTGAAGTACTTTTCTGGGAAGGGGAAAAAATGTGTTCATGACTGGAATACTTACCTTGTGCCAAGTATGTGTTAAGCATTTTTCATGTAACCTTTCATTTAATCCTTGTGTGACTTCCATGAGTTAGGTATTACTGTCCACATTTTACAGCTTATGAAAACAGGGGCTCAGAGAGGATGTACTTTTCTCAAGACCACACAGCTGGTAAGTGGCAAAATCTGGTTTCAAGTTCAGATCTGTTTGGATCCCAAATATGCTCTTAACTGATAAACCAGACTGTATACTACTTTACATACACTATACCATTTTGGTCCTTACAATAGCCTCATTAAGTAGCTATGGCCTATGTTAGTTCATTTGATGGATAACAAACACAGAGTCTTTAGACCATGGTCCTCAAACATGAATGTGTCCCCACCCTTAGAGACTTTGATTCCATCAGCCAGCTTGGCATGGGACCCAGATCTCTGGCAGGTGATTCTGAAACTGGTATTTGGGGAGTGTATTTTGACAAACATCACCATAGAGAAAGGTAACTTGCTCCAGGCCATTAGGATTGGGCCAAACTCATACCAGACCCCTTGTTTTCCTTTCCTTTGCATCAAGATCTCAGTGACTTCTTTCATTGATTGATTGATTGGTTGATTGAGACAGGGTCTTGCTCTGTCACCCAGGCTGGAGTGCAGTGGCGCAACCATGGCTCACTGTAACTTTGACTTCCTGGGCTCCAGTGATCCTCCCACCTCAGTCTCCTCAGTAGCTGGGACCACAGGTGCGTGCCACCATGCCCAGCTAATTTTTGTATTTTTGGTAGAGACAGGGTTTCACCATGTTGCCCAGGCTGGTCTCAAACTTTTGAGGTCAAGGGATCCTCCTGCCTCAGCTTACTAAAGCGCTAGAATTACAGGCATGAGCCACCACATCTGGCCTCAGTGACTTCTTTATTGCAATCATATAATTAGAACCCAGAGGCCGGGGTGGGGGTGGGGAAAGTAGGTTCTGGCTATGGTAGCAGATTGCATCTCCCCTTGACCTCCCAGAAGCCACTAACCTAGGCTTCATGGAAGTCAGCGTCCTGAAGTTTCTTAAAATCACACATACCCAGTTTACCTGGGGAAGCAGACTCAGGCACACCAAAGAGTGAGGGCCACCCTACTGCTGGGACTCAGCTACATGGTCCAGAGGAAATATAGAATGGAGAGCAATGAACCACAGACATGTAGTTGTGTTCTCCCTTGGAAGAGGGTGGGAAGCAAGGTCAAAGAAGACAAATGTCCGGACCCAACTGACACATACAATTTAAGTGAAGCTCTAAATCAGGTGCTGCTGGAATGTGTATTTGACTTGGTCCATCCTGGAAGGTCTCACCTTTCCCTCTAGGTGTGTGTGGGGCTTGAACTGCACCCAGAGCTATATGCAAGGAAGAAGACAGGCTCTAGCCCTGCTGGGCACCAATAAACCTGTTGATTGATGGTTTCTATCAGGTTAAACTCTGTGAACATTTTAACAGAAGCCTCCCAGGAGCAATTCCACTGTTTATCTCTGTTTTTAGGCCAATGCAAATGTTTATCATCAAGATTAAATCACATCACTCTTTTAACCCTTGAAAAATGGGATTTACTAAAGCAAACAGTAGGAGATTCTTACTTGCTAAGCCATTCCAGGAAGGTTATGGCAGAAACCAAAATATTTTAGAGCCCTAATTGAGCTTGGCCCTTAGACATTTCAAGACTGTCCTAACTGTGATAGATCATATGTTTGCATTATGCATGAAATAATTTGACATATGTAGTTTTAATAGCACATTGTTAACTCTAAGTGGAGTACTTTTCTGCCCTGCTTTTTGGATGACATACATTCTGTATTTATCTGGCTAGTCCAGCAGCAGAAATGTATTTAATATCCAGAAAAGGCCAGATTTGTGAACACTCTCCTGTTATTATATTGTATGATGTGAACTTATTTGAAAGTCAAGCTAGTCCACTGCTGCAAGGCACTGGAAGGAAGGGCTGCTGCCTTAGTTTCTATTTCTTTTTTCTGGTCTGAAGACAATAAAGATCCCATAAATTGTTTTTTAAGCCTGCTATGAGCAGGAAGTGGGAAGTAAGAAATTAATTGATATATAGGATTTTGTATAGGCCCAAAATGAAGGACACAGGATCCAGTAGATATTCTGGAATTTCAGAGGCTCTAGCAAGGCCCTCTGCTCCTCAAAAGAATTTCCCTACCATCTTGCTAATACTTGGAATTCTTCTAGTGGTGATTTGTGTCTTTGACATCTCTTTAAACTCAAGCAATCATTTATCATTTAGGGTGGATTAGTTTATCACATTTTTTCCTAAGATTTTATTTTGATGGGCTTGAAGGTGTAAAAAGTGTGCAGATGCCACGCTTCTGTGATTAGGAAGGAAATGGCACCATCCACTACGGGCAAAGAGAGCAAAAGAAAAAGGCCCTAGAGGGAGAACTGCTTTAAAATTTTGCCGAGAGTTAACGCTGCCCAGCGCTGGGTGAGGTACTATAAGGGTGCACGCACAGTGCCAGCAAGGCCCCTTACATTCTACTTGGGGAGACAAGATTAATAGTGACATAACAGAACAAGGTGCAATAAAGTCTAACTTGTGTGATTCATAATAAAAGCAATATTGGGGCACAGAGAAGACAAGCCTTCTTTGTGTTGAAGGTCTTTGCGTTGCAGTGTTACTTTGTGAGAGTTGGAGGACTCTTGTGGTGCCTGTAGAACACAGGAGATACTAAGAAACCCCCAAATCAAACACCAAACCAACATTTTATGGATTCCACATTTCCTGGTTCAGAAATCTGTTGAAATGAGTCTTCTCACAGTGGCATAGAAAGAAATGAGAAAGAAATGTGGAGAAGAGTAATGCACAGGCAAAGTGAAAACATTAGCAATCATTTCACCTACCATCAAGAACTGCTGAAATCAGAGACTCCTCAGTCCCTTTTTGCTGCCGGTCCTGATTCATCTTTCATTGGAAACTCCCTGCCGCTCTGGTTGCACTTAATGATGTACGGCCCCGTTGGTACTTAGTGCTCAGGAGTTCATCTTTATACTTCTCTCTTATTAAGAAACATGAATGCCAATCTAATTGGTTGGACTTTAGGAAGCTGATAGGACCATATTTGCTAGCAGAAGATGCTGTATTGTAACAGGTCAGTGCTGGGTTGGTGGGCATTGCTTTATCTCTTGTCATTAGGAATATAGAGTAGTACGATTTGGCATTTGTGTATGGACACTGGCAAAGGTAGAACTGAGCAGGAGGCTTCCCAGCTTACTTTAGTTGGAAGCCTGACCAATTTAGGACAAAGAGTGGGTCACCTGGCCTAGACTTTTTAATGTTGGGATTTGGTGTCTATACTGAGGTAGTGGTAAATTATTACTCTGTGGGACATTTTCTTCTTTTCTTCTATAATTATGTTCTTTGGGAACCTCATGGGAAGGTGGCTTTGTCCATGTTCTCATATATTGTAAAAGTTTTCTGTCTCTAAGAATAATCTTGTGTTATCATTTGAAGTTCAGCTCTAGTTTCTCCTCCTTGAATATGTCTATTTCAGTCCTTAGTGATTTTTCCTTCCTCTAATCTCTTCCAGCACTGGGACTTTCTACCACCTGCTTTATTATTTACCTACTGCTTTGCTTGCTATTTTTTCCTATGCCTTAACTGTATCTTAAACTGCCAACTGAAGTACAAATATCTCAGCAGCCATTGTCTGCCTCTTGGAGAACAGGGAAAGACCATAGTTATCTTATGTTGGTCTTTGTTTATTTAAAAATGTTTTCCTGTTTTCCTGACCTTTGAGGTTATTTTATACTTGGCATTCACTACGGCACATAGCAAAGAGATGAGCATGTAAAGAATGGTCAGTGAAGGCCTGCTGACAGTTTGACTTATTTCAAGATATATATCCTAACATTTCCCCGTACCTATGACTATCAGTTGTCTTTGTATGTGGAATAGGTTGGACTTGATGAAAATTTTTATGATTCTAGTGTTAGTTTTATAACCAGAGAAGAAATCTTTAGATGACAGTGGGGGACTTGGTGTGTATATTGAGCACAGAAGTGGTCTAACCCCTTTGAAACTTTTCCTAACAACTTCGCCTCTTAAGCATGGGCTCTATAATATTCCATAACTGTCAATATCAGTGAACCTTGTTAGCATAACATAAAATATTCTCTGAAATTTTCTTGGAAGCTAATTCTTAACATTGTATATCATCCAGATATTTTGTGGTTTCCTCCTCTGTCCTCACTCAAGTAGTTCACACTTCAGTAGGATTTCTAATAACACTCTCTTTTTAGGTACCCTTATAGTCCCAGGGCTTTATAAGACAGGCTTTACCATGTAATTTGCTTTGGCCAATGAATTATGAGCAAAGAGCACTTCTGGCTGGAAGCTTTAAGGGCCAGCACATGCTTCATCATGATCCCTTTGCCATGACACTAAAAATATTTTGAGATCCCTTTATCAGCCTGGGTTTTGGAGTGAAAACAACATGGAGCTGACCTGCAGTGAACACATTGCATGACTGAGACATAAATGGGGGTTGACTGCCCATGCCATGTCCGCCCTTCCCATCAACAGATGTAGTCTATTTCCCACTCCCTTGAACCTGGGCTTGGCCTGTGATTTACTTTGACATGATTCACACTATCATAAGATTGTAGTAGAAGAGATGTTGAATGAGTTCTGGAGTCTAGGCCTCAAGATATTTTGCAGTTTCCACTTTTACTCTCTTGGGACCTAGCTGCCAAGTAAAGAAGCTTGGGTTAGATAACTGAAAGATATGAAACTTCATAGAAACAGAGGTTTTAGACTTCTAGCCTTCCCTACTACAGTGAGGCCCGCTTTGTCTTTGCAGCTTTCACTGAAGCAGCAGGCGAATGCAACTGCAGGAGCATGTGCGGAACTGCCCAACCAAACCACGACATGCTGAGCAACAATAAATTGTTATTTTAAGTCATTAAGATTTAGGTGTTTTATTTGAAGCTTTAAATAACTGAAACAGAGATCTCTGTTGTTGTAAGCTTCTAAGATTTCGGGATCTTTTTTTTTTTTTTTTTTTTTTTTTGAGACAGGGTCTCCCTCTGTTTTGCAGGCTGGAGTGCAGTGGCATGATCACAGCTCACTGCAGCCTTGATCTCTCAGGTTCAAGTGATCGCTCCCACCTCAGCCTCCCCAGTAGGTGGGACCATAGGTGCGCACTACCACATCCGGCCAAGTTTTGTATTTTCGGTAGAGTCGGGTCTCCCTGTGTTGCCCAGGCTGGTCTCAAACTCCTGAGTTCAAGCGATCCTCCCACCTTGGCCTCCCAAAGTGCTGGGATTATGGACGTGGGCCACCATGCCCGGCCCTGGGATCACTTATTTTTAACCTCAGCATAACTTGCCCTATACTAACTGAAAAAGTTATCAATGTGTTTTTAACCATTTATTTTGATTTATAGATATGGATTTATTTTCATTAGTGATACATTTTAATTTATTTCTATCATTTTGTTTTGTGTCATTTGTTCTGCTTTTCCCTTCTTTCTTCCCTTCTTTCTTTTGGATATTTATTTATTTATTTTTTTGAGACAGAGTCTCACTCGGTCGCCTAGGCTAGGAGAGTGCAGTGGCAAAATCTCGGCTCACTGCAACCTCTGCCTCCCAGGTTCAAGTGATTCTCCTGCCTCAGCTTCCTGAGTAGCTGGGATTACAGGCATGTGCCACCATGCCTGGCTAATTTTTTTATTTTTAGCAGAGATGGGGTTTCACCATGTTGGTCAGGCTGGTCTCGAACTCCTGACCTCAAGTGAACTGTCTGTCTTGACCTCCCAAAGTGCTAGGAATGCAGGCATGAGCCACCGGGCCGGCCTGGATTTTTTTTTTTTTTTTAAACTAATGTTCTCATTTTATTTCACACTTCTTTTTTTTTTTTTTTTTTTTTTTTTTTTGAGACAGAGTCTCGCTCTGTCGCCCAGGCTGGAGTGCAGTGGTGCGGTATTGGCTCACTGCAAGCTCCGCCTCCCGGGTTCACACCATTCTCTTACCTCAGCCTCCCGAGTAGCTGGGACTACAGGCGCCCGCCACTACACCCAGCTAATTTTTTGTATTTTTAGTGGAGATGGGGTTTCACCGTGTTAGCCAGGATGGTCTCGATCTCCTGACCTTGTGATTCACCCGCCTCTGCCTCCCAAAGTGCTGGGATAACAGGCGTAAGCCACTGCGCCCGGCCTATTTCACACTTCTTTTAGTTTATCATTTATATCCTTTATACTTCTTTTATGGTTACCTAGGTCATTTTTAATTGCCCAATTAACTTAACACAGCCTAATATTATTATCCTCCTGAACACTGCAATGATTTTACAGTGGTTTAACTCTGATCACCTCTTGCCCAGCTTATCAGCTATGTTGCTTTATATTTAGTTCTGTGGTATTTTAGCCTTTTTTTTTAGTCATACAAGTTGTATATTATTAATATTGTTTATCTAGTAAATGCTTATTTATATTTACTCACACACTTATTCATACATTTATTTTATTTTATTGAGACAGGGTCTCGCTCTGCCACTGAGGCTGGAATGCAGTGTTGTGATCTCAGCTCCCTGCAACCTCTGCCTCCAGGGCTCAAGCAATCCTCCCCGCCCAGCTTCCCAAGATGCTGGGACTACAGGCATGCGCCAGTATACCCAGGGAAGTTTTTAATTTTTTGTAGAGATGGAGCCTTACTAGATTGCTCAGGATGGTCATATAGTTATATTTACTCATACATATGTCAATATCTTTTGTCTATTAGTTATTCACTTATTTATCAATATTATTTATAATTCCTTTTTGTCTTTGGGAATTAATTTATGTCTGTTTGAAGTATATTCTTTGGAATTTCCTTTAGTGAGAATTTGTTGGTAATGTGGTCAAGCTTTTTCTTCCTTTTCCTTACTTTGTCTAAAAATTATTTTAGTTTCACTTAATTTTTGAAAGATTGTTTTTCTGGCTAATAGAATACTACATTGAGTGTTACCTTCTCTCAGCATATTGATACTATTAGTCTGCTGTGATCTCTCACTGTTGCACTGAGAAATTGCCATCATTCTAACTGCCACTCTTTCTTCTTCCTGGCTATTTTCAATATATTCTTTTTGTCTTTGGTGTTTTCCAGTTACACCATGAAGTATCTAGATTTTAAAATCTTGGTTAATATTGCTTTGGGTTCCTGATTTTTGAGGACTGATGCTTTTCAATGGTTGTGAAAATTCTCAGTCATTATCTTTTCAAATATGATTTATTTCATATTCTCCTTATTGTCTCTTTCAGAAATTCTGATTAGTCATGTGGAAGGCTGCTTCAACCTATCTTACATATCTTGTAAACTTTTTTTTCTGCCCCAACTTTTCATTAATTTCTTTAGCTATACCTTCCAGTTTTCTAATTCTGTCCTCAGCTATATTTAATTTACTATTTAGAGCAATCAATTAAAATTTCAATTTCAGTTATTATATGTACATTTTATTTCTGGAATATCTCTCTGATTCTTCTAAATATGCTGGTTGTATTTAGACCCTTTAGTTGCTTGCACATATTTCCAAGTATACCTTTTACTTCATAGTTATAATTAATATAGTTAGTAATGTAGTTATTATTTATTTTATGTGAACTAATTCCATTATTTGAAGCCTTTCCTGGACTGATCTGCTGTCTACATTTCTGCTAGTTCTCACTCATAATGTCTTGATTTCTTGTGTGTTTTGTGATTTTTTACTGTGAGCTGCTCATTTTATGTGTAAGTTTGTCTATGGGAATTCTTAGTGAAGTTATATTCCTCCGGAGAGGACTTGCATTCCTTCTGCTAGTTACTTTTCCAGCAATAACCCAAGACCAGCTTAAAAAACACTGTTATTGAGGTATTCTGCACATGCCATAAAACTTACCCATTTTAAACATACAATTCAATGAGTTTTGGTAAGTTTACAGTATTGTGCAATTATTATCATCCAGTTTTAAACTTAAAAGACAAATTCTCCAAAGATCCCTTTCCCTGTTTACAGTTAGTCAGTATTCTTACCCCTTAGCCCAATGCAATAGTCTACTTTCTTCCTCTATGGATTTGTCAATTCTGAATATTTCACATAAACAAAATCATACAATATGTAGTCCTTTATATCTGGCCTCTTTCACATAGCACAATGTTTTGAAGATTCATCCATGTTTCCAGGATCATTTTAGGTTAAAGTCTAAGCTTGCAAATTTATTGGACCACAGAAGTAGCATGAATTCAACCACAGTCCTGTGCAAAGGCCAGTTTACAGGTAGAATTTTTTTCCCACCCGATGCTAAGGCTGAAATAGACAAGTTTTCTTATTGACTGTTTCTGAGCAGCAGATTTCTTTATCATTTGCTCTTTTACAGAGGGTGTAGCTCTTTGTGACATTACTTTTATGTCAAGGTTCCCTAATAGACCCCCTACCTTATCTCCAATGCAGCCCCATAGTAGAACGTCAGGGCCTTCAGATTTCAGAAGAGACCCTCAGGGAAAAGCCAGCCTTGGCAGTCATTCAGCCCCAGAATTCTTGCTTTCACTTTATCTTTTGCCTGTGTGTGTGTGTGTGTGTGTGTGTGTGTGTGTGTGTGTTTTAAATAATTGTGCTAGTTTGACAATACTTTTATAAATATAAATTTCATTTTTTCCCCAGTATTTTAGATGTTTTCATGGCAAGGACCCTTCAGGGTGTTTTGTCTGCCATACTCCCGGAAAGAGAAGGCTGACAAGAGCCTTTTACAAGAGTCATTTGCTCACCTGTTTGGATCTCAGATAGGTGAATAATAAGGGAAAAATATTAACGTTCTGAGTAAGAGGCCATCCCAGTCCCTGCCTGCGGTCTCTCCCAATCTTAGCTTACCTAAATCATCTAATGAGGAGTCTTATTTTTGAGTCTACTTTGTTTAGCAGTAGTCTGCGGTCACCCCTGCATACTAATTACCTCGTACACTTTTTTCACCTCTGGTGGGTCAGTGAAAGCAGCCATTTCTCGGACTGCATTGGGAATTGCTAAGGTCTCTGTTCAGCTTAAACCATGTCAGTTTTTTATAGTTGAAGTGGAAAGGGCAGGGATTGGAAATGAGGAAACTGAGACCAGGAGAGGCAAAACAACTCGCCTAATACCACAGAGAGCTGGAACTTGAACTCAGACCCACTGACTTACAATGTTCTTTCCATCACAACATCCTGCCCCTTGTTGATGACAGAGAAAAATGGAGTGAGAGAGTGCAGCACTGGTGCATTCATTAAGGTAAAGTTTTAGAAAAGTCTGAATTTTATTTTATCTTGGATTTCTCTGTTTCCATTGCCCATTGTTAAGTGAGAGTAGTAGTTAAGGAAAACAAACAAACAAACAAGCAAACAAACTTGCTGTTTAATGTTTCTGTTTTTGAACAATGTGGATCATTTTGCCCAGAAATTTCTGACTTCTCAGAATGTTAGAGATGGCCCATTGGTTTGGCCCTTTAACTGGAGGAAAATGAGGGAGGAGCCCAGAGTCTTTATCCCAGTATATCAGCCCCTTTTTGATGAGTTTCTTACCTCATTTTGGGGGAAAGATAATGTTATTAATGCCCTTTCTAGCAATTTGAAAAAAAAGACAAACATGGCTTAGAGTGAAATCCTCGGTGATTGAAAATATCATTAGAAATAAGCTCCTGGTGTTCACTCTGTCATTTCCAAGTGTTCTGATGAGTTTCATTTGAATGCTGCACTATACGGAGTTGGCTGAAGCCCACAACTATGTGCGCGTGTTGGCGACGAGGCCTCTTCCTTGTTGAGGAAGGAGGAGGGAGAGGCAGGCAGATGTCATTTAGTCACCCGTATTTGAAACTGAGATGAGCCCCAAACAGAATCTGCAGATTTGCTTCTGGTGCAGTTATCAGTCACTGCATCCAAACTGCCTCAAGCTGTGCCTGCATAGTGCCCAAACGATGCACTCGTGAGTGAAAAAACAAACAAACAAACAAACAAAAAAACTAGCCAGTATGGTCATCTGAGTCATGAAGACAAATAATCACTATAGCAGGAAAAATTACAATAAAAAAGCCAGCTGTTGAACTGAATTCAATAGTTAAAAAAAAAGGTGGGGGGAGGGCAATAAAAAAATTCAGTGAAATTCCATTTCAGTTTCTGATTGTTTTTCCAGGACTACTTTCAGGGAAAATCAGAGTCTTTGTTTTTAAAAATGATGCCTGCATTGGTTAAAAAAATCCAAGGCAATACTTACACCCCTTTCTTCATCCTAAAGAACCAGCTCCTTAGGGTCTCATTTGCATGTAGGTAGATTCAAAACAGCTGAAGTTGTGTACATCTAATTGGATGGAATTCGAGTCTTTCCCCGAAGCTGTAAAAGAAAAAGCAGGGCCTGGAAACATGATGAATGTTCTTCAGGCGACAAAGATTTGAAACTGCTGCTCTGAGCACTTGCAGGAGGTTTCTACAGCAGCCTTCAAGGCCACCCTACCAAGGCAGTGCTGAATTAGCACTTTTTTCTGCCTTATATAAACAAGAATGCACAAATGAACATAGGTGCAGCAATAAAAATCACAATGAATAATTTGAGCTGTTGCCAAATCTTTGAACCTGATTTTGTTTGCACTTGACTCCCTTGGAAATAGTAAAAAGCAAGAGGTAGAGATGTGCCCAGTTTAAGTTCCTAGGTGGTCCCTGAGGCAATTGATGCTCTGCCTATATTTTCTTGTCACTGACTGTTCCAATACATACCCATGACTTCTGACTGCAAGCGCTTATGAATCTCCTTGCAGGCAGGAATTGTTGGGGACTTCATGCTCTGGGGAGTAGCCCCCAGCCAGTGGTTGGTGGAAGTAGGTGTATACATATCCTGCCTATCTGCCCCTTGATAAGACCACTCTGTGGCATGTTCCATACTATCTGCCAGCATGACTGAGCTTCAGATGCCCACAGTGGTCACCTGATCAATAGTTCCCTCGTTGCTGGCTTCCTTCCCTTCCCTGTCTTCTGTTTCCACTTCCCTTCTGGTGCTTCCTGGAATCATTTCCCAAATAAGGTATTTGCATTCAAATCTTTAGTCTCAGAGTGTGTTCCTGGGAGAATTTAACCAAGACATAGGAAATATCTTCTTTTAACTGAAATCTATTTGTGACATCTAATTCTTTGTCTTTCTGATTTGGCCATCATTCAAAGCATGTTAAAGCTGAGGGTGCAGAAATCACCTTTCCAGTGGTGCATTTCACAGAAGAAATAGAAACTCAAATTACACAGCCAAATGGTTACAGAAATTAGACTAGCAGCCAGTGGTCCTGACTCCCAAGCTGGTACTCCCCCAGCCCCTACTGTCAGGCCTCTGAGCCCAAGCTAAGCCATCATATGCCCTGTGACCTGCACGTGTACATCCAGATGGCCTGAAGCAACTGAAGATCCACAAAAGAAGTGAAAATAGCCAGTTCCTGACTTAACTGATGACATTCCACCATTGTGATTTGTTCCATTTGGTCCATTTGCTACAACTGACGAACCTACATTGACACATCATTATCACCTAAAGACCATAGTTTACATTAGGGTTCACTCTTGGTGTTATACATTTTATAGATTTGAACAAACGAATAATGACATGTATTCAGCATTATAGTATCATATGGAGTAGTTTTTTTGTCTCCATAGTTTTGCCTTTTTCAGAATGCTGTATAGTTGGAATAACACAGTATGTAGCCTTTTCAGATTGGCTTCTTTCACTTAGTAATATGCATTTAAGTTTTCTTCATTCCTTTTATGGCTTGATGGCTAATTTCTTTTTAACACTGAATAATATTCCATTTTCTGGATGTACCACAGTTTATCCATTCACCTATTCAGGGACATCTTGATTGCTTCCAAGTTTTGCCAATTATGCATAAAGCTGCTATGAACATCTGTGTGCAGGTTTTTGTGTGGACATGTTTTCAACTCCTTTGGGTAAATAACAAAGGGCATGATCACTGAATGTCTTTTAACTTTCAATCTATAGTTTCCCATCCCATCTCTTTTTATCCTTGACATTTATTTGTTGAAAAACTGGATTATTTGTCCTATAGAATTTTTCACAGTTTGAGGTTTTCTATCTGCATTCCTGTGGTGTTGTTTACCTTGTTTCTTCTGTCTGCTCTATTCCCTATAAACTGGTCATTAAATCTAGAAGTGTGATCAGATTCAAATTGGATTTTTTTTGGTAAGATTATTGTATGGGAGGTTTTGTGTTCTTCCAGGAGACTTTTCATAAAGGAGTCCTGAAGATGGAGTGTTGTAAGCTTAATGAGGGAGATCATTTTGGGTGATTTGGGGAGGGATGTTCCCAAAGTCTAGAAAGGTGCTATTGACTAGAAAAGTGGCTATTAGCTTCATGCCTGTACAAAATCACACCTGTACAAAATCAGAACGTTCAGTAAACGTGTGTGTGTGTGTACACACATGTGTCTATGTGTCTTTATGTATGAGTTTTGTCCCCAGAATGAGAAAATAATGTGTAGTTCAGATTGTAGCTTAGTTAGGGTATGCCAAATTTCCTGGCTTCTTAAGGAAGTGGAATCTATTAATGAGAAATAAAACATTCTGATATTAATAGTAAAGACTGTAATACTAATATGACTATAATAAGGAATTGTGGCCACAAAGACCAAGAGAAACAGTGTTGCTGCTCTTGTGGCAAGCACTTTCCCTAACCTCTCCCTCTTTAATTTTTCAATCGGTGTGTAGCAATTACATTAGTTGTTGTATTTAATACATAGTATATTTGTTCTTAGACTTTTACGACTGCTGCTAATTAACTGTACAGTCTTTTATTAGTGTTTGAAATTCTAATTACTGCAGTACCAGGAAGTTTTAATATTGTTAGAATGTATTGCTTCTTTATTGACTCCCAGCTTTTCCAACTCTGGTTGTGAACCTTGGTGAGTCAGTATTCATTAGAGGAGCACACGCTGGTTTGAACAACCCTTCTCTTTTATTAACGAACAAAGACGTAAAAAAATGTTTCCTTAGAACTGGGGTTAATGTTGAGTAGCTTGTTGCACATCCCATGCCAATGGCTGATTTTCAAGGAGCCGAGGGAATTTCTGTGACTGGTAAAGAATTACCTGTGTAATGTGCCCACTTCTCCTGACAGGCTGGTCCTCTTCCTGTCCTGCCCACACACTATGCTCTTAGCTCTTACTGGCTCCATGTACACTCTTGGCAGGAATGTCTTCTTTTGTGCCCAGCTATGCTTGCTCAGATGTCACTTTCTCCATTAAGCCTTCCCTAGTCCCAAACTCCCCAGAATTCCCAGTCTAAACCCCTGATTAGCTTGCAAATTTATCCTGTGTCATTCATTAATTGCCTGTGTGTGTTACCATCATGCCCCTAACTGGAACGTAAACTCTGGGAGGGTAAAGATCACCTCATGGGTATCTTCAGTACACCCCACAGCACTGTAATGCTGCAGATACTCAATTATCACTTCTTGATTGATTGTTCCCTATTTGTGGGGAATGAGGGGTACAGAGCAAAATTTAAAAACAAAATTTATGACCTATGTCAACTGCTTTAAATGTAGAATTATAAAATTGTTGACATTTGGGCCATACATGTATTAATGTCTGTCTCAAAACCTTGCCTTGTTCCCATCCTTTCCCACATATACATACTGGGCACCTGCTAAGTAGCAAGTGTGATGTCAGCACTAGGGATGCAAAATGATGAAGACCTGGAGCTTGTGTCTGGTGGAGCAGAGGCATCTGATGAGTGTATGGTATGTTATGACATGACCAATGATGTGTTAGAAGGAAGTCACAGATGATGGGATGCCAGAGGAAAGGGTGGGAAAGTCCTCTTGCGGGGAGGATTCCTTTATCCTTTTGCCTCCTTACTGACTTCAGTGAGTAACTTTTTCCAAGAATGGGATTTTCTAACATAATTTAATGGTGGTTTCTGCTATGATTATCCCTTAACTCTGGGGAGAAGCAGTTCCCCATGTGGCTTTAGAGCACAGGCTCTGGAGTTACATCTGTGTTCTGGGCATGGTGCTGATATTGTCTAGGTGTGGCCTTGGGAAAGTTTCTTAACGTTCCCAAGCCTCAGTTTTCTTATATGAAAAAGGGAGATGATCACTATTCAGTCATGGGGATGGATGAGGATTCAATAAGATGATGCAGAAGTTGTGGGTCTGCTGCATCATGAACGTTCAGTAAATGTTGGCTGTTATGATATTGCTATTCCTTCTAACTTTACTCCCTTTCTTCTCCCCCTCCCTAGAACTTAAGCCCCTTTCCTCTGGTGCCATACATGCCATTAGCTTCACAGAAATATCTCATTGGTTCCTAGGGCTTGTATATCAGTCCCAGGGACATTGTGTAGTTAGACAGGAGACAGTGAGGGAACAGGAACTTGGAAGTTTCCGGTTCTGAGCCTGCCTCCCATCCCGCCTGTTGCCTTTGCTGGGCCTACTCTTTACCAAGTGCAGAGCCAAGGGCTGAGGATTTCTGTCTCCCATTGGGACGTAGGGGGTGAATGAGTTAACATTTACAAAGTGCTCTGAGCTCCTAGGAGAAAAGGCACAATCTAAGTATTCTCATTAGTGCATTAATAATAGATGAGCATAAAGCACTTTACAAATATGCAGTTCTTTAGCAATGCTAAATAATACTTCCACCAAGCTACCTGTGAGTAGAGGGGCTGGTTCTTGAGGCTCTCATGGCCCTAGTCTTGGCTGTCACTAATGCAGAGTGTGATCTAGGCAAAATCACTTTCCCTTCCAGGTCTCAGAACAGACGGGTCAGAATGGATGACGTCAAAGGCATCTCTTAATTTAGTGCCACTTTTTAGGGTTCTTTATTTAGATGGAGAAATGACTACAGCTGGAGTCAGAGCAGTCATTTGTGGGAGGGCATGATGACGTCTCTAAAGCAATGCCAGCTGTTGGGCAGAGATTCCAAGCAGTGGCTGCACCTGCTTCCTCTCCCTCCTTTGTGTCACTGAGAACAGGCTTGCCTTTTCTCTAGGGTAGGGGTGGGAGTCCTTGCCCCCAGGACTGTGGCCAAAAGATCTGTTGGATCTGAGTGCTAGAAAATACTTTACAACCATATTCCTTTAAAAAATGTTGTGGTAAATACATGTAACATAAAATCCATCATTTTAACCCTTTGAAGTGTACATTTCAGTAGCTTTAAGTAACTCCATGTTGTTGTGCAACCAATCTCCAGGACTCTTTTCTTTTTCTCCTTTTTTTTTTTTTTAAGAGATGAAGTCTTGCTCTGTTGCCCAGGCTGGAGTGCAATGGTGCTATCTTGGCTCACTGCAACCTCCGCTTTCTGGGTTTAATGAATTCTTCTGCCTCAGCCTCTCGAGTAGCTGGGACTACAGGCACATGCCACCATGCCTGGCTAATTTTTGTGCTTTTAGTAGAGATGGGGTTTTGCCATGTTGACCAGGCTACTCCCAAACTCCTGACCTCAGATGATCCACCCGCCTCGACCTCCCAAAGTGCTGGGATTACAGGCATGAGCCACTGTGCTGGCCCAGAACCCTTTTCATCTTGCAAAATGGAAACTTTATATCTATTCAACTACAACTTCCCATTTCTCTCTCCCCAAGCCCCTGGCAACACCATTCTACTTCTATCTCTGAGTTTGACTCCTCTAGATTCCTCATATGGATGGAATCAATGGTTTGCTTCACTTAGCACAATATCTTTAAGGTTCACACATGTTGTAGCATGTGTCAGAACTTCCTTCCTTTTTAAGGCTGAGTAATATTCTATTGTGTGTATATACCACTTTTTGCTTATCCATTTATCCATTGATGAACACTTGGATTGCCTCCCTCTTTTGGCTATTGTGAATAATACTGTTATAAACATGGGTGTACAAATATCTTTTTGAGACCCTGCTTTCAATTCTTTTGAGCGTATACCCAGAAGTGGAATTACTGGATCATATGGCAATCTACTTTCAATTCTTTGAGAAAATGACCATATCCCTTTATTCTCCAAAGATGGAGTTGGATGAGAATCTTTGGTGACCTCAGATTCTCCACTCTGCATGGTTATTTCCATCAAAGGCCTCTGCTCTCCCCTGTATTCACTAAATTATGACCCTGAAGATAATTTGCATTTCATCCAGAGGAATACGTAATTTTAGAATTTGGAGCTTAGATGGGACTTTAGAGACTTGCTACTCAATGGAGGTATGCTTTGATTTGGACACATCCAGGGCCTAGAAGCTCATAGCAGTACAATGTAAACTGTCCTGAGGGTAGGGCAACTCTAATTAGAGGTATCAAGCTAAAATTGACCCCCTTAATTTTACCCTTGGTCCAGTGGGACAACACACACACAAGCCACACATAGCCATTCTGGTATTTTATGTCAAGTCTTCTCTCCAGCCCACACATTTGGTTTTGACCACTCCTTACCAGAAACTTCTCACTACCACTGGCTTCAGAGGTGAAATTTGGTGTGTGGTACCTTTTCAGAATCCTTGATATCCTAAACAGATGCCTGGATTACTTCACCTATGCCGGTTTCCTTGGCTCACTCAAAATATGGACAGGTCCCACCTACTTTAAACACAGTTTTCTGCTCCTTGACAGTCTTTCAGATACGTTTGGGGAAATCACAAACTAGTAAGGGGATGATCTTTCCTGCAGGATATACACAAGAAAAGAGATCTTTCAAGGGAATGCCGGGTTACATGTCATATCTGCTAAGATGTGTGCGGCTGCAAGTAACAATGTCTAGAGTAATAAAGACATTTAACGAGCTCACATAACCAAGAGCTGGACTGTTTTAGCTTTGGTGTTGGGGCTCAGTGGTGCCATCCAGGAACCAGGCTCTTTCTATGTGACCCTAGCTTGTTGTCTTTTAATTCTTAAACTTACTGCCTCATGGTCACAAGTAGCTGCCTCAGTTCTAAATAGAAAATCCTTACATACTATGGATTAAGGTAGGAAGAAATGGAAGCCTTCATTCTTATCTCTGTCTCCTTTTTTTAACAGGAAAAAAACCATTCTTCCAGGAGAGGCTCCTCCAAGCAAACTTCCCCTTACATCTCTTACCAGAACTGGGTCACATGCTCCCATCTAAAACAACCACTGGCCATTAGAAATGGTGTTACCATGCCTGTCTTGGACCAATCACATTTGATCCTCTGAGGATAGAGACATGTTGCCACCTGAACAACTGTGGGGTGCTGTACTCCTGGCAAGCAGGGAGAATGGCTGTGGCTAGGCAACTGACAGCATCTACCACAAATATGTTACTCAGAAGAAGAATCGAGGATGGCCATAATTTTTATTTAAAGATTTCTATTTTACAGAGGCATATCTGATTAAGGGACATTTAAACTTCCCTGTTAAACTTATCAAGACAAAAAGACAAGGCATCTTGCCACATTTCTTAAATATTCTCTGCAGTCTCTCTTGACCTTTTCCCAGCTGTGCTGTAAACATAAAGATAATAACATATCTGAATAACATTTTATGGTGCACAGATAATTTTCACATACATTATCCATTTGACCCTCACCATAACTGTGTGGGGTAGGTAAGGTACGATTGTACTTTTCATTAATTTTTTTTTTTTTGAGACACAGTCTCGTTCTGTCACCCAGGCTAGAGTGCAGTGGTGCGATCTGGGCTCACTGCAACCTCCACCTCCCAGGTTCAAGTGATTCTCCTGCCTCAGCCTCCAAGTAGCTGGGATTACAGGCAAGTGCCACCATGCCTGGCTAGTTTTTGTAATTTTTTAGTAGAGACAGGGTTTCACCATGTTGGCCAGGCTGGTCTAGAACTCCTGACCTCAGGTGATCCACGTGCCTCGGCCTCCCAAAGTGCTGGGGTTACAGGCATGAGCCACTGCTCCTGGCCACTTTTCATTAATTTTTATTGGACTTAGGATTAGAAGGATGAGCAAATCCTACTACTTAGTGCGTGGAATACTGGCATCTATTGTTTTTGCTTGGCTCCTCTCTTGTTTTAATAATTAACTAATCGATCCATTCTCTTTTATTGCCATCTCCCACTCACACTTTTTCCTCCACATAGGCAATCATTCTAAATATGTCCAATGTTTATCTTATTTGTATGCGTATTTATAAAGTGAATATTTTGTTTAGTGTGTATGCAGTTTCGTTTGCATAAATTGTAATATTCTGTGAATCTCATTCTGTTTTGTACTTTTTTCATTCTGCTCTGTTTTTAGAAGTGATCCATGTTGCTATGTGTATCTACTCCATTGCCTTTAAATGCTGCATAATACTCCACGGTGTTTGTCGATCATGTTTTACTCATCTTTGCCCCCTAGTGGAAACCATGATGGCCTCCAACTCTGCACACAAATAGTTTCAAACAAGAACCGCTGGTGAAATGTGACTGCTGATGGACCTGGGTGGGAATTTCTCTGGGATGCCGACTAAAAAGCATGGTGGCTGGGTCATAAAATGCACACTTAATTTGAATAAGTGCCACCCAGTGGCTCTCCACAAAGCCTGCACTAGTCCATTCTACTAGAAATTATTCACATTTAACTGGAAACTGGGTCTTGGAGATGTTAAGTAACTTGCTCAAGCTCACATAAGGAGTAAAAGTGAATTAGGACATCCAGGACCCAAATCCAGGCCTTGTAACTTCAGGTCAATTTTATTTTCCAGGGCACCACCCTCTAAGTCTCTGGATCATAATATGGAGCACTAATAAAAAGATTTCTTGAGGCTTTTGTTATTTACATAATGAATTTCAGAAATGGCTTACTGGTGCTACTGGCAAGTTGCAGGCAGAAGAAAGAATGAAAGCGAATGGGCATCTCATGTTCTATTCTCTGATTCAACCTGTTTTGGGTCCCTTTTGACTGCTTTACCACAGTTGCTATTACATTATTTTGGGAAGTATTTAAAAAAGAAGAGAAAGTGCTGGATATCTGAACTCCTTTCCTCCAGTCTGCCATGGGCCAAAATGTAGTACCACCATGCCTGACTAGAAAGTAAAAGAGGAATCATAGAATCAGATAGTGTTATAACCAGAATGGGCCTTACAGACCATTTAGTCTAGTCCTCCCATTTTATAGATGAGAAAATGGAGGCCCAGAGAGAGGAAGACAGTTGCCTGAGGTCACACAGCTGGAAGGAGAGCAGGATGGGCACCCAGGCTTTCTGAAAACCAGTCTCTTTGATGCAGGTGAACCCCCACATTGGGGCTCAGCTCAAGAGGGTTCTTAGCTTTGCTCAGGAAGGAATTCAAGAGTGAGCTGACAGTTAAAGAAAGCAAGTTTTTAGAGCAATAGTGTACAGCAAAATGGCTGCTCCACAGACAGAGCAGGGCCATCCCATAGGCAGAGTAGCACTTGTGCATTGCTGGCTAGCTCTATTTATAGCTGCTCCTAATTATATGCTAAATAAGCGGTGGGTTATTCACAGATTTTCTAGAAAAGGTGTGGGGAATTTCCAGAACTGATGGTTCCTTCCTCTTTAAACCATGTAAGGTAACTTCTGGGTTTTGCCATGACATCAACTGTCATGGTGCTGGTGGGAAGTGTTTTACAGCATGCAAATGTATTATAATTCCTAGTCCTAACTGCTTTTGGCTGGTTCCTTTGCTACATCCTGTTTTGATCAGCAGTGTCATGAAAACAAGTCCTGTTCATCTCCTACCTCTCCTTGCCCTTTCCACTTTTCTGCACACAGCAACTTTCACCTGCGCACCCAGGAATCCACACTTTAAGTCTTAACAACCTGAGGTGTTGTTGAGAAAAAACTACAAACAGTGGTGCGCTGGCAAATCTTTAACAATCACCTGGGGTGGGGTGGGGTGTGGATAAACAAGCCTTATTTGTAGCATATGGCCAATTTCAAGCTGCCAAAGTGCTGTCACTGAACGTGAAGTAGTGGGAGCAGGGCAGCAGAGGGCCACCAATCAGAGGCATTTCCACCAAACAGATGCAATTGGCATAAGTAACTGCAAGGGCACGGACAACCGCAAGGTCTGCTAAAAGGATTAGGAAGTGATGAGTTTTGAGTGTTTATTACTTTTGGTTTTAGTGTAACTTATTTGTAAGCTTACATAATTTAATGTCTAATAAGGGCAATGTTTAACAATCACTCATGAAATTCCTGAAAATTGAACTGATACGGTTTGGCTGTGTCCAAACCAAATCTCATCTCAAATTGTAATCTGAATTATAATCTCCACGTGTTGGGGAGGTATCTGGTGGGAGGTGATTGGATCGGGGAGGGGGGGATTCCCCCACGATGTTCTCATGATTGTGAATGAGTTCTCACGAGATCTGTTGGCTTTATAAGTGGTGGTTTCCCCTGTTCTCGCTCTTTCCTGCTGCCTTGTGAGGAAGGTACTTGCTTCTCCTTTGCCTTGTGCCGTGATTGTAAGTTTCCTGAGGCCTCCCCAACCATGCAGAACTGTGAGTCAATTAAACCTCTTTTCTTTAAAAATTACCCAGTCTTGAACAGTTCTTTATAGCAGTGTGAAAACGGACTAATACGTGAATACTCAGCTCTCCTGAGCTTATGCGAGTCAGCCCCAAGACAACATTGGCTATAAAGGAATGAAGCCAGCTTCTCGGTGTAGCAACCCGCCTTCCTAGTTTATAAACTTGTCCTGATTCTTCTGCATACTCTTTGGTGGAAACATAAAATATGAATATAGTGGAAAAGAGGGGCAAAAGATAAATGAGTTATTCTGGAGATAAACTTTCTGTGTAGTGGAAGTCTTAGCTCTGTAAGCTCCGAAGCTATGATGGTTTTAACTTTTATTGATGAACTTTGAAAAGAGTTGTGTTGCATTCTTTCCTACCTCATTACACGTGAGACATTATGGCTTATTACTTTTTTATGAAGAACCCAGGACATGTTGAAGTGTGCAAATCTATTTTCCCTTGGAATACATGACCTCAAACTGCTAGGCTGTTGGGGCCTTTGGACTTGCTTTTTAGAGTTTTGCTTTTTAGAGTTTTTTTTCTTGCTCACTTTCCAGAAGCTCTGACTTCTTTTTACTGTCAGTGTGTCTGCCTCTATCTTTTCCCTCCTCTTTCTAATTGACTAGAGAACTAGACTTATTAGAATCATTTAAAAATGTCAGTAATCTGTTGCAATACAGGCCTATTGAGAAAAACATGTAAATTTTAGTGCATGGATCTTGCGATATTTATTTTGGATGCTCAGATACCTTTTGCAATAACTTCTGGTTTTTGTAGAATTTCTGGAGAGGTGATATTACTAGATTACTGTGTTTCAGATCAGTGAGTATTGCTACAGTAATGTTGT
Source organism: Homo sapiens (assembly GCF_000001405.40). Classification (NCBI taxonomy): domain Eukaryota; kingdom Metazoa; phylum Chordata; class Mammalia; order Primates; family Hominidae; genus Homo; species Homo sapiens. Next base: position 47,286,660 of record NC_000018.10, read on the forward strand.
TATATATAATTATATACTATATCACCATGCATGAATTCCATTATAAGAGGAAAATTCATCTCTGGGCCAGGAAATATGTCATGTAAAAAGTAGAGCAGTCCTGGACTGTATTTTGAGGAACCCAGTAACACTACTGGAACATGAAGTGGTCCATATGGTGAACTTTGCAAAATACAGTAAGACTTAAATGGTCAAGTTTGGGGCATGCCTCCTTGCTCTAAAAATGGTGGTGCTTCGTCTCCTTAAACACAGACACAGGCAATGGATGGGGAAGGGAGATCCAGTGATTGAGAGTTTTCCCCTGCTGGAGGCAGGGAGGTCCCTCCACACATCTGCCCATCCTGGGAGTGCTGCTTGCTGGGGCTGAGAAAGGAAGTAGATTGCACCTGGCAACCTGGCTCTGCCCTTCTCTGTGACATTGGGACCACCAGAAAGGTTCTTGGTATGATTTGGATTTGTGTCCCTGCCCATATTGAATTGTAATCCCCAGTGTTGGAGGAGGGGACTTGTGGGAGTTGATTAGATCATGTGGGGTGGATTTCCGCCTTGCTGTTCTTGTGATAGTGAGTGACTTCTCATAGATCTGGTTGTTTGAAAGTGCGTAGCACCTCCCCTTTCTCTCTCTTCCTCCTGCTCCAGCCATGTTAGACTTGCCTGCTTCCCTTTCACCTCCCACCATGATTGAAAGTTTCCTGAGGCCGCCTCCCCAAGCCATGCAGCCTTGCAGAACTGTACAGCCTTGCAGAACTGTACAGCCTGCAGAACTGTGAGCCAATTAAACCTGTTTTCTTTATAAATTACCCAGTCTCAGGTATTTCTTTATAGCAGTGTGAGAACGGACTAATACAGCCCCCTACCCTTGTTTCACCAGCCCGGTCATTCCTTTGCATATAACTGAGAAAGAGACGTTAGGGCATTGTCCAACTGATTTCAAAGCAGTGGTTTTCCATGCTTCTGTTGTCTTCTCCAGCTGCAGGAAAGCAGCCTCAGTGCTGATGGAGGAATCAGCCTCTTCCATGCAGAAAAAGGACTCCCCACTGTAGTTCCAATATCTCCCTCACAAATTCACCTCTCGTTTCTTTGGAGCCTTCGAGCTTTTGGGAATTCTCAGGTCTAGTGAGGGAGGCCTCATTACACTTCCTTAAGCCCTTATTAACTCCTTGAGGAGACTCATGTGATGAGCTGTGGCACAGAAGCCAGGTCCAGGGTTAAGGTGCTCTAAGGGGAGCAATTGCCAGGAGATGAGAAGCACAAAGACAAACTTTCTTTCCTGTGCTGGCCCCGGGCTGTATGCTGTTGATATCATTTGGGTAACTTCTATGAAGTCTCTGAGCTGGGGTCACCCTACATGGGGCAGCAGGGAGCCCAGTAGCAAGGGTTTGCTCCCCTACAACCCCCCTCATGAGCCTAATTAACAAGTTGGGTCCTTTCCAGCTCCTTCTGGCGGTTCCAGCGGGGCTGGGCTCCACTGGGGGTGGGCAGACAGTCTTACTTTAAGCAGGGTATTGATCCTCACGTGGTCCTGGTGCCCCTCTTGGGGGAGCACTCTCGTGTTTTAAGTGCATGCAGTTACTCTCTTGACTGGCTTGTAAACAGGTTTTAATGGGGCTATTAGTGTAAAAGGACAGGAAACTTTCAAAAACAGGCTCTTAAATATTCATGAGGATGTTAAATCTGGTGCTTAATCACCAGTGTTTGTACACAGCTAACAGGGAGGGAGGACAGCTAACAGGCTGCCTTCACTCTGAACAATTGACAGGGCATTAATAAACGCTCTTACAGCCATGATTAATGGCCCAGAGAACAGGACTTCTTTTTTTTTTTTTTTTTTTTTTTAAACAAAAGGAGCCTCTGTCCTTTGGGGACTCCTGTTCTTGGGGGAGTGTCCACGTGGGGATGGGATTCAGGGGAACATGGAGGCTGGACAGAACAAAGTCCCTTCATAGTCAGCTGGACTCCCCTTCTGACTGTCTGTTTCCTGGAGCATGGCTTCCACAGGGGAAACTTTTAAACTTAAGCAGAGGCTCTCAGGAGAATTCCCTACCTGGAGAATCCTTAACTCAACCTTGAGAAGACCCATGAGGGAGTCACATGGCTTGGTGAGCTGTGACCAGCTGCTTCCTCAGAACCTGCCTCACATCCTTTCAGACTTGAGTTAAATGCAGGTGAAGATGGTTGACTATGGCCCAGAGGTCTCTTGCAAGCAGCCCCACCTCTCCCCACCTTTCTAAGGTGCATTTTAATTTCTGGAGAGGCATCTTTCTCTAACTTGTCTCTGTGACATTTAATGTAGAACCCCTATTGGAAAGTGAGTGGGGGGACTGCTTTTTAATTGGTAAGTGATCTGCACTGTTAAGCTTCTGGAATGGACCTTGGAGATTTTCTAGGCCAGTCCCCACTCCTTCCAGATGAGGAAACTGAGGCACAGAGAGGTGAAGCAACTTGTCCAAGGTCAAATACTGAGGGAGTGGCAGAGTTAGCACTGGACACTGGATACCCTGAGTCCTGGTCCACGAACTCTTTTCATGGTACCCCTGTACCAGTGTGATGTGACTTTTCCAGGTAGAGCCAGGGAACACCCCACTGACTTCCTTCAGAAGTGGTACAGGCTTGAAAGCCTGCTCAGTCCCAAGCATGGCAAGACTGTGCTAATAAAACCAAAGCCAGGTTAAGCACAGAGTCCTGGGAAACATCTGTTTCTGTGTGGTGGGAAACCCCAGCCTCATTATCTGAGACCAACTCAGAAATTCAAACCTGTTTCCTCCCCACAAGTACCAGTTGGGATTTTCAGTTGACAAGTTCCATTTACAAATGAAATCAAGGTGACCTCCCCTGCATAAAGTAAAATCTATAAAAGCTGTCTTCATGGATCTGGAAAAACCCTACTGTGTTTTATAATGGTAGATCAGGGCAAAGAAGTCGGTGTCTTCCACAATACCCTTCTCAGCCTCCAGCCCTTACTGCCCACATCCCACATGCTTCTATCAAGCCTTTCCTGTGCACAAGCCACCGAATTACAGGTTGTGGTGGGGAGGGATGCCATGAAGATGTATAGCAAGTGTCACTATCCCCAAGGTACTCTTCCTCCAGCTAGCAATTTGACTTTAGGGCTGTGTCAGAAAACCAAATGCAGTATCTGGCTGAGTATTTTTGCAAATATCACTTTAATTATCTCATACTACTGCTCAAGAATTCAGTGGTTCCCACTACATCTGGGTCCCGCCCAGGCAGGCTCTCCTCTGCATGGCCAGGTTGCTTCCCCTTAAAACCAAACACATCCTTTCTTTTGAATCAGTGGAGCAGGGCACAGTCTACAGACAAGATGGATATGATTCTTAATCATGAGTTTGTTCAGAAACTCAGTGCAACTTTTTTTTTCTTTATGGAATGCCAACCAGGAATGAAAAATCAGCCTCTCTTGCTAAACAGTTTGCGTTAATGACTTCCATCAGAGCCAATCTATTGATTTTTTTTTTAAACAAAACTCCACTTGTCTCTTTCATCTGGATATATAGCTGGTAGGTATTGTTGGTAAAGCAACCAATGTGAGAAATAGTTTCCTCTTCAAAATTAGAATGAATGTATTTTGACAGTTTTTACCAATAATTGTTTCAATGTTTGGTACAAATGCTGAGCACAGATGAAACTTAAACCACAGTAGAATTGGACTATTTTCTCAATGGAAGGTTGACTGTCAGTTGTATGAAGTATAAGGATGGATTTCTATGTCTTGTTAAGTTACTAAACTGATACCAAATGTTAGACAATGTAACATTGATTTCACAGAACACAACTTTGAATTGACATTATGCCTCTTATAGCAAAGTCTTCTATTATATAACATTGTTTTTGGCTGGTTTGTTTAATCAGTCAAATGTAGTAGGATTCAGCATGGTTCACTGAAAACACTTGTACCAGGATGTAGGAAATTTAGTGCTACTCCTATTAGTCCCATTAAATTATTGTACCCATCTTCCTCACCTGTAAAATAGGTATAGAAAAAAGGACACATCAATCTGTTGTTTCAAGTGAAGTAATGCATTTATCTACTTGCTGTTTCCATTCGATATCTCCCAGCCATCTTAAAATGAAACTTTCCCATATTGAACATAGAATCTCCCCCTGCAAACCTAGTCCTTCTCTAGCATTCTCAGGTCAGTCATGGCATCACAAACTACTCAGGTGCTTATGCTGGAAACTGGAATCATCCCCCAACCCATTGTAGTGAATCAATAACACATTCTATTCTGTCTTTTAAGTAACTCTCAAATCTATTCCCTCCACTGAGCAGCCTAGTCCAAGCCATTTCATCTCTTGCCTGAATGAAGACAGTTACCTTCTTACTCTTCTGCCACACCCACCATTGTCTCCTCTAGTTTGTGTACCATCCCCACCCCACACAGCAGCCAGAGCTATTCTTTTAAAATGTAAAGCCACTTGCATCCCTCTCTTAATTATGGCTGTCTATTGGCTGTCTCAGACTGGGTACATGGCTCATCAGGCCATGACAGTCTTGTCCCTACCTTCCCCTTCAGTCTCAATTTCACCCCAGTCCATTCCAGCCACACCACCCTCTTCTGTTCCTTCTATGCTGCTTTTAAGACCCGGAGCCTTCACACAGACACTTCCTCTGTGGGAGGCTCATTCATCCCGTCGTTGCCTGGATGACTAATCTTTCGGACTTCAGGAGAGATACCAAATGCTAAGAGGAGACTTCTTTCTTTCACTCGCATTCTCCAGTAACATGGATTCCTCTCATCACTGTATTCTGTAGCATTTGTTGAAACTATATTTCAAATATTTAGTTGTGGAATTATTTGGACTGTAAGCTCCATGAGGTAAAAAACTGACCACTTTGTTTACCCCTGTACCCTCAGTGCCTTGACAAAGTGCTTGTCACATAGTAGAAAGAGAACAGGATGGCCACATACATGAATGAATGATTAAACACCCAATGCCAGTACAAATCCAAGTTATTTTCATGCTTGTGTTCACGGGACACCAAATTAAGTGGAGAGATAAGATGTATCTAATGAGCTGGAAGTTGTGGGGTGGTAAGAAACTCGTGTTGAACTAGTTTAAATATTAAAGGGGAGTTTATTAGTCCCTGTAGCCTAACTATAGGAAGGGCAGGGCTGGAGTTGGCTACAGGTGCTCCAAAGATGGCAGCCAATTTCTCTCTGCCTTTTATCCTCTGTCTCTGACTCTCTCATTCTTGCTTGCCTTCACTCTTTAATGCAGAGAGATTTCTCCATGAGGTAGAAAAAGAAAAAGTGTGCATACAGAGCCCCAGATTCACAATTTTTTAGTCTTTCTTGCCAGGAAAACCTTCAGGAGGAATTCTGATTGACTCTTATTTGGGCCACAGTCTCATTGCTGGTCACTGTGTCTGCTATTCCCACTGTGGCCAAGGGGATAGAGCCATCACTAGTCAATCCCAAAGCTTCTGAGGCTAGAGTCTATTATCAGAAGGGTAGGCTGGCATCTGGAGTTGGGGAAAAGTCCCAGGCAGTTAAAGACAGTGGCCACCATAAAGTATGAATTCTGCAGGAACAGAGACCAGGTAATATGGGTTGCAATGTTCATAGATTGAGCCTCGATTTTTCTGGCTCCTGATATAGCTTAGGTTCATCAGAAAACCTGGAGCAGAGGCAGCTTTACCTGCTCATAGAGTGGACAGCCAGCCTCTTGAAATTCTATGAAAGAAGTCATTCTTTGGGGGTAGAATGAGAGTCCTCAATAGAGCCAGTAGCAACCAGCTCTAGTCCAAATATTGTTCTCTCTTATTTTTGGGAAATTAGCAGTGGAGATTATAGACATGAAAAGGCAATGGGGATCCTTCCTGATGGCAGTTGAATTAATAGGTGAGGAATTTGAAATATTCCCACCAATCCTCCATAGCCTGATTAAATGCTCTTCTTTCCCCCCACAAGGACTAATAGTTAAAGTCCTATTCATAGAACTCTTATGAGAATTCAGTGAGCTAATACACATGAAGCCCTTAGAATGGCACTGCACACTCTAAGCACTCAGTAAGTTTTAGCTATTATCATCATGGTAAGACAAGAGGGAGACTATGAACACAGTGGCTACCAAAAAAAGATGTCACAACCTCTTCTGACGTCTGCATCCCCTGAGTCTGCATCCATATTTCACTTGACACATGTAACTTTTACTTTAAGAACTTGCTTGGGAACCAGACTATGGGAATTTCTAGTCCAAAACCACTGTGCTGGGGCGGGGTTATCTAGGTATGACCATTTTTCACCTGAGTTCCTATAACAGCTTTGCAAAATTTAGATTGTGATTGTAACATTCTGTGCTGAATGCTCACTGCTAAAGCCTGTGAAAGAGGGTTTTCCCCAATCTCCTCCTGAGAGATTCTGAGTCAGTAGGTCAGGGTGAGCGGCCCAGGAATGTGGATGTGTTCAGTGGTTCTCCTCTCCTGCAAGTGGTTCCAGAGACCATGGTTTGAGAAACACTGGCCCAGAGGAAGGAGAAGTAGGGAAGGGAAGAGGTGAGATTAGGAAAATGAGCGGTGCTTATTCTGTAGCTGGGTTCACAGAGATAGGGAGCTACTCAATTACTTTTCAAAGTCCCAAAGTGTCCCCAGCCAGGAAGAGGGCTCCCCGATGTTTCCCTCATGGGTCAGCCAGGTGCTCTCCCTTTGGGGTGAGTGCCACATAGGTGTGAGGTGCTTACCATGCCCACTGGTCCACTCAGCCTATGGCCATGGGTGCCAGTGACAAAGTCACAGCTCTGCCAAGCCCCAAACTAAGTACCTAATCACTCGTGAGGAGTGGAGGCCAGAAGTCCCATGGGAGGAATGTCTTTGTGAGCATCATGGTGGATGCTCCCCTTGGGTCCTTGTCCCTGCACATGAAGAAATTTCCAGGAAGGTTCAGGAATAGATTTTGAATGGTCATATGCAATCCCAAAGACCCTGCCCTTTGGACAGGAGTTGGTGTGTATTAAGGCAGCCTGTCAGGAACATGCATTACTAACTCTTATGCTTTTGTATTAAGCATTATGTTTCATCTTTACAGTCAGATTAATGGAGATTAGTGATTCCACTTAAGAGTTTAAACATCGTGCTGACCCAAATTGTTGGAGCCATCATAACATGGGGCTCTATGTTCAAGGACTGGACCAGCTGGTAGTGGAGTGGGGGAGGGGGAGGTCTATATATTTTGCAAAGTGATTTTATTTTTCTGTGTAAGAAAGCTGGGGTGTCTCTTTATACGTAATGCATATGTGATCCTCCCCTGACTTTCTGCACACTTAAATGCTCATCAGGCCAGTCTGATGATATTCCTTTGCTAAGAGGACACTTAATAATCAACGGTCACTCACACTTGGCTTCTGTGGGTGGAACCCAGTCCCTAAAGTCTCCAATGGTTTCATTAATGTATTTTATCCGTTCGAAGGATAAAAATAAATCTCTCAAAGGCTCTTAGAAACCTGCCACCCTGGATGTAGGAGGAAAAAAGAGGGCGGCTGTTAATTAATAAACTTAAACCATCTCCGCAGGAGTACACAGCTGTGATCCAGAGAACATAGGAAGCAAGCTCAGCCTTCCTGTCAGTTATGAGTTACTTTTTATTCATTGGACAGACATAGTAACTCTGTGCCTATTATAAACAAATCAGTTGCAAATTTTGCTTTCAAGTGAAGTGTTTTGTTTTCTCAGCAAGCATACTCAGGGCAGGTAAAATATCCTTTTACATATTCTCAAAAGGGAAGAACTTGGAAACAGTCAAAGCCTATTTGGAACCAAATCTGGTGAATAAGATGTGTGATCAAGCTGGGGAAGGGCATGTTAGGCCAGAGACAAGGTAATGAGACAGTTTCTTGGTGTGGCCAGCCAGACCCAAACACTGGCTTTGTCACAGAGATTTACAGTTCCTAAGTGCTTTCATCTGCACTGTCTTATACTATTATGACAATAATCCTTGAGAGAGGCAGGGCTGGCATTTTCACAAAATTATAAGTCAAGCCATGACTCAAAATAGGTGAGCCACACTTTGCTGAAGTGAAAGTTCTGGGACACTGTAGCAGATTACTTCTTCAGAAGTCCTGGCCACTAGTCAGCAGTGTGCTTTTGGAGCAATTCCTTTCCTTTGCAGAACTTCTGTTTTCTCATAATGTAAAAGTGAGGGTGAATCATTTTTTCCCAATCTAATTCTATGATTCTATGAAATCTAGGCTACACCAGTATGTCCAGGACCTCTCCATAAACATAAGCAGAGTGGCCATTAGGAGCATGCGGGTGGGGCTTCATCTTCTGCTTTGCCGACAGCACAAGGTCAGGTTGAAAATGGGCTCTGCTGCACAGTCCATGGTGGAATCCAACAGGACCACACCAATGACCAGCAAATCTGCACGCTTACCCATGTGTCTGCACCCATCCTCCTCCAGTGGAAGACACATCCAACCCATCAAATGAGTGCAACTCAGCCTCTTGCTTTTCAGGGCCTCATTCATTTGTTCCCCACTGCCCATCTCCCTCTTTCTGCACACCCTCACATTCTCCTCTCCCTCTACTGGTTCCTTCTCACCAACAAGTGAACAACCTGCTCAAGTCTCTGCCATTTCTTTTATTTAAAAAAAAATAGAAAGTGGGGATGAATAAAACAACGTGTCCAACACCAGAATGAAGTTTTAATATTTGCTAATCTTTATTATTATTCTGTCCTTACCACCCCCACCCCTTCACCTTCCTTTCTTCCTCCCCAGAGGCAGGCAAACATTGAATTTGGCATGTATCCTTCAAGTCCATGGTTTCATACTTTATTATATACATGTGAATAATATATGGTATGGTCTTGTGTGCTTTTGGACCAATCGACGAAAATGTTTTCCTACTATTTGTGTCATTTATTATTGATATGTTTGGACTTGTTTCTATTACTGTAATGCCCTCTGGTATCTCTTGTTGCTAATGAGAAGTCTGCTCTTAATCTAATTGTCATTTCTTTTTCAGTAATCAGTTTTTGTTTTCTGATAGCTTTTAAGATTTCCTCTTTTTCCTTGATGGTTTGTAGATTAGCTACAATGTATATAGTGAATGAATTTGTTTTTATTTATTCTGCTTGGTATTTACTTATCTGAAGACCAATATCTTTCTTCAATCAGGGAGACATTGTAAACCACTATTTCTTTGAACATTTTTCCCTTCACCATTAATTATCTGTGTTTGGAACTCCTCTTTTTCACACTAAAATTATCTTTATTGTTTTATGTTGGGTGAATACCTTAGTGCAACTTTTCAGTTCACTAATTCTTTATTTGACAGTGTCCTGTTTAGAATTATCCTGATTCTTGGGTTAATTTCAGTGACTGTCTTTTTTCTCCAGCACTGCTTCTTGATATTTTTGTTTCATAATCTATTTTTAACAGCTTTACTGAGATATAATTCACATACCATGCAGTCCACTCATTTAAGGTGCATAATTCAATGGATATTGGTATAATACATAATTTTTAAAAAAGTGTGGTAAAATATGCATAGCACAAAAATTTCCCTTGTAGGGGTGACAGAAAGTAAAGAGTTGGGGGGCAAGAGCATGCCAACATTTAAAAGAGGATTCAGGGCTATGCCTTTCCCAGAAGAAAAGGTTGGGTCAAATCCCAGAAGAAGATGGTGGAGTTAGCTATGGAGATCCCAAAAAATAAGACCATGGGCAGAAGAATGTGTGGGACAGCCATTTTCCACTTTGAGCACCATTGGTATCCCATGAAGGGCTATGTAAACACAGGGATGTTGATGCCATTGGTTCTGGATGAGCTTTGGGAACCACTGGGCAGAAGAAAGGCTCAGAGTCTGCCTCACATCTTCCAGAAACTCTCAGGAGGTCACTGTGGCTGGAGTCAACAGTGCAAGGAGAGAAATGGAGGTTGAGAGGCTCCTGGTGGCCAGGCCCTGCAGGGCTGGGTAGACTTTAGTCCATGGAGGAGGCAGTGTAAAGTCTTTGGTGGTTGACAGGATATCCTGTGGGTTCCAAGGGCTGTCTTTGGTGTCTGTTGGCAGCCAGACTGTTGCCAGACTGTCAGGAGCATAGATCTTTTAGAAGGCAATGATGGATGGTGTTGATTTGAACTGAGGAGGTCTCAGTGAGATGGTGAGTGGTCGGATTCTAGGTCTGGAAGTTGAACCCAAAGGAGTCCCCACAAGAACAAATGCAGGCTGTAGTTGTACCAGTTTGCCAGAGCTGCCATAACAAAATACCACAGACTGAGTGGCTTATACAATATAAATTAATTTTCTTATAGTTCTGGAGGCTAGAAGTCTAAGGTCAGTGTTGGTTTCTCCTGAGGCCTTACTTTCTCCTTGGCTTGTGGACAGCCATCTTCTTCGTGTGTCCTCACGTGCACATCTCTCTGTGTGTGTCAGTGTCCTAATCACAGGACACAGGGATACCAGTCCTGTTGGATCAGGGCCCACCCATAGGACCTCATTTTACCTGAATCCCCTTTTTAAAGACCCATCTCCAAACACAGTCACATTCTAAAGTCTGTGGGTTAGAACTTCAATATGGGAGTTTTTCATTGCGGTAAATATGTGTGTATATACGTATGTGTCCACATACATATATACACACACACAAATTTATATATCATATATGTGATTTATACTTTTATATTTACCTAACAAATGATAACGCAAGTTATATTAAATACATATTCTTTACATTTATATATTTACATAATATATTAAATATATTTATGTATTAAATATATATCTATATATAATACATTAAAAATGTATTATACATTACTTACATGCCACAAAATTCACTATTTTGACCATTAATACATTTTCATTGTCATTAAATGTACAATCCAGTGGCATTATGTTTACAATGTTATGTGCCCATCACCACCATCTATTTCCAAAACTTTTTCATTACCCCAAACAGAAACTTTGTACACGTTAAATAACTCCTCATTCTCCTTTTCCTCCTGCTCCTGAAAACCTTTCATCTATTTTTTGTCTCTACTAATTTGCCTATTCTAGATATGTCTTATAAATGGAGTCATACACATTTGTTCTTTTGTGTCTGGCTTATTTCACTTAGCATAATTTAAGGCTTATTCATATTGGAGCATGCATCATCATTCCTGTTTTATGCTGAAGAATATTCCATTGTATGTATCTATCATATTTTGCTTAACCACTCATATGTTGATGGACACTTGGGTTATGGTGAATAATGCTGCAGTGAATAGTGGTATACAAACATGTGCTCCAGTATCTGCTCTCAATTCCTTCCGGTATATACCTAGGGGTAGGATTTCTGGGTCATATGTTAATTCTATGTTTAGACTTTTGAGGACCCACCAAACTGCTTTCCATAGTGGTTACGCCATTTTATATTCCCATCAGCATTGCTTGAAGATTCCCATTTTTCCACATCTTTGTCAATACTTGTTATTTTCCACTAAAAAAAAAAAATCCAGCTATCCTAGTAGGTATGAATTGGTATCTCAGTGTGGTTTTGATTTGTTATTAACCGGATGTTTGTGAGCACTGCACCCCACCTCCCCACCACCTCTGACCCCTCAAGCCCTAACCCTCAGTGTGGTGGCATTTGGAAATAGGGCCTCTAAGGAAATGATTAAGGCTAAGTAGGGCTGTAAGGGTGAGGCCCTGCTCCTCTAGGATTAGTGTCCTTATAAGAAGGGATACCAGAGAGCTCATTTTTATCTCTCTCCATGCATGCATGGAGGAAACGCCAGGTGAGGACACAGAAAAGACAGCCATCTATGAGCCAGGAAGAGGGCCCTCACCAGAGCCCAGCCCTGCTGTACCCTGATCTCAGACTTCCAGCTTCCAGAACCGTGAGAAAACATATTTCTGTTGTATAAGGCACCCAGTTTGTGATATTTTATTATGTTACCCCTAACAGATGAATACAATTTGCATTTTCCCAATGACTAACATGGAGCATCTTTTCATGAGCTTATTGGCTATTTGTATATTTCTTTGAAGGAATGTCAGCCCAAATGGCCCACTTTGAAATTAGATTGTCTTTTTGTTGAGTTGTAGGAGTTACTGTTTTTTGTTTCATAGTTTCTTGTCTTTTTATTATAGATTTGTTATAGATGTTACTTCTTTTTCTCCTCCAAATCATTGCTGATTCTACCCTCCTGGTGCATCCTGGATGCTGTTGTTGATGTCCAACAGCAATCATCTCTCCTTTCCTCCACCAGTCCTCTGTTCTTACCTATTGTCTCTCTTCCTTGAATCCATTCTCCACACCAAAACAGAATATCAAATCTATCATGTTGCTGTTCTGTCACTACTCTGCTCAAAGGCATTCAGTTGATCTCCAATTCTTTTCAGTAAGTTTTGAATTCCTGTACATGGCTTTTAAGGGCCTCCGTAATTTGCCTTCTATATACCTCTACCCTTCCAGCCTCATTTCTTGTTATTCTCCCTCTGAAAATCTAGAACATGTCTCTGAGTCTCTCTCTACAAGGCTTTGCGTAGAAAGCTCTGTTTGTACTGTTTTGTAAGAAATTACCAAATTGTCTTTCTTGCTCATCTGTGGCTTTGCAATAGAAGAGGTCCCTCTACTTTTCTATGACCTCCTTCATAAAGCACCCCAGATGCCCCCATGACAGTACTTATCACATTTGGTTATCATTGCCTGCTAAATTGCCTCTCTTCCCCAGGTCAGAGCAAGAGTCTGTCCTCTTCTTCAATGTGTCCCCAGCATTTAGCACAATATTTGGTACATAGATACCCAGTGCTTATTATTATCATTAGTGGTATTATTCCCACCCCATTGAATATTCCTTTTTTTTTTTTAACTTAATGTGTCTGGCAACGTGTAGCCTCTGTGCCTTTGTTCCTGTTATTCTTCTGATGGGATGTCCCTCTTCATTTACAATTTTCTCCCTAACATTTGATTATGACAGTTTTCAAGCACATAAAAAATGGAAAGGATACTAGTTGATTCCTATTCTTCACTATCTACATGCTACAATTAGTATTTTATTTGACTTAACATGTGTATTACATCTATCTTTTTTTTTTTTTTTTTTTGAGGCAGCATCTCACTGTCACCCACACTGGAGTGCAGTGGTATGATCATGGCTGATACAGCCTCAAACTCCTGGTTTCAAGCAATCCCTCTGCCCCAGTCTCCCAAGTAGTGGAAACTAAAGGCAGGCACTATGACACCTGGCTCTTCTTTTTTCTTTTATAGAAACAGGGTCTTGCTATGTTGCCCAGGCTAGTCTAGAACTCCTGGCCTCAAGCAATCCTCCTGCCTAGGCCTCCCAAAACATTGAGATTACATGTGTAAGCCACTACACCTGGCCTATCCATTCATTAATTCATACTTGCTTGGGGAGTGTATTTCAAAGCAAGTTTCAGACTTCAGTATACTTCTAACCTAACCATTGCAGCATGCATGCCACTTATTTATGTTTTTAGATAGAATTTACATACAATAAAATGAACAAATCTTAAATGTATCATCTTATGACTGTTACCAATGCTTACAACTGGGTATTCCAAACCCCTATCAAGAGCTATAGCATTGTTACTAACCCAGAAAGTGTTCTCAGACCACTTCCTGCACTGCCTCCAGCAACTCCCAGGCCAACCATGGACAACGGTTTTTCTGATTTTTTTCCTCCATGGATTAAATTAGTTTTGTGTGTTCTGGAACTTCATTCTTTTATTAAGATCTTTTTATTTCCCTCTATATAATGTTATTGAGATTCATCCATGTTGCTGCATGCATCAATATGTTTTTTTTTGTTATTGTTACTTGTTTTTTCCTTTGTTGTTGTTTTCCATTGTATGACTACAGCACAGTTGGCTATTCATTCTCCTCTTGGTGGACATCTGGGCTCTTTCTAGTTTTTGACTACTATGAATAAATTCTTGTACAAGTCTTTTTGTGGACATGTTTCCATTTCTCTTGGGTAGGTATCTGGGAGTGAATTTCTGGGGCATGTGATAGGATTGTTTTGTTTTGTAACTGCCAAACTGTTTTCCAAAGTGGTTGTACCATCCTCCATTCTCACCAATGACATGTGAGAGTTTTGGCTGTTCCATATCATTGTCAACATTTGGTGTTGTCAGTCTCTAATTCTAACTATTCTGGTGAGTATATAAGTAGTATCATATTGTGGCTTTAATTTGTTTCCCTGATGACCAAATGATGTTGAGAATTTCTTCACGTGCTTATTAGCCATTGGTATACCTTCTTTTGTGAAGTCTCTGTTGAAATATTTTGCCTATTTTTGAAAGTCAGTTTTAATGAGGCATAATTTACATACAGTAAAAAATCATCTCTTGTAGGTATATTTTCTAAGAATTTTGCAAATATCTATAGTCATACAATTACCACAATCAAGATATAGGACATTTCTGTCACTGCAACAGTGTCCTTGCACCCTATATAGTCTATACTCACCCCTTTCCACTTGTAACCACTGATCTATTTTCTGTCCCTAAAGTTGTGCCTTTTCCAGAATGTCATACAAATGAAATCAAATGGTATGTAGGCCTTACAGTCCCATTTTAATTTGGTTGTTTGTCATCTTATTGAGTTGTAGGAGTGGGTATATATTCTGGATGCCAGCCTTTCATCAGACATGTGTCTGATGAATATTTTATTTCAGAGTGTGATTTGCCTATTCTTTTTTAGTGGTATTCTTGGTAAGCAGAAATGCTAAATTTTGGTAAGTTCCAATTTGTCAGTTCTTAAATTTGATAGTTATTGTTTTCTGTGCTATGTGTAAGAAAACTGACTGTCCACCATAGAAGAGATTTTTCTATGCTTTCTTCCTGAAACTTTGTTTTAACTTTTTATATTTAGTTCAATGATCCATCTCAAATTAATTTCTGTGTATGGTGTGAGATAGGGGTCAAGGTTATTTTTTTCCCTAGCCCCCTCAGTCAAAAACTAACCTCTCCCAGTTCTCCCATAGCATGTTATGTACTGGGGGTAGACACTCATCATTTCCATCTTCTGTTATGTACTTTTTATTTTTTGTGGACTCATTGTTTCTTCAATTGGACTGAAAGTTTCTCGGGCAAGGGTCACATATTTTATGTAAAGAAGCAGATAGAGTAGTGCTAATGAAATATGTTTTGGGGTCTGGTGGAACCAGGATTGAAAGCAGGTGCTATCACTTGCCAGCTGTGTAAACCTGAGCAAGTCTTAGAATGCACGTAGGGGCTACTGTATGCCTGGCATGAGGCTAGGAAAGAGGTCATAAAGGTGAATGCAGCTCAGGCAGGTCTTGAGGGGCCCCACTCGTGTGTAGGGGGTATGGAAAAAGTAATTATTAAACAATGATCCAAATGCTGTGACAGAAATATGAATAGGTGGTTAAGGGATCAGAGAGGGTGGGGAATGGCTTCCTGATAGAGGTGAAGCTCACCTTGAATTTCAGTGGATGAGAAGGGTTAGCCAGGCAAAGGTAGATGAGACAGGGATTCCCTGGTGGGGACAGCAGCAAGAGCCGAGGAACTGAAGTGAGTTTCCTTGATGGAAACAAACAAATTACACTTCATGGAGTTGTTGTGAGAACATTATGAGCTAACAAACGTGGCGTAAGGTTGCACTGTTTGAGACATATTAATACTAAAAAAAGTACGTATTGTTTATATGAAATTCAAGTTTAACTGGGCATCTTGTATTTTTATTTGCTAGATCTGGCAAGCCTAACGTGATGGCACTCAGCACAGTACCTGATACATAGTTGGCACCCAAAAAGATATATGTTAAATTTAACTTTAAGCTGTTCTCCTCTGGAATAGAAGAGAAGGGATAAAACTGAGAGATAAAATCTGAAGAGGAGCAATAAAATAGAAAAGGCAGAATTTGGTGCTTGATATTATTGAAAATTTTCCTTTCAGCGGTGATGGCATTTCCTGGCAAGAATAAACTTTGTCTTTAAATAAGTCTCCCTTCATGGTTAGAAATGCTCCTGGAAAGAAATGAAGGAGTCCTTCCATGTGAGCAGTGGGTGTAGTTTCGGGGCCAGGGGACCAGAAGGAAAATATTGTGCATAGTTTTGCTCCAGGGCATGTCATGTAAATGTTCCTTCTTTCTTCCTTGTTGTCTCAGGAGTTCTGAAAATCCAGGTATTTCTTTTGCAGAAAACACTTGGGCACTGAAGTGCACCCCCCACCCCCTACCCCCGCCCCACAAATCTGTATGGCTTGGTTTCCCACCACACTCCAAACCTGGGCCCCCTTGGAAGTCTGAATCATCTTACCCTACCTTGAGCCACCCTGAGGGCTCCGCTCCCAGGACCATGCCTCCTGACCCACTGTCGGAGGGGAGTCAGGGCGCTCCCAGCCTTAGGTGATATGGCTGCGTCTAGATGTGCTTAACAAATTGCCTGTTCACTCAAGTACATTTTATTTAATCACCTGTAATCATATAAATTATGCCTGATGGTAGTAAATGTTCATGTCAGTTCCTAATTACAGATTGATTAATTGGCTGGGGTGATCTGTATTACTACTTATATAAGAATATATGAGGTTGATGATAAATTAGGGCTGGTAATCCGAGCCCGGGAACATGGAATATTTCCAACTGCATCCCCCTTTTTGGGAGTGGGGAAGCCATTGCCCTTTTCCTATCTTGTTCCTGTCAGAGGCTTCTGGGAGGGTTTCTCTTCTATGGATTGATTGATTTTGGCAACACTTGAGTCAAGAAATACTATATTATTTAGGTAATATACATAAGCGTTTGTGTAAAATTTTTGCCATGCAGTGCTCCTTTTTGGCTGTAGCAGAGATGAATAATGACAAGCTCATTAAGTTCAGTTGGGCTCATTACAGCCTGCTGGGCCCAGAAAGTTCCAGGGGTTGGATTTGGCCTAGAGAGCAGGAATCCAGAGAATGAAGACACGAGGCATTTGATCAGTGTCTACAAAACCAGTCCTTATTAGGTGATTACGTCTTTTTGTTTCCTTAGAAGCTAGAGTGTTAAATGGTCCAGAATGTACCTTGCACTTTTTTATAGGAACATTAGACCTTGGTGGATGTCTTTCAGGCAACTTGCCTGGGATGTCTAATAGTTAGTTCTCAGCTTTTGAGAACATCATTTACTTAGAACAAACTCTACTTCCATCATCTTTGCTTCTCTCCCACTCATACTTCGGGTTAAAGGTAAAGAGGAAGCAACATGGGCTAAGACATGTGGGAGGAGGGAGGGAGAATCTGAAAACACAGGGGTGGACCCTGGTTTCAGGGAAGGGGCCTGAGACTTGATCCCAGGTTCCTTGGCCTCTGAGAAGGGATGGGCAGAGGAAGAATGGCAGAGAAACCTGTGGGAGTTGAATCCTCTGAAGATGCAGCATCCCAGGGGCTTGTTACTAGAGAGAACCATCAGCTGACCTCTCCCCTTGACAAGCTACCATGGGAGCAATGATTTATTGCCATTGAGGGTCATGGGTGACCTTCTTTTCTTGGGGATTTTTTAATATGGTGATTGTATCATACAGCATCATGCCATAGAGCACAGCCTCTGCCTGAGTTCCAGTCTTAGTTTTACCACTTAGCTCTGTGATCTCGGGCAAGTTACTTAGCTTTTCTATGCCTCAGTCTCCTCCTGTAAAGTGGGGATAATGATAGTCCTACATTATGGGGTTGTTGTCAGGATTCAGTGAGTTAACAAAGATATGGATGCTGAGAACACTGCCTGATACATTGGACACATCAAAAAATGTGGGGAGAGAGCTGTTTTCGTTATAAACTAATGTGATCTCAAAACAGCCCTGGGGATACACTAGGGTGGAATACTAAACTCCTTTGTTGGGTGAGACAACTGAGTCCCACTGTAGTGAACATCTTGCTTCTGGACAACAATTTAAGTAGTGTAGTGGTAAGGTTGGGGCCAGTCGTGGTGGCTCATACCTGTAATCCCAGCACTTTGGGAGGCTGAGGCAGGCAGATCACCTGAGGACAGGAGTTTGAGACCAGCCTAGCCAACATGGTGAAACCCCATCTCTACTAAAAATATGAAAATTAGCTGGGCATGGTGGTGCCTGCCTGTAATCTCCGCTACTTGGGAGGCTGAGGCAGGAGAATTGCTTGAACCCAGGAGGTGGAGGTTACAGTGAGCCAAGATATCACACAACTGCACTTCAGCCACTTCAGCCTGGGTTACAGAGCAAGATTCTATCTCAAAAAAAAAAAAAAAAAAAAAAAAAAAAGTAGTGGTAAGGCTGGAACTAAAACCTGTGTCCCCTGACTCTCATCCTTAGTGTGAGAGGCAATGTCCCTGCAGACAAGGCCAGTAGTATTTGTTCAGAGGATTCCTAGTGTCCACACTTGCATGGAAAAATCTTGCCTTTCTTTTAGCTTCCTTGGTCTGAGAACTCAACTCTCATCTGGCAAAAGCAGAGGCTTCTCTTGAGTGAATGTATTTCTTTCCCCTTGATTTTCAATTTACACTTTCCCCAACTTGGTAAAATGATCAATCTACTTCTCCTCACTAATACCCCATGATATGATACAGGGGCCAAACTGGGCCTTCTAACTTCCTTTATGAGTTAACACTTTGAGTGTGTTAGGGTTTTCTTTGGGACTCCATTTGAGGCAGCTAATATGTGGTGTGACTGAGAATATCACACAACTTAGGACCAGGGAGCCTGACACCCAATGCCAGTTTTTATCACTAGGGAGCTTTTTGCTGCAAGTAACTGCAAGTAAATGAAAATAAACTAAATTAAACTTAACACCTAATGAGGTTTTTTTTTTTTTTTTTGTTTGTTTTTTTTTTTTTTAAGCTTATGGAACAAGGTATCCAGAGTTATGGCAGTTCCAGAGGTGTGTGGTTCAGCAGCTCAATGCCATCTCAGCCTCTGCAATCTGTTTGACCTACCCACCTTACCAGGTTCCCCCATGGCCACAGATGACTGCTGTGGTACCAGACATCACATATACATTAAGTGACTCCCAGAAAAAAGATGTTTCCTCCCATTTGCTTCTTTATTGGCTGAAGTTTCTCAGCTGACATTTTCTCAGGTCCTACTGCCCAAGATTGGATCACATGTTTGCCCTAAACTAATAATTGTTGAAGGGACTGAGACAACTGTGATTGGTCTAGACCTATTATGATTGATTCCTTGGTGGTCTGAGGAGAAGGGCCACCTTTCCTGAACATATGGCCTGGTAGGAAGTGACACCGAAACAAAATGGAAACTGTCAGTCACAAAAAGTAGATGAGTGTATATGTGCAGGGTTAGAGGAAATTTTTTTTTTTTTTTTTTTTTGTGGAGTGGGTAGTCAACAGTGTCTGCTCTGGGCAAATCACACAAAGTCCCTGAACGGCAGGAACCAAGAAAATCCTGTCAGGTCCATAGGAACAAAGATTAAATTGCCCCAGAAGAAAACCACAATAAGTAAGGCATATCTCCAATATAACTTTGGTTTTTATTCAGCTCTTCTCATTTTGCTCTTTATAATACCTTGCAATGAGAGATGGCTTTCACAACTTTATTCTGCACATCACCTGGAGGTGTCAGATGGTAAATCTGTAAACAAACCACACACTATTTTGTGATATACAGGGGAAGTATGGAGTCTCCATTCTCTACTCCTTCTTTCAAATGGGCCCAGTTGACACCATCTCCAGCTTCAGAGGAGGATCCTCATGACTCCTGGCTAATCAGAGCCTGGCATCCCCTTGGCTGTGGTAATGGGTCTGGAGATGGGCAAGTTGGCCCAATCAGATTGAAGGAAAGGACTGCTGTTGCACCAGGGGAAGATTCTTTTCCCCGCTCCTGCTGTGTGGGAACGAGGAAGCACCCAGCTCTACTGTCCCTGGAAACCATCTTGTGAACACGAGGGGACAGATATTATATCTGACAAGAGGAAGACAGAGCTGAGCAAGGGAAAGACACTAGGGCCTCAGCAGCATCATTGAGCTGAAGCTGGGGTCTCCACCTTTGATCTTGCTGAGTAAGATGACAGTTTTCCTTATGACTTAAGTCAACTTGAATTGAGGATTTTGGCTACTTGCAGCTGAGAGCATCCTTATTGAAACAGGAATCAGTTATTTTCTTTTACAAATGAAGAAACTGAACAAGAGAAAGGAAGTGAGCTGCCTCGGGTCCTATACCCAACAGAGTGTTGGATAACTGGAAGCTAAGTCTTTTGACCCTGAGGTGGCTTTTTTTTTTTTTTCTACCCAATTCCCTCCTATCATGGGGGACTTCTTATCAAGCAAAAGTTATCTTGAGGTGCTCTGGGGAGTCGGAGGGGAAGGGTGAAATGTTTCCTAGGGCACCAATAGGGTCTGGATGGGAAATCTAATTCCTTCTGGGTTGGCTGCTGGCTGCCATCTGGTCGTAGATAATTATTACCCTGCCCTTTCTTTGTCTAACTGGCTCTGCAGTAGGAACAATTGATTCCAATGAATTGTGCTGGTAAACAATATCTTCTGCTTCCTGGGGGCAACTTATAAAACAAAGGATGAGGGTTCCCCCACTAAGAGGGAGGGAGCAGGGTGGAGAAGGGGCATAGACTAAGGAGCCATGGTAACAGGCACCTCTGAGGTTGGTCATGGGGAAAAGTCAGGCTCGGGTAGACCCAGCAGCTGGAGCCATTGTGAGGTTGTTCTGAGGGCCACACCACTCCATCTATGACACTGTTAGTTTCAGAAAGGAGCTCACTGGTAGAATTCCCGTGGCATAGAAGTTGGTCTGTGATGCACACCAGCTGTAACCTGGCTGATCCCAGGGGGAGCTCTGGGGCTAAAATGGCTCATCAGAGTTGTTCCATATTAGGTGGAAATAGCCTGGCCTTTACAGTCCTACCTTCATTTGTCATTAGATATGGGCTGCCCTTGGAAGGATGTGACTTGGGGCCCCGTGGCTCTCTGCAGCCGAAGTGATCCTGGAGGGGCTGACAGCAGAGGGCTGACCTATAACTGTGTTCCTGGCAGCTGTGTCACTAGTCATTCTTGAAAGGGGATCTGGGTGGTGCATCTGTGTTTATCATACCTTTCCCTACCAACTACTCACTGAGAATTTCTCATTTTGGATTTGCCTCCTTAGATTCAAGGTAACACTGCCTTGAATCTCATGTCATACAGTAACTACTGTATGGTAACTTAGTCTGTATTGCCCAAATGTGTATTTTTGTGGGAGTTCTGGGGACTGTGACTCCACCTCCTTGCCCAGCCATGGTGCTGTCATAGGAGTGGGGCTTCTTGAACAGGAGACTGTTGCACTATCTAGGTTTATGCCTCATGTCTGCTGTGAACCCTGGTGGCAATGCGATGCTCAGCAACTAGCAGCCCACCTTAAGTCTTAGAGGCCACCTCTTGGCTTCAGAAGGGCCTATCAGGCTGGGAAGTGGTTCTGGCCCTTTATGGATGGATGGTTAGAGTCAGTGCTGTTATCACTATGTAGCATAATATATATTTTACTGACTGGCTCTTGCTGGGGCCAGAAGTGGGACCCAACCCCAGTCTGTGATGCAAGTTAGTTGCAAAGCCTGACTTTGTCTCTTTTTCCCCATTTATAGAACACAGATAATATCTTCTTTTTGTGGTAGAAGACTATTGTGAAAGCAAATATAGTAACAAATATGAAAATAAAAAGCCTACAGAATTGTGAAACAGTGCCACTATCATGTCGGTTATTATCAGAAGTGGCTGCTGAACTGCATGGAAACAATACTTCATATGCCTTGGCTGCATCCTAGAAAAGACAGATGCCAAATGCAAAGCATTTGACTTTGGCCTAGTGGTTCTCTGTGCATCAGTTTTCTCTGCAGAAGAACCAGATCCTTTTCCCTAGAAGACCCAGCTTGAATCTCACCTCTCTATTGGTTAGTGATGGATCACTTTTCTGATCTATTTGCCTTGTGTTTACTCCTGTCACACTTACCAACCTGCTCTTCTGAAAGTCTTGGTTCGGTGTGTAACATGGGTAAGAGGATCAGCTCTTGGAATTATCTCCCTTCTTTTTCCCATCCAGAGCCTCCCAAATTCAGAGACAGACAGGGCTTTGGGCAGCAGAGGCGTTCCCAGACTGTGGCCCACAATTGAGAGGAGCCGGCATGGGTGCCTGGCAGGTGGCCAGAGATGCTGGGAGATGGGCATGGGGTCAGAGCTGCCCTGTGGCAGATATTGGGCTTAGACTCGTGGGATGCACTGACAGAGACTTTAATGATAATTTCTTGCAATTCTTGCCTTTTCTCTCCCCTCCCCTACCAATTTAATAGTCAAAAAACATTTTTGGAGCACCTTAAACATGCCAGGCCCTGTGAAAGGGAGGGGAGATTAACATTGAACAAAACAGATTAAAATCCCTGGCCTCATGGGACTTACACACTGGTTTGAGGTTCTTCTGAGGGAAGAACATTCATTTCTGGGGGTGTGAGCAGCATGTGCAAAGGCCCTGAGATGGATCCTGGCCTGGCAAATTTGAGGTATAGCTGGTGGGGCCGGGGAGAGTGGCAGGTAGGAGATGATCAGAGAGACGATAGGCACTGACAGTGGAGCACCACAAAGGATCTTGCAGGTCTTTGCAAGGACTCTGGCTTCTGCTCTGAGTGAGACAGGAGTCACTGCAGGGTTCTGAGCTAAGGGTGGCATGATCTGGCATGGATTTAAAATGGTGTCTCTGGCTGGTGAGTAAATAGACTGTAGGAGGCA
Organism: Homo sapiens; assembly: GCF_000001405.40. Lineage (NCBI taxonomy): Eukaryota > Metazoa > Chordata > Mammalia > Primates > Hominidae > Homo > Homo sapiens. The sequence goes on from NC_000018.10 coordinate 47,309,312, forward strand.
AAGGGTGGAGCAAGGAGATCAGTAAGGTGTCTGTTGTAGTAATCCAGGCAAGAGGGAGGGTGGCTTGGATGGGGGCATATCAGTGGAGGTGATGAGAAGCAGTTGGGTTCTGGAAGCATCATGAAGCCAATATTGGAAAATTTAATGACAGATGAGGATACTGGTCCAGAGAGTGATTTGGGCCAGAAAGGAATGATCTACTTGAAGTGGTACAGCTAGTGGCAGACTAGGACGAGAATAGCCTGGAACAAAACTGACTTCTGGGCCTGAACGTTGCTTCCCTTGTGTTTGATGTGCTTGTTGGTTCATGGACATGTGCTTGTGCTAGTGAATGCTTTGTTAATGTGTGCCTGTGTGTGTATGAGTGTGCGCATGTGTTAGCACGTGGGGTCCTTGCATGTGGGGGCAGGTGAAGCTGGGCTGGAGCAAATGAAAGCAGCAGTTAGAGGGAGCTGTGCCTCAGCTGACCACCTCCCACCTTGGAGGAGCCCATAACCATTGTCTGCCTCTCCCTACATCCATCCTGCCTCCTCCTGGCCCCTTCCGGCCCAGATCCTTCCTCGCCCAGCCCTGCTGATCCCAGTGCAGGCTAATCTGCCTTTCATGAGGCAGTCCTTCCCCATCTGTTCCAACAATGGTAAGGAAAGATTGAACCCTTAGGGCTTCATTCTGACTTTTTTTTTTAAAAAAAACATGTAATTTGCTCAGTCCAAGTCCCAGGTGACCAGCTCTGTGACTGGGTATCTCTTTGTGGCTTGGAGCTGGGATGGGGACAGGAAGGCGTGGCAGATGGGGTAGGTGGGAGAGGATGACTCACACAAGATAATGGCAGAAACAGTGATGGGATGATGTCTTTGTGTATCTCCAGGAGAAAGTGGATATTCAGTAATCACCTGGGAGAGATGCCCATGACACTAGATGGGAAAAGGGATTTTCATTAGAATACCGGAAAGACCACACTGGCCATCACTGAGGCCCAGGGTTCCTCCTTGAGGTTTTCTGTGTGGACCTCTCCTGGTTCTGGCACCAGCTAGCTGTGACGTCAGGCTCAGGCAGCGCTTCTCCTGGTTAGCTATGCTAGACACATTGGCCAGGAATTTATATAGGACTTTGGTAAGTCCAGTCATATTTTAGCATGAACTTCATCCTGGGGTATTGATTACATGAAGATGCAAGTGTCAGTTCCCTGGTATCCACCAACCAGAATGGACACCATGAATGATTTGGGGCAAACATTCCCACGTTTGCCCCAAATCATTGCTTCCTGAAAGTGCTCACTAGAATTACCTGGAGAGTGCTTAAAAATTAATTTTATTTAATATAAAAATGTAAAAAGCACTACAGTGACAAATCTTCCCATACCTCATTAGTGCATTCCCCTCCACTGTGTTACCGCTGTTATGGGGTCTGTGGTACCCTCTCAGAGTGTCTCATGAAAGCAAATATTGATAGAGATTCTTCTTTCCTCTCACCCACTTTCTGTACAAAATGAAGCATTCTAGGCATATTGCTCCACATGCCACTTCTTTCACTTAATGCATTTTAGATTTCTTTTTACATTGGTACATAAAGGATTTCACTTTGGGTTTTTTTTTTTTTGTTCACAGAGATGGACGGCCTGGCCTGGTCTGGTTCCTCAGTGAAGAGGAGCCCACCACTTCCTGTGCCAGTCCACTTCTTTGTTGGACAACTGTAGGGGTTTAATTCAGTTGCATTCAATGTTGATGGAGTAGCTACTGGGTCTTATGCACTCACTGAGTGGTGAGAGGGCACAGCCCTTGTCCCCAGGGAATTAACAGCTTGATGAGGATGGCAGATACATGGATTAACCCTAATGCACCGGGAGCCTTGTGGCAGGGTCCCTGCCTAGCCTAGGGGGCAGTATGAGGGTGACACTCAAGAGGAGGAGGTATTCAGCTGCATATTAACAATCTGTATTCATTTTCTGTGGCTGCTTTCACTAGTTACCACCCTCTTGGTGGCTTTAAACAACAGAAATTTATTCTCACAATTCTGGAGGCCAGAAGTCTGAAATCAGTTTCGTGGGGCTGAAATCATGGTGTTGGCCCGGCCATGTTTCCTCTGGAGGCTCCAGGAAACAGTCCATTTCTTGCCTCTTCTGGTGTCTGGTGGCTGCTGGCATTCCTTGGCTTGTGGCTCCACTCTTGGCCCCAGCCTTCACATTGCCTTCTCCTCTTTGGTTTGAGTAAAGTCTCCCTCTGTGTCTTTTGTGTAAGAACACGTGATTGTACTTAGGGCCCACCTGGATCATCCAGGATCATCTCCCCTTTTTTAAGATCCTTACATCTGCAAAGACTTTTTTTTTTCCTGTAAAAATAACATTCATAGGTCCCAGGGATTAGTTTTTGATATCTTTTGAGTGGTCATTGATCAGCCTGTAGCAGAAGAGCGGAAACAGCCTGCTGAGGAAGGAAAGGAAAGTATTCAGGAGGGAATGCGCATGTGCAAGGCACAGGGAACTCTGCAAACTCTCTCTTCCCAGAGTCCATGGCCTCTGGCCATGTGAAGAAATGGCACAATTCTTCTAAATCTTCATTTGCCCTGGATGGGCCTGCATCTGTCTTTGCTGATTCTTTGGAGGGTGCTCTTATGGCTGTGGGCTCTGTGGCTGCACTGGAGGTCTCTAGTTCCTGGCCTTTCACAGTCTGCACCTGTGTCCTCCACTCATGTTGTAGAACAAAGCTGGTCCCTAGGGACATTGGAAAGTGAGGGAGGTTGGTCTTCAGTGTCTTCCTCCCTTTGTGATGCTTTTTCTCTACTCTCTTCAGATGATTTTATTTATTCCTTCACAAACATATATTCAGCTTTGTCTACATGCAGGTCCTGTTTCTGGTACTGGGGATAGGGTGTTGAATGAGACAGGTGAGATCTGTGCACTCCCAGAGACTGTAGTTTAGAGGAAGAGGCAGTGGGATAAACTAGTGAGCAAATATACAAACAAGCTCATTTCAGACAGTGGGGAATGCTGTGAAGATACCGAACAGGGCCATGAGATAGGAAGTCGGTGAGTGGAGATGGGAAGGGCAGGGAAGACTTCTTAGCAAGGTGACATTTAGGTGAGTCAGAATGACAAGCAGCAGCCTGGTACTTGAAGTCTTGGGGTAGAACATTCCAGCAGGGGTGTTAATGAGCACTAAGGCCCTATGGAGGAAGGAGCTGGAGAGTTAACAGAAGTGAGAGAGGGGGTGGCCAGAGGTGACATTGGAGACACAGAAAAGGGCCAGCTCATGTACAGCATTGAAGGGCAACTTCAGGACATTGCTTTTAATCTAAAGAAGCTGGGAAGTGATATTAGCTGGGGTTTGCCCCAGGTGCTGCCAACAGCAGGTGCACATGCCAGGGAGCCAGAGGATGCATGAGTCTCTCCTCAGGAGCCTGAAGACACATGCCTGGCAGTCATAGGGGCACTGGAAATAGTTAGATTTGGGTCTGAATAAGCTCATCCAAACAGTATAAATGGAGATGAGAAAAGACCCCCAGGCTGAGATCTGAGTTGGCCAATACTGAGATGGCAAGCAGAGGAGCAGGTACCAATGAACGGACAGAGAAGAAGAGGCCTGGGAGGTAGGAGGAAAACCAAGAGGGAAGAACGCATTTCAAGAATGCAGAGCGGTCAAGGTTCACCTGTCCTGTCTCCCTGAAAGGAGGACTGCTGGCAAATAAATTCCTTCGGCAATGTAAAGTCTCCTGGAATGAGTGTTTTTGAGAGAAATCAAACCCTTAAGCAAGAGTTCAGTATTATTAACGCAGTATTGCAGGGAGGGTTTTCCCTGCCATGTCTTTGGGCCTTAGTGATGTCAATTTATAACCTTTTTGAGGTTATCCTGTTGGAGGTAGAGCCAGGAGGCTGAAGACTGTTGGCAGGGAGGAGATCAAGACACCATGTTGTAAGCACTTAAAAATTAAACTCAGCCTGTGATATGGCTGTTTAGAGAGACATTCCTTTTGTTTCAGGATGGAAGGCAACATCATTCTGTAGCACCACATTGCTTCTGAGTGGACACTTGCCATTGTCTCAAGCTACCTGTTAGGTTGGGATCTAACAAGCCAGACATCTGCTCCTCCAACAGAGCTGCTAACACTACCAACAGGACATTCTGAAAATCGTGTCAAATGTAATTGTAAGTGTTTCTACAGGGATCTAAGTGCAGATTTAACTCATTTAACCCCTTAGTGAATGGCAGGACTAAGTCAGGGGATGCTGGACTAGGGACTCTGAGGCCCTTACAACCTGAGGAGTCTGTGATCCTAGGACAAATTCTTCATTAAAATGATTGAGTGATGATGGGATAAGCTTTCATAAATGCAGCTGAGGCACAAGATTTCTTATTCAGCAGAGGCAGTTTTTGCTATATCATTCAAATAGTATGAGCATGGCTGCCAGCCAATGCATGGACAGGCCTCCTTTTTGTGAGCTAATCATCTATGTAGCCTTTCCCTAAAAGTACCCATGAGATGAGGATCAGATCCTTTGGTGTGGCATGCAAGCCCCACTTCAGTCTGGCCCCAACCTGCCTCTGTTGTGTGCTGTTGCTGCAGTCTCTTCCCACCCCCATCCTCATATTCACTGCTGGACACGTCTCCCCTCATGCTCTCTGCCTGCCCATCATCCAGCCCCTGGCACAGGACATCCCTGACTGCCTGCCTGCTGACCGCCTGCCTCCACTTCAACGGGACTTCCAGTTCCTGGCCTCTTCTCCAGCCTCTGCTTTGTTCACTCTTCCATACCCAGCTGGCATAAGATGACTCGTTTTGCAAAAAGCTGCTATTGTCCAGCACATCTTCCTGCAGCCTGAACATACTGTGCTTCTCCCTCCAGTTCCTTAGCCTCTCATGTGAACAGCTCCTCTCTCTGCTCTTCCAACAAGACTCCCAAGTTTTTCCCCTTCCAGGAAGAGGATCCTTACTACATCAGCCCTTGGTAAGCTCATCTTTGCACTTATTCTCTATAACTTCCACATGGCCTGTATCCCATGCTGTCTAGTGATAGCTTCTGTATTTCATTGACTGCTGCTATTGCATGATACTTGCTAGGGACCCCTTCAATTCATATGTTGAAGCCCTAGCTCCAAAGTGACTATATTTGGAGACAGGAATTTAGCAGGTAATTAAGGTTAAATGAGTTCTTAAGGATGGGGTTTTAACCTGATAGGATTGGTGGCCTTATAAGAGGAAGATCTCTCTCTCTCTCTTTCTCCCTCTCTCTCTCTTCCTCTCTCTTTCTTCCTCTCTCTCTCTCTTCCTCTCTCTCTCTCCCCCCCCTCTCTCCCTCTCTCTCCCTCTCTCTTCCTCTCTCTCTCTTTTCCTCTTCCTCTCTCTTCCTCTCTCTCTCTCTTCCTTTCTGTTTCTTCCTCTCCCTCTCCCTCTCTCCCCCACTCCACCCCTGAGGAAAGGCCATGTGAGTACACAGTGAGAAGGTGACCATCTGCAAGCCAGAAAGAGGGCCCTTACCAGAACCCAGCAGTGTCAGCACCCTGATCTCAGACTTCCAACTACCACTGAAAAAGACAGAAAGGAGAGAATATGGTGGAATGTGGCTCTCCCTAGACAATTGTCAGAAAGCTCAGTTGGTTCTCAGTTTTGGGGGATTAGGAGCAATTCTGCTGGAGGCAGAGGGTTGAACCAGATGACCTCTTGGATTCCTTCTCTCTGATGATGCTGGGAAGACATTTCTCATGGTCTTGAACCACGAGATAAATTGCTGCTGTTTAAGCCACCCAGTCTATGGTATTGTGTTATGGCAGCTGGAGCTAAGATGATATCTATTGTCACTTCTATGTCTTATCTGCCCAATAAACTCTGTGCTCCTAGACCAAATTTGTGGGTTTTTAAAAATTTTAACTTATGCTTAACATGCATCAGAAAGATACTCATATTCTAAGTATATAGCTTGCTGAATGTTTACAAACTGAACACACCTATGTGACCAGTGCCCAGACCAAGGAATGCACATCACCAGTGCCTTGATGCCCCTGCCATGCCGCCTTCTAGCCTCCTCTAGCCACAAAGGCAGCTACCACTCTGACTCCCAAGTATAGATGAGTTTTGCCTAGTTTTGCACTTTATGTAAATGGAATCATAAAGTATGAACTTGTTTGTGTCTGGCTTTCCATTTATGAAATTCATCCATACTCTTGTGTGTGGCTGTAGGTTATTCATTCTCATTGCTGTACAATAATCCACTGTGGAAATATACCACAATCTAGTTATTTACTCTACTGCTGATGGGCATTTGGGTAGTTTACAGTTTTAGCCATTACAAATAGTGTTGCTATGAATATTCTAGCATGGGTCTTTTGGTAAACCTTTGTATGTGCTTCTATAGGGCCTATGCCTAACAGTGGGATTGCCAGGTAACAGGGCATGCATATGCTCAGCTTTAGTGGATACTGCCAAACACTTTTCCAAAGTAATCAAACTGCCTTTACTAGCCATGTGTGAGAAGAGCTATTTCTTATTCTCTTTTAAGCCTCTGGCATAGGGAGGAATGAATATAAGTTATTCAGAAATGTCTGCTGAATGAGTAGAACGAGGACTTTCTTGGTGTTCACGTATCAGTGGACCCAAGGATCCATGTGTGAATGAAATAGGTGGGGTTAATCTGACCTTAGTGTCCTTGGTAATCTGAATGTTCAGAAACTCTCCGTAGATGTTGAAAAAAAAAAGTTTTTTATTTTGAGTCCTGGTTGTGGAGGTTTGGCCCGATCACTACCTTCCTGGTTTCCCCATTACTTCATTAAATATCTGCAGTGGAAATTCATTTGGAGGAGGCCCTTGGCATTGTCAGCATGCAGAGCCTGGCTCTTTCCTCTCATCAGATATTTCTGCACAAGAAGCCAGAAAGTTGGAAGTTAGAGGCAAATAAGAGTCAATCATGCAGCTTTGGAAGCTGTGGTCAGAGGAAGATGGATTAAGGAGAGCTGTAAAGGACTTCTACCCCATCAGAGGGCCACTTTGGGAGAAGGGGAGGAATGGCAGACAGGAGGAGGCCCCGTGGTCTCCACCAACTCTCACCACTTGCACATGCTACATCTTTTACATCTTTGATTCGCACCTCAGCAAAGACCCTGGAATTCAGAAGCCCTGGAGTTCATATAAGTGATGAGGCCATTGGGAACTCCTAGTGATTTAAAAAGAAATCAGTTCCATCAAAGAATATTGAAGTTCTTGCAAGGAGCCCCAGGGAATTTCTGATTCCACCATTCCTCATAGAAGGAAGCTCCCAGCACCTTCCCACTCCACTTCTCTGGATACTCACCAGGTTCAATGCTCCTTTTAAAATGTGGAGGCCAGAGGAAGGGGCTGCAAGCACTGCTGGGGCTAACACTTTCCCAGATAGGGATGTTAAAATTTTGTTAACACCACATTAAGATTTTAATTTGCTCTCTTTTTTAGTAATTATATTACATTGTTAATTCATATTAAGTTTGTGGTGAGTTAGGCCGGGCGCGGTGGCTCATGCCTGTAATCCCAGCACTTTGGGAGGCCGAGGCGGGCGGATCACCTGAGATAGGGAGCTCGAGACCAGCCTGACCAACATGGAGAAACCCCGTCTCTACTAAAAATACAAAATTAGCCTGGCGTGATGGCACATGCCTATAATCCCAGCTACTAGGGAGGCTGAGGCAGGAGAATCGCTGGAACCTGGAAGGCACAGGTTGCGGTGAGCTGAGATCATGCCATTGCACTCCAGCCTGGGCAACAAGAGTGAAACTCCATCTCAAAAAAAAAAAAAAAAAAGTTTGTGGTGAGTTGACAAACTCGCCCACACCCACGTTTTCAGTGAAAACCACTGTCCTTCCCTGTTAGCACCTGTGTAACAGTCACTGTTTTGTTTAAGTTAATTGCAATACTTTTTGTTTATCTTTAATTTCATCTTGCAGGTTGTGACCTGGGGCCTTAGTCTGACCTTCAAGTTAAGGTAGCAAGTCCTGTTACTTTCTCCTCTTAACTTCTCAAATCCTCCTATTTCTTGGCAATGCTGTCTTTGCCTGCTCCCTCACCTGGAAGACTCTTCTCCTCTCTACAGCCCCACCCCAGCCTTAGCCTAGGTAATTCCTACCTTTGCTTGCTCTGGAAGAACTTCCCCTTCTATATCCCTGCAGCCAAGGACTGTGATCCTTGGGAAGGCAGGTGAGCTGAAATCCAGGACATGTCATCATAGACTCTTGGTGGACCCCCAGCAGGTAAGGAGCACTTCGTGGGCATCAGCATAGCTGGGGAGACAAGGTGGGCCCCCAGCTCTCCTTCCCATCCCCAGATGCACCAGTAGAACAGGAAGAAAGGAGTTTGGCACTTGAGGTGCATGCCTAAAAGTCTCCTCATGCTGAGCCTATGCTTCCTCTGGTGAGACAGTCCTATGGAGAATAAAATGCTGGCTGTCATATTGAAGGGGCTTTGAAGAAAAGCACTAACTATGAATATGGAGAAAGCCCTCATACTGCTTACAATCCAGCTGAAGAGATCACCAAAGTAGGGTTTCTCTTGGGAAGCAGTGGGAGTACATAATTGGAAAATATCCTTCCCTCCTTCTCTCCTTCCCTTCCTCCCTTCCTTCCCCCTTCCTTTCCTTCCATATTTATTGAAAACTCAGTAAGAGTCTTGTACTTTGCTAAACCCTAAGAACATGGCAGTGAATGAGACAGTCATGACACCAGCCCTTGTGGGCTGACAGTGTAAAGTGAGATTCAGAAACTAAACAAGTTGCTTGATGAGTTATGTAAAGACAGTTGTGACAAGGAACTGAAAGAGATGTACAGGGTGCAATAAGAGCATAGAGCTGGGAGCCTTGACCTAGTCTGGAAATGCTAGAGAAATCTTGGAGAAAGGGATATTGAAGCTGAGTTCTGAAGGACAAGCAGCTCCTGTTGCGCTGTTTTACCACCTGATTTTGATAAGGTAAGCTTTTATTGAAAGAAAGACCAAAAGTAAACATTTGAGAGCCTCTTATCCAGTCTGACACATCCACTCTATAAATTCAAAGGTTGACTTGGGTAAGACAGACATCATCAGTTGATAGGCCTGTGACTGACTCTGGTTTCTGTGTAGTAGCCATTCCCTAAGTGTTACCTCCAATGATAGTAATCATACTATTAGTGATAATCTTACTATTATTAAAATGAAAGAGGCCAGGCATGGTGGCTCATGCCTATAATCCCAACACTTTGGGAGGCTGAGGCGGGCAGATCACCTGAGGTCAGGAGTTCAAAACCAGCCTGGCCAACATGGCGAAATCCCTTCTCTACTAAAAATACAAAAAAAAAAAAAATTAGCTAGGCTTGGTGGCGGGTACCTGTAATCCCAGCTACTGAGGAGGCTGAGATAGGAGAATTGCTTGAACCTGGGAGGTGGAGGTTGCAGTGAGATGAGATTGTGCCACTGCACATCAACCTGGGTGACAGAGCTAGACTCTGTACCAAAGAAAAAAAAGGAAAGACCATTTTGTAGAGTGGAAACTGAAGTGTAGATATTGTTTGGGACAAGGCTTGGTGGCCTCACTATGGAAGCACACAGGAGGAATAGCGAGACTGTGGATAGGGAAGGGTGAGGAGGGCACATGGGGTCTTCGCTGCTCAGGATGTTTTGGCTGTTTGGGCTGCTAAGTGGAGGGAGGACTTTGAAACACAATCTCAATGTAATTCAATCCAAGATTCTAAGCCCTCATAAAAGAATGGAGAAAAGAATGGGGTTCAAGACTGGGCTAGAAGAGAGTTACAGGGAATGGGTGTCCCCACAGTGTCAGACTCAGAATGAAAGCCTTCCATCAACAGTGGGTGCCTCAGTTTTGGAAGGCTCTAGCCAAGACTTGATGCCTAGCAGTTCCTGCTGTGAGTGGCATGCTGGGTCAGTTCACCTCACTGGAAGGCTGAGATTGTCTGAGAACCTGATGTTCTAACATGAGTCTTTTAGGAGGTGAGAGTGTGGAATGAAAAATGAATAAATAAGAAATGGAATGAGGTATAGACTTTGAGAGTGGGGTGACTATAAACTAAAGGAGTGAGATGTTGGGGAAATGGATTCCAGGGACAAAGAGATTGACCCAGAGAAGATATATTGGTCTTGGGATTGAAAACAGAAGTGGGAGAATATGGTAGAATGTGGCTCTCCCTAGAAAATTGTCAGAAATCTCAGTTGGTTCTCAGTCTTGGGGGATTAGGAGCAATTCTGCCTAAGGCAGGGGGTTGGACCAGATGACCCCTCAGGATTCCTTCTCTCCTGATGATGCTGGGAAGACATTTCTCATTGTCTTGACAGTCCTGAAATGTCTTTTCTTAATGGGGAATTTATCTGCTGGATCCAGTTTAACTGTTGCATTTGTATTTTATACATGCACCTGCCCTGGGGCAATGGTTACATTTTAAATAAATCAAATAAATCAATAAATATGATACGCCTCACTTTAATCATTACATAATGCAAAAAATTATGATAATACCACATTAAGTTGCAAATTAAGACACGTAAAAGTAAGAAAATGTGGAAATGAATGTTCTCCCAGCAACATTAACTCCCCTGCCTTGTGATGTGGTATAATAAAGTCTATATTTATATCTGCCTACCTAGCAGTCTCTCATTCAGCACGGGCCAATGTGGGAGATTATTGCCAATTTAACCTTAACTTTTGTGTCTGATGGCTTGTTGTAAATGTGCTGTCTTAATTGAAGCATTAGCCTGGCTCCTGCAAGGAAGATAGAAGGGTGCAATATTGGGTTCCCAGGCTTTGAGCGAGATTGCCTGGGCTTGGCATCTCAGTTCTGTCTCTGAGACAGAGTTCTGTCTATCTGAGTTCTGTCTATGGAAACTGCCCATTAGCTCAGTTCTTTGTACCTCCTTTTTTCAACTGTCTGCAGCATCTGGATCTTAGATTCTCACCATCCTCCACAATAGCTTCAACCAGGTTACTCCCATTATTATCTTATTGTGGTTCATTTATTATATAATTTTGAGAAAAAGTGTTCTGTTGCTCAAAATAATTTTCCAAGGACAGCTCTAGTTCTAATATTTCAGATGAGAAAATCAGGGAGGCGAAGTAACTTGGCCAAGGTCACAGCTGGTACTATCACGGAGACCCTCCACCTCAGGCTATGACTCCCATGCAGGCCAGCCACTTTCCACTGCTCTTGTTCTTGCCCCCACCTAAAAGCTGCCTTCTGAACAGTGCATGGCTCCTGGTTAGCATCTGCTGCGGAAGGACAGACTGGGCATGTGCATGCAAGACAGAAGAGGTTCCCAGAGCAGTAAGGGCT